>NT_167246.2:3920721-4231330 GCF_000001405.40 Homo sapiens | reverse complement strand
GGCCAATCAGGTTTTACTTTTCATTCTTTAAATAATTATAAACAGAAGGATTTAAATGTTTGATAGGTTTTACTCTATTGCAATTTTTATGCTTGTTAAAGCTTATATCCTACATTTTTGGTGAGTGAAAACTTCTTCAAGTGGCTAAAAATGAAACTGAGTTCTTTTGACGCAAATTTCTTTTGATAATTTCTTTGTTATCTGGGATGACAACATGTTTCTGGTTCATCTTGTTCATTTCTTGGCCAGACCTGGAGGTAGCCATTTTTCCAGAAATCCCTGGTTTAGTTTAGTGGGAAATGACATTTAAGACTATAATCCAGCGTTAGGGTGTTTTGTCCCACTGAACCCGCTGCTGGAGTCACCTCAAAAGTGGCGTCAAGGGAGTTACCACAAGGAAGTTCCTGAAACCATTCTGAGATGGTGTGGGTTAGGATTCAAAGAAAGAAGCACTAAATGCCAGGGTGATCAGTCCAAAACATTTGTTTAGGGAATTTACCTACAGAGGGCTTCAGGAGTCCTTGCAGACAGCAAGAGAAAAGGGATGTTCTGCCTAGGTATGTCTGCAGCGAGGGGGTCAGGGTATGGAGCTTATATGAAGGTTTAAGGAACCTGGCTCAGGGCTGGGACAAAGTTTCAGTGTTTAGAGAAACAACCTAGATACGTTTATCAGTGCCTGGGAGTGTTCAAGGCCTTGGCTTGGGTTCGAGCCTGCTGGGAAAAACCTGCAGCTGGCTGGGTCACAGAGGCATTCTGTGA
This sequence comes from Homo sapiens, assembly GCF_000001405.40. Lineage (NCBI taxonomy): Eukaryota > Metazoa > Chordata > Mammalia > Primates > Hominidae > Homo > Homo sapiens. Next base: position 4,230,571 of record NT_167246.2, on the reverse strand, counting down.
TTTTTCGGTCAGGACATGGAAAGAAAGCAGGGAGAGGGGCAGTGGGGGAGCCTAAATAGATAGGAATGGTCATTGTGTCCAGCCTGTTCAATGGCAATAAAACATTTATACATGTATACATTTAAAAAAATCAGTCATCCAGGCACGGTGGCTCACGCCTGTAATCCCAGCACTTTGAGAGGCCGAGGCGGGCGAATCACGAGGTCAAGAGATTGAGACCATCCTGGGCAACACGGTGAAACCCCGTCTCTACTAAAAATACAAAAATTAGCTGGGTGTGGTGGCACGCGCCTGTAGTCCCAGCTACTCGGGAGGCTGAGGCAAGAGAAGCGCTTGAACCTGGGAGGTGGAGGTTACAGTGAGCCAAGATTGTACCACTGCACTGCGGCCTGGTGACAGAGCAATACTCCATCTTAAAAAAAAATCAGTCTTCTCTATATTACTTCTGCATCTCCTTTCTTTTATACCAAGAACTCTGGTTTTCAAGGACACAGGGACAGACACAATTAGAATGTCCATACTTATTTGCTTTTCCTGAGTTAACATAGACAGCAGTCTAAGGATAATAACACTCATACACAACCACCAAAATGGCTACTGAAAACGGTTGAAATTCTTTTTACCTACATTCTCCCTATTACCTGTGTTCTCCCTTTTTACCTATGTTCTCCCCCGCTTTCTAGTTGAACTATGTCTATATTAGTTGATCCTGTACCATTGCATAGACTACTTGCTCCCTTGTTAGTCTTAGTTCTGTGAGTAGAGATATGTTTAATGCTCACCATCATTCCTTATGTTGATATCCCTGTCATGTGGTGGTTTTCAAGGTGTGGTCCATGGATTCCTGGGGGTCCCTGGGACCCTTCAAGGGGCCTATGAAGTCAAGCTATTTTTGTACTAATACTAAGATGTTATTTGCCTTTTTCACTGTATTATTTACATATTGGTACAGAAATCTATGGTGGTCACGTGAAACTGTTAGTGCCTGAGCACAAATCAAGGTGGTGACACCAAGCTGTACAGGTAGGTCATGTTCTTCACTGCCATAAGCTTACAGTAAAAAAAAAAAAAAAAAAAAAAGCAAAAGCCAGTGACCTTGATGAAGCAATAAAATCATTAGTTTACTAAATTTTAAACCTCAAGCACACATCTGTTTAATAGTCAGTGTAAGAACATAGGCAGCATTTCTGGTGCATACTGATGGAAAGGCAGTTGTCCTGTGGAAAAGCCATTATGTAATTGCATGAGTTGTGAGTGAAGTTAAACATTTTTTTTTTAGTGGGTCATCATTTTCCTTGAAAGAATGACTGAAAGGCACACTGTGATTATTCAGACTTGGGTATTTGGTAGAAATTTTCTCAAAAATAAACAAAATGAGCCTATCCCATCAAAGAAAATAATATTGACAGTGGAAATTGGAATTTCAAGAGAAAATTAAAATTTTGGAAAACTTACGTGTGCCACAGCTTCTCACTACTTAAAGATGTTTCTGATGAGATTGGTGGTGATATTAACAAATATGGCTTAAAAAATATTGTTTAATAAAATATGTCAACATTTTAAAAATCTGCGTAAACCCATGAATCAATAATTTACAAATAATCAATGCATGATATTGCAAAGTCATGCATAAAGATCCATTTAAAGATAGACTAGTGAATTTTAACACAACAGAATATGAAAAGTTAATATATAAGGTTTCAGATTCCACACTGCAACTAACCTTTAAGAATCTGCCATTTCTTGAGTTTTGGTGTCTTATCAAGGAAGAACAGTTACGATAGCTGAAATGGTTATGGAAACTTTCCTTCTTTTCCCAACTGTGTATAAGAGTGAGGCCAGATTTTCCTCTTGTGCTTTAGCCAAAACAACATATTGTTACAGCTTGAATGTAGAAGAATATATAACCAAGCTAGCTTTATTAAGCCAGACATTAAAGAGATTTTTACAAATGTAAAATAATTCCTTTTTTTTCACTATTTTTTTGTGCTGGAGAAGACAGCTATTTTCCATAAAAGTGTGTTGTTTATGTTAACATGTAATGGGTTTGTTATTGTTATTTAATAACAAATAAATTAATATAAATGTCACTTTACATAACCCATGTAAACTAAAGCTTCTTGGTGTTCTCAACAATTTTATGAATAAAAAGGGATCCTGATATCAAAAGAATTATAAGCTACTGATGTAGTCATCATGATTGTTTGAAACTATTTCTCCTAGGTGCCTCAGGAAGACTTAGGAAAGTGTCTTAGTTTGTATGAGCTGCTATAACCAACTACCAGAGACTGGATGGCTTAAAAACAGCAGAAATGTATTTTTCACAGTTCTGGAGGCTGGAGGTCTGAGATCAGTGTGTCAGCCTGGTAGGGTTCTGGTGAAGGCCTGCTGGCAGCATCTTCTCACTAAGACCTCATGTGGCAGAAGGAAAGGGAGCTATCTGGAATCTCCCTTATAAGGGCCCTAATGCCATTCATAAGGGCTGCACCCTCATGACCTAATCACCTTCCAAAGGCGTCACCTCCTGGTACTGTCACCTTGGGCGTTACGATTTCATCATATGAATTTTGGGACGGCATATACAGTCCACACCAGGAAGTTCTTGCACTTCATAGTCGAAAGTCAGTTTTGTGGCTATAAAAATCTTGGTTCCATTTTCCGCTCTTGAGTATCTTAAAAAGTTACTACATTTTCACATAACTGCTATCAAAAAGTCTGATGATAATCTAATTATTAATAAGTCATTGCTACTTTTGCTGAGTATCCAGATGGTATTTTCTTTTTCTTTAGTATCCACAAGTTTTATTGGAATGTATCTTGGTTGGGGGGAGGGCAAGATCGCTGACTAGATGCAGCCAGGTGAAACAGTTCTCAATGAGGAACCCAGATGACTGGCGTGCTCCTAACAGATGTTCAGACAGAAGGCACCTAGAGTGGACAGAGGGAAGACACAGAAGCTGGACTGAAGTGGGAGAAAGCTGGGAGCCCTACATGGGGCTACAGCACATCCAGACTCATTCCTGTCCTCCAATGGCTCCAGGAAAATGGGTGAGTTGAACTGGCAAGGAACAACCCACTGTCACTATGACCTCTGCAACCATGGCAGGAGGAGACCCATTGACCACCATGGACACTTGAGTTGGCAGGAAGAGCTGCTTAGAGAAGCCGTAGGGGTGGCAAGCCAGCGGGTGTGGAGCCTAGAGGATTCAGTGCAGGAGCATCTGCAGTGGAGCATGGCCAGGGATGGCCATTTCCCTAGGCTCAACTTACTCCCATAGGAGACATTAGCCCTAGGGAAACTGTTGGTCCTGAAATCTGTAGGGTGGTCTTGCCCATCAGATGAGTCTGGTTCTACCTGAGCAACCGTTGGTCTTCTGGCCTCTCCTGGGGCCCTGGCCTGGCCACATCTGCTTGCAAAGCAGCCTCAGGTGCTCTGTGGGCCTGCACCATAGCTTCTACACTGGCAGACCATGACTGACCAGTAAGTGGAGAGCTCCAACGAGGAGGCCCCTATGACCAGGCACCAGCCTGCATGCTCCCTCCCCACACTGCAGCTTCCTCTGGGCCCACAGCAACTCCCCACATCATTTTGCTGGTACATGTCTGCTGGGTGGGTTTTGTTTTCCTTGCCTCACCAGCATATAGGAGTGTAATTCACCCCCCACCAATTCCCTCCTGACAGCCATTGCAGACAGAGCCTTGGTGGGCACAGAGCCAGCCAGCCCCACTCCCTCCATCATCCCACCCTGTGCTAACACTGTGCAGAGAACAGCTGATCCTCCCCCACCCTGAGTGACCACTCCTGCACAGAAAAGGCACGCAGACCTGCACCTGCCAATGCCTTGCCCCTAAGCCAACACCACTTCCTGTGTGACCACACACACAGTTGCCAGCAGGGGACCCCCTTCCTTTCCTGCAGTTGCATTGCCTCTGCCACTGTGGTGGATGCCTGCAGGGAGGTGGGCACCCCGGCACCTGCTAGTACTCTGCTGCAGCTTCAACTACCACTGCTGCTGGTACACTCAAACAAGGACAGATCCTCCTGTCACTGTACTATGAAACACTTTGGCTGACACCACTCATTGGAGTGTAGTGACCAGTGGTCTGGGAGCACTTCGGACTGCACCACTCCTGCCACCTCCCCCACCCCCCGCCCATCACAGCGGATTCCTAATTCTGAGGAAACAGAGAACAAAGTCAGGGCCCCGTACAAGTCCCAAAGAATTACAGCATGCAGTCCAGGAGTTGGGAGTGGAATACTGGCCAAATAAAATTGTCCAGAAATGAAGTCAGTTGGCTGAATCCACCTTATACCACAATCAAACCCTCAAAGTCATCAAATAGGATAAATAGGATAAATAAAAAAGGTTGGATGATCTTTGCTGTCCAAAGGTCAGCAGTCTCAAAGATTAAAGGAAAATAAGCCCACAAAGATGAGAAAGAATCAGGCAAGAACCTTGACAACTCAAAAAGCCAGAGTGTCTTCTGTTCTCCAAACGACCACATCACCTCTCGAGCAAGGATTCTGAACTGGGCTGAGATGGCTGAAATGACAGATATGTAATTCAGAATAAGGATAGAAATGAAGATCATTGAGCTACAGAAGTACATTGAAACCCAATCCAAGGTAGCTAAAAATTATGATAAAACAATGCAGGAGCTGATAGATAAAATAGCCAGTATAGATAAGGACATAACCAATTTGATAGAGCTGAAAAACACACTATAAGAATTTCATAATGCAATCACAACTATTAATAGCAGAACTGACCCAGTGGAAAAAAGAATCTCCACACTTCAAGACTGGCTTTCTGAAATAAGATAGTCAGACAAGAATAGAGAAAAAAGAATGAAAAGGAAGGAACAAAACTTCTGAAAAATATGAGATTATGTAAACAGACCAAATCTATGACTCATTGGTGTTCCTGAGAGAGATGGGGAGAATGAAACCAACTTGGAAAACATATTTCAGGGTATCATCCATGAGAATCTCCCCAACCTAGCTGGAGAGGCCAACATTAAAATACAGGAAATGCAGAGAACCCCAGTAAGATACTTCACAAGAAGATCATTCCAAAGGCACATAATTATCAGATTCTCCAAGGTTGAAATGAAAGAAAAACAGTTGGCAGCTAGAGAGAAAGGCCAGGTCACCTACAATGAAAAGTCCATCAGACTAACAGTGGACCTGTCAGAAGAATCTCTACAAGCCAGAAGAGACTGGGGCCAACATTTATTATTCTTAAAGAAAATAATTTCAACCCAGAATTTCATATCTGGCCAAACTAATCTTCAAAAGTGAAGGAGAAATAAGAACCTTTTCAGAGAAGGAAATGCTGAGGGAATTTCATTACCACTAGACTTGTCTTACAAGAGCTCCTGAAGGAAGCACTAAATATGGAAAGGAAAGACTTACTAGCCACTACAAAAACACACTGAAGTACACAGACCAGTGACACTATAAAGCAACCACATAAACAAGTCTGCAAAATAACCAGATAACATCATGATGACAGGATGAAATCCACACATATCAATACTAATCTTAAATGTAAATGGGCTAGTGCCCCAATTAAAAGGCACAGAGTGGTAATCTGGATAAAGAACCAAGGCCTATTAGTATGCTGTCTTCAAAAGACTCATGTGTGTCATGCAGTGACACACATAGGATCAAAATAAACAGATGGAGAAAAATCTACCAAGCAAATGGAAAACAGAAAAAAGCAGGGGTTGCAATACTAGTTTCAGACAAAACAGACTTTAAACCAACAAAGATCAAAAAAGATGAAGAAGGGCATTACATAATGGTAAATGGTTCAATTCGACAAAAGATCTAAGTATTCTAAAAATATATACCTCCAAAAGAGGAGCACCCAGATTCATAAAGCAAGTTCTTAACGACCTTCAAAGAGACTTAGACTCCCACACAATGATAGTGGGAGACTTTGACACCACATTGACAATGTTAGACAGATCATCAAGACAGAAAATTAACAAAGATACCCAGGACCTGAACTCAGCTCTGGATCAAATGAACCTGATAGACATCTTATAGAACTTTCCACCCCAAAAAGACAGAATATACATTTTTCTCATTGTCACATGGCACATACTCTAAAATCGATCACATAATTAGAAGTAAAACACTCCTCAGCAAATGCAAAAGAACTGATCATAAGAAAAAATCTCTTGGACCACAGCACAATCAAATTAGAAACCAAGACAAAAAAGTTCACTCAAAACCGTACAATTACATGGAAATTAAATAACCTGCTCCTGAATGACTTTTGGGAAAATAATGAAATTCAGGCAGAAATCAAGAAACTCTTTGACATGAGTGAGAACAAAGATACAACACATTAGAAGCTCTGGGACACAACTAAAGCAGTGTTAAGAAGGAAATTTATAGCACTAAATGCCAACATCAAAAACTTAGAAAGATCTCAATTTAACAACCTAACATAATAACTAAAAGAACTAGAGTATCACAGCCAACCAATCTCAAGGCTAGCAGAAGACAAGAAATAACCAAAATCCAGAACTGAATGGAAGGAGATTGAGACACAAAAATGATTCAAAAGATCAATGAATCCAGGAGCTGGTTTTATGAAATAATTAATAAAATAGATGGACTTCTAGCTAGACTAATAAAGAAGAAAAGAGAGAAGGATTCAAATAAACACAATTAGGAATGACAAAGGAGGTATTACCACTGACCCCACAGAAATACAGACAACCATCAGAGAATATTATGAATACTTCTATGACATAAAGTAGAAAATCTAGAAGAAATGGATAAATTCCTGGGCACATACACCCCCTAAGACTGAACTAGGAAGAAATTGAATCTATGAACAGACTAATAATGAGCTCTGAAATTGAGTCAGTAGTAAATAGCCTACCAAAACAAAACAAAACAAAACAAAACAAAACCCAGGACCAAATGGATTCACAGCTGAATTCTATCAGGTGTACAAAGAAGAAATGGTACCATTCCTGCTGAAACTATTTCAAAAAATTGAGGAGAAGAGACTCCTACCTAACTCATTCTATGAAGCTAGCATCATCTAAATACCAAAACCTGGCAGAGACACAACAAAAGAAGAAAGCTTCAGGCCAATATCCTTGATAAACATTGATGCAAAAAATCCTCAACAAAATACCAGCAAACCGAATCCAGCAGCACATCCAAAAGCCAATCTACCATGATCAAGTAGGCTTTATCCCTGGGATATGAGGTTTGTTCAACATATAAAAATCAGTAAATGTGATTCATCACATAAACAGAACTAAAGACAAAACCCACATGATTATCTCAATAGATGCAGAAAAGTCTTCTGATAAAATTCAACACTCCTTCATGTTAAAAACTCTTGATAAACTAGTTATTGAAGGAACATACGTCAAAATAGTAAGAGCCATCTATGACAAACCCGCAGCCAACATCATACTGAATGGGCAAAACCTGGAAGCATTCCCCTTGAAAACTGGCAGAAGACAAGAATGCCCCCTCTCATTACTCCTATTCAACATAGTACTGGAAGTCCTTGCCAGGGCAATCAGGCAAGAGAAAAGAATAAAGAGCAGCCAAATAGGAAAAGAGGAAGTCAAAGTATTCCTGTTTGCAGATGACATGATCATATATCTAGAAAACCCTATCGTCTCAGCCCAAAAACTTCTTAAGTTGATAAACAACTTCAGCAAGGTCTCAGGATACAAAATCAATGTGCAAAAATTACTAATATTTCTATACACCAACAACAGTCAAGCCTAGAGCAAAATCAGGAATGCAGTCCTATTCACAATTGCCACAAACAGAATAAAATACCTAGGAATACAGCTAACCAGGGAGGTGAAAGATCTCCACAAGAAGAACTAAAAAGCACTGCTCAATGAAATCAGAAATGACACAAACAAATGGAAAAACATTGCATGCTCATGGATAGGAAGAAACAATATCATCAAAATGGCCATACTGCCCAAAGCAATTTATAATTCAATGTTATTCCTATTAAACTACAATTGAGATGCTTCACAGAACTAGTAAAAACTATTTTAAAATGCATATGGAACCAAAAAGGATACATAGATACAAAATAAGGACATGAAAACATGTGCAATGTCATTAGCCATTAGAGAATTACAAATTAAAACCACAATAAGATATTACTATATACCTATCATGATGGCTAAAAATAAAAAGTAGGCACAATACCAAATCCTGGTGAGGATGCAGAGAAAATAGATCACTCACATTTGGCTGCTGGGAATGTAATATAGTACAGCCACACTGGAAAATAGTTTGGCATTTTCTTTAAAAGCAAAACATGCAACCACCATACAACCCAGCAATTGCACTCCTGAGCATTTATCCCAGAGAAATGAAGACTTATGTTCAGAGAAAAATCTGCACATGTATGCTCATAGCAGCTTTATTCAGACAAAAACTGGAAACAAACTGTGGTATATCCATACTAGGAAATACTACTTAGCAATAAAAACGAACAAACTGGATACAGGCACCACGACCTGGATGAATCACCAGGGAATTATGCTGAGTGAAAAAAAAAATTGCAAAATGTTGTCTACTAAATGATTCCACTTACATAACACTCCTGGAATGCCAAAACTATAGAGATGGAAATTAATAATTGCTGTGTTAATGAAGAAGTGGAAATGGGAGGGAAGTGGCTGTGGCTACAAAAGGGCAAAATGAGGGATATTATAGTGATGAAAGTGTTCTTTATTTTAATTATATCAATGTCAATATCCAGACTGTGATAATTTACTGTAGTTTACAAGATGTTATCCTTGGGGGAAACTGGGTAAAATGTACATGAGATATCTCTGTAACATTTCTTACAAGTGTCTGTGAATCAACAATTATATCAAAATAAAAAGTATAATTTAATACAGCATCTTAACATTTTCAACAAAACTAAGTGTCAAAGTATCCCCATAAACCTCAAATACAAATTGGTGAGGACAAACCACTAGTAGTTGCACGTTATTAATTTTTCCTGTTATGGATTATGCCTTTGGTGTCAAGTCTAAAAGCTTTTTGCTTAATCCTAGATCCTGAAGATTTTCTCCTGAGAGTTTTGTGACTTTATGTTTTACATATTAGACTTTGATCCATTTTTATTTCTTCCTTTGAAATCTGCACGCCTTTTTTTTTTCTCGCCCATTACATTATCTAGAACTTCCAACGCCATGTTGAATAAGCATGGCGAGAGTGGACATCATTGCTTTGTTCCCGATCTTTGGGGGAAAAATTTCAGTCTTTCACCGCTGTGTTAGCTGTAAGATTTTTTGCAGATGCTCTTTATCAAATTGAGGCAGTTCCTCTCTATTTGCATTTTCTGAGCATTTTATCATGAATGGCCATTGAATTACGTATTCTAATACCTCATATATGTACATCATTAACTTGGATTACGCTTCTTTAAATAGCTGCCTGTTCTACTGGTTGTCAAATGAGCTGTATCCTTTCTATTTAATGCCTACATGAAGTTTTTAAATATGGACTCTATGTCATATATTTAGTCCCTTTCAGGTTTCCAACATAAAGTGATACTATTTCAGCTACTTAAGCACTTATTTAGGATTTATGCCTCATGTAGTTTAGATTTATTATGAGTTTGCACTTACATTTGATTCCTTTTTATACTCCTAATGTCTTTTTTTCTTAAACAAGTGGCCTATATATTTGGACTCACAATATTTATACATCCTCTGTCACCAGGGGTACATGTCCTTATACCTTAAAGCACGTGCTTCTGGAGTCCTGTCGTGTTACATGTTTCCTCTAAAACAAACCCTCCATGTTATTTGAGAGCCAACCCCACTTTTCAAGTTATTTAGGCTGCTGTAACCTCCATTAATAAAGGATTCAAAAGTCATAATTGTGTGATTCTTTAGGAATTATCCAAAAAGGCAATCTGATTTATTTTCCAAATATCCTGGATCTGAAATAATCTATCAGAGTTTATTTCTATGCTTGGAAAGCTTCCTTGGATGTCAGCATTTGCGATTTTCTTACTTAGCTTATGTAGCTAAGTAAGAAATGAATTGCTTTTGTTGGTTTCTTAGTACATTCTGTCCATCAAGTACATTGAGTTGTTTAGAATTGTTTTGAGTCAACAGTGTAACAAGCATCCAAAATCTTGTATAGTCAATTTTGTTTGACTATTGTGCTAGAAGATCAATTTCTATTTCCTCTGTTGACAATATCCTGAGCATTTTGAAGTTACACAATTGCAGTGGTAATTTAGCGGAAGAGTGTTAACATTTTAACCTAAATAATTGATTTTGTATTAAACAAATTCTGATGTAGGAATGTATTTAGTATTAACTATATGGAATTCTCTATAAATCTCATAAACAGAGTAGTTGCTTTTTTGAAGGGGATTAAAAATTAAATATCAACATTTTCATTTTAGAAAATAAAAAATGTGGCTCACGCCTATAATCCCAGCACTTTGGGAGGCTGAGGTGAGCAGATCACGAGGTCAGGAGATCGAGACCATCCTGGCTAACACAGTGAAACCCTGTCTCTACTAAAAAATATGAAAAATTAGCTGGGCATGGTGGTAGGTGCCTGTAGTCCCAGCTACACGGGAGGCTGAGGCAGGAGAATGGTGTGAACCCAGGAGGTGGAGCCTGCAGTGAGCCAAGATCATGTCACTGCACTCCAGCCTGGGTGACAGAGCAAGACTCTGCCTAAAAAAAAAAAAAAAAGAAAAGAAAAAGAAAAGAAAAAATGTCTTTTTTCTTTTTAAAATTTTCCTATTTTAATATTTAAAATTATTTTATCTTTTTTTTAAAAAAGTTATACATGACATGGTTTAAAACATCAAATACAGATGGTTCCTGACTTATGATGGTTCCACTTAAGATTGTTCAGCTGTGATGGCGTGAAAGCAGTACACATTCTGGAAGAAATGTACTTCAAATTTGAAATGTCAGTCTTTCTCTGGGCTAGTGATATGTGGTATAACACTCTCACCTGACGCTGAGCAGCAGTAGTGAGCCACAGCTCCCAGTCAGCCACGCTAATGTAAGTGTTCTGAGCATGTTGAGGGTAGGCTGGGCTAAACTATGATGTTTGATAGGTTAGGGGTATTGAATGCATTTTCAACTTGCAGTTTATCAGGACACAAACCCACCTGAAGTCAAGGAGCATCTGTATTTCTACAGGGCTTGTTATGCAAAACAGCTGACCACACTGCCTCCCCATTCCTCTTTCCAGACAGAAATTCTAGTAGATAGTCCCATTTTACAAATGAGAAAGTGGAGGCTTAGGGAGGTTAATTAAGACACGCAAGTTCATATGGGTAGGAAGCGATGGAGCTATGATAAGAACTCAAATCCATATGGTCCCCAAGCCTGAGGTTTGAGCTATATTGCTTCGTGATTACAGGATATATTAGTTTCCTATTGGTGCTGTAACAAATTACCACAATTTAGTGTTTTAAAACAACAAAAATTTATTGTTGGACAGTTCTGGAAATTATAAGCCTAAAATGGGTCCTGTTAAATTAAATTAAATTTGGCTTAAAGCGGCCTCTGTACTTTGAATTCCTACGTAGTATACTGAAATCTAACTTAATGTGTAAGAAAATTGTACCCTAACTTAAGAGCATATTCTTGTAATAAATAGCTGAGTCTCAGGCAAACACAGCAGCCAAGCTTCAGGCAATCACAGGTTGCCAACTGATCAGACCATGATCAAATAAGGCAAATACTGAGCTGTAAACAAGCTGCTTCTGTATACCACTTCCTTTTTCTCTCTATAAATATTGCCTGCCCCTATTGCTCAGTGGAGCTCTCTGTACCTCTTCTGGTCCTGGATGCTGCCCAATTCATGAATTGTGCTTTGCTCAAATAAATCAAAATAAATTTCATTTGTTCAAAGTTTTTCTTTTAACACTTGTACAGGGCTAATCAAGGTGTTAGCTTGTCTGTGTTCCCCTTCTGAAGGCTTTAGCGGATAATCTGTTTTTTGCCTCTTCCAGCTTGCAGCGACCAGCTGCATTCCTCGGCTTGTAGCCCCCTTCCAGCAATCACTTTCCTCTGATTTTTGCTTCTAATATCACATCTCCTTCTTCTATTCTCTTGCCTCTTTCTTTCACTTAGAAGGACCCATGTAATTATATCAGGACCACTTGGCTAATCCAGAATAATCTCCCCATCTCAAGATCCTTAATCTAATCACTAATGCAAAGTCCCTTTTGCCATGTAAGGTAACAGATTCACAGGTTTCATAGATTCAGATCTTTCAGGGGTGGCAGTTGGGGGCATTATTCCATCTACCACACAGAGTAAAGTTTCATCTGGATGACCCACAGGCCCTACAAATACAAAATGTCTAATATGGAATGTTCTCTTAAACTGTCCTTTCTTGATGACTGGAATTACTAACCACTTGGTCTCCCAAGCATCTTCTGCTCTCGCCTTCTCCTCTCTCCCATATACAATGGATGACGACACATCATGTTGCATCTGCTCCCTCACATGTCTCTGACCCTCTCTCTAGATCCCTGATCCTACTTTAATTCGAGCCCCATCATGTCTGGTCTGTGTTACTCTAACAGTTACCCACGCTGCTTTCTCTGCTTTCAATTTTATGCTCCTCTAACCCACTCTTCCCATCAGAGTAGTCTTTCTAAAACGTGAAGCTGCCCATGACCCTTCCCTTACTATCAGTCTGCATACTGGTCCTACTGACTGCAGATCAAAGACCCAAGTCCTTAGCCTGGTGTGTGAGGCATCCATCCCTAGCCCTCTGCTTCATCTGTCACCCACCCATTTTACCAATTCCGAAAGACTTTCACTTCCCTCGAAGCCTGTCCAAGTGTCCAAGCCGCTCATGCTTTGTTAGACTTGGAAGCCATTCTCCATATACCCTCGATCAGCTTGAATGTCATTTCCACTAGAAAATTTTCCTAATTGTTTGTGACTTCAATGTCCTAATTTTACACACATTTCTGCTGTGCCCCTTTGTTTGCTAATATGTCTCCTGGGTGGTAAGCAGGACTCCGTGTCTTATTAATATTTTCCGTCTCCAGAATTCAGCCACTGTCTGCCACACAAGTGCATAATGAGTTACTATACTAATATTATGCAGCCATGTCCCCTGTACAGCAGTTCCCTGGATCTCATGGCTTCTTTTTTGATTTGCCTTGTTTGTTACCAACTTCCATCAGTAAGACAATCTATCCAATCCTTGTCCCCTTTGCCACATCACATCCTCAGGGCAATAACAAAGTTGTTAAGTTTATGCACCTTCTCCACTTGGAGCAAGGCCTCACCATGTCAGGCCTCCGCCTGATTCTCCTCCCTGCCTGGGATGGCAGATTTTGCTCTAGTGGGTCTCCAGGCCGTGAGGTCTCCTGTCTTTTATGTTCTGATCCGGGTGGTGAGCTGCAGCTCACTACAAGTCCTTACTTGTCTCTGCTGGCCTTTAGAGACTTTGTACTCAATTTGGAGGAACTACTCTTGATGGATTGTAAGTGAGAGGATTTCCTGGTCTCCCTCTGGAGTCCGCCAGAAAACCACATTCTCTGCTTTTCAGCGTTGACTGCTCATGCTTACGTAATTTCTAAGAGTAAGAGCCTATGGACTGTCCTGGCAGCAAAGAATTCGCTCAGGATTTTGCCTGAAGCTGCACTTCCGGGGTCTCGCTTCATCAGAAGACTTCTTCATTTTCATCATCGGCCCAGCGATGCATGGGTACCTCTTAGGGTTTAGCCCCAGAATGTACTGGGGGAGGGGAGGGTAAAGTAGGTGGGGAAGGAGTCAGAGTCGTAGGTCATCTGTGGCTGGAGTTTTGCATCCCTAATAAACGGGAAATGAACTGAAGGAAGACTGGGTTTTCACGTCAACACGAAGGACACCATTACGATGCTAGACTAATCATCAAATAAAATTCCAGATGGAAAAAATTCAGAAACTTAATTTGGAATTTGAGCCCCGCTCTATTATGCAACGTTCCCAGCCATTGCTCCGCGGATGTAATGTGGACTTCCACCGCCAGATGGCGATCGAGACCGTAATTTAAGTTGGTTTTCTCAACTTCCTCTGGACTGAGTCCCCGTGAAAATCCCAAGTTTAACGAGGGGCTTTCCTCGCGTAACCTTCGCTTCTGCTTCCTCTCTCACATCACCTCAACCTGCGAGACTCTGAAAGGGATAATGAGGGTTGGGGGGAATATGGAAATTCAGGGAAGGGAGAGGGGGGTGGTGTGAAGCTTTCCAGACCAGCCACACAGAAATAGCGTACCAATAGTGGTTTAGAGCACAGACCCCCAGCCAGAATGAGTAATTTAAACAGCCCTACGATGTAATCGTTGTGTGCATATGCATCTCTATGCCTCTCTCTCTCTCTGTCTTTCTTTCATCTGAGACAGGGTCTCACTCCCTCTGTCCCACAGGCTGGAGTGCAGTGGTGCAATAATGGCTCGCTGCAGTCTTGACCTCCTGGGCTCCAGTGGTCTTCCCACCTCAGCCTCTGAAACCACAGGGTCTTGAACTTCTGGGCTCAAGTGATCTTCCTGCCTCGGCCTCCTAAAGTGCTGGGGTTACAGGTGTCGGCCACCATGCCTGTCTGCTATTTAAGTGCATAGAAGAATGCCTGGCACTCAGTTAGTGTTAAATATTTATAAAATAAATTAAAATTTTATAACACTACACACATGTTGTTGAGTATGTCATAAATAGAGACATATTTAATGAGATGTCAACATATATCACGTTAATGAATTAAGTAAGTTTGAGAATATTAGAGAAGAATGATAATAGATTAACGGAGGAGGCTGGGCGCAGTGGCCCACACGTGTATTCCAGCACTTTGGGAAGCCGAGGCAGGCAGATCACATGAGGTCAGGAGTTCGAGACCAGCCTGGCCAACATGGTGAAACTCCTTCTCTACTAAAAATACAAAAAAAAAATTAGCCGGGTGTGGTGGTGTGCGACTGTAATCCCTGCTAATGGGGAGGCGGAGGTTGCAGTGAGAGGAGATCGCACCACTGCACTGCAGCCTGGGCGACAAAGCAAGACTCCATCTCAAAACAAACAAACAAACAAACAAACAAACAAAAAACAGACGAAATAGGGTTTGAGTATGTAGTCTGCTCTCAACATGAGATAGTAAAGTCTTTGCTTCCCTTATATTCTGTTAATTAACTCATTTGATGCACATCGATGTATAAAGCCTTTAACTTCTATTTATTCTTTTCCTTGAAAAGCATGCGGAATGCCTTCTCAGGACTCTCCCATTTTTTATTTGTGAACACCCACTGGCATTCCCGGATACGAAGCTTGCAAGAAGGTGTGAACCGCCCTATACTCGTGAGCCCCTGGGGCTCTGTACTCTTTCCAGCCCACATTTGACCTCAGTCAATTTTTAAATGATTCCAGCTAAATTCTTCTTACCAGTGCCCAGCTGTACCTGCCTTAGGTAAGCAAGCACTCAGGCAACAACTTTCCTAGATTTCAAGCTAGTTGGAAGCTCAATCCCAGCTCTGTGATGGGTTGAAAAAAATTGCGACCTTGCAATTTGTGTGATTTCTTTCATGTTGCAAGGAAGCATCATTGTTTCCAGTTCTCTGCATCCCCAAGCAGAAACCAGAACTCTATATAAACGTTTTTAAATGGAGACATTGAGAAAAAGTACCCGAGAAACCAATGAGATACAGGAAGAATGCTTCCAGCACTAACATGAATGGGGCTTGGCCATACAGATAGAAGGGTTGGAAACTCTTACGCCTTGATTTAAACTCTCTATGCATATTCTGAGCACGCTGGGGAATGTACTACTACTAGGCTTGATTTGGATTCATGGCTACTACCTCCCACAAAATGATAGGTCTTCTGTTTTAGTACGTGAGATAATTCCTCAATCGATCTTATTGCTGCTATTTCTGTTAAGCATAAACAATGATTTGGGTCACAAATTTCAATGGGGTTTAAATTCCTTTGTGCATCCCAACAGGTAATCCTCTTACTCTGGGCTATGAACTTGCTACTGCCAAGATGGATGCCATGAAAAAAAGAGATCTCATCAAAATGGTCACAGAGAGATGGAGGGCCTCTGTGTAGATGGCAGGGTGGTGGTGGCCGTGTAACTAGCTGCCCGGTGAGGAGCAGCCCTTGGGGAGAGCCCAGGTAGGACCAGGAGAAGCAGAAATAGAGAAAAGTGAAAGATCGAGGTGGAAAGAACATGAGGGACAAGAGCTCTGCATGGCCACATCACCAGCAGTCTTGTTATTACAATGAGGATGAAGGGACTGAAAAGAGGGGAAGAGATGGAATTCATCAAACAACAGTGCTCATTCATACAAGGTAAGTATACATGTGGCCTTTTCTCTCTCTATCTGAAGATGTGGCTTACTGTAACAGGAACTATCATGGGCATTGGACGGCTGTCTCATGGTGATCCCATCCTCCTCTACATCCTAAACTTTTTTTTGAATGCATTTCTGTATTTTGACTTCCTCTCTCCCCAAAGTTCTTGTTAACTTCTGAGTATGACTTAGCTTCCTTATTCTTTGAAATATTTGAAACCCCTAACTTCCTCTCCTCTGTGGTGTAACTCACATGGCTTCTTGATACCAGGAGGCACTGTCTGCATACAACCTCATATTATGAGGATGAAATGCCCATGAATCCTACCAATCTGAGGAACAACGCATTTGTCTTCTCTGACAAAATACGGGTGCCACATATTCTGTAGGAAAAGGTGGTGTTGAGGTCAGAACTTCTCTGTTTCTCTGTCTCTCTCTCTCTGGTTCTGGAAATGTTGAGAATATGAGTGAAGGGAAAAAGATGGGCACCACGTGGAGGCAATTTCATGGTGGCATGAAACAATTTTGGGGGCATGAATGCCATGGGCAGAACATCAGGGCCCCAAAAGGGAAATACACAGTACTTTCTTTGGACTTCAGTGCTCTCTTTTATAGTAATGGAAACCACAAGCGCAGAGGAAGGGGAGCTGATTCTATAAAAAGAAGTTTATTTCCTACTTTAAAAGATGATTTTTTGACTATCTTCCCACAATAGAGCCAGAGGATCACAGGGGAAAGCTACGATCCTCAATTATAGAAAATGATGTTGGGTGCATCTAGCATCACAGAAGCTTTAGAGGACACAGTCATCTCAGGTACCTACAGATAAGGAAGAAGTACCAATGAGAGTACCTACTCGTATTCTTATTCATGGAAGCGAATCCCTTCAGGAACCAAATCATTTAGCTGCTGGTAGATGTTTCTTTTGGCTCCTCTCTCTCCTGAGCTCTCAAACACAGACTTTTTTTTCTGTGTGCCTCTGCTTTTGGCAACTCTGTTCCAAGAATAAGAATATTTGTTTGTAGATGAGCTTGCTAGGTCGGGGATCTCTTGTATAGGGAGATGGTGAATCACTGAGCAGGACACAGAGGCATGAGTTGAAACAGTGAGATGTACCTTAGTTTAAAGAGAGGTCACAAGAGCTCATGGACCATTATTAGATAAACTCTAAATTAGAAAAAAGAACCATATTTCTCTTTTGATAGTCACATAAAAATTGAAGCCATACTCATTCTAATAAAAAGTAACATGCATAGCTCTTCATTGCAAAGCTCATCTATTATTCATAACAGGCATATAGGGTCTATATCATTTTTACAGAAGTGGAAATAGCATGTAATTACTAATTTAGTTTATTCATTAGTTTTCCAAAAGTGAAATAAAGAATTTTCCCTTTGACTTCCTACCTGGTAATTTGAAAGAGATAAATTTGTGACTAAAAAGAGTACTTCACATCATACACAAATAATTAATGCAACTGATTGACCCAAGCTAGTGTGTGTGATATTGTGATATAATAGGAAGTATATATTTGGTTTCTGACCCTGGTTCCTGCCCTTCAGCTCCTAAAACTCTTGGAATCTCCAGAGTGATAAGAGTGTCTTTTGCATGCTAATGAGGTGACTGGTGGCTGGGGCTGGTCACCAGAAAGACCAAGGCAGGATTAGAGGGTTGGGATTTTCAGCCCACTCACAATCTCTGGGGAGAAGGGAGGGGCTGAAGGTTGAGTTGACTGCCAATGGCCAATGGTTTAATCAACTCACCATGCTGACATAACAAAGCCTCCATTAAAACCCAAAAGGGCAGAGTTTGGAGAGTTTCCAGATAGCAGAACACGGAAAGATGCCTGGAGGATAGGCTCTTGAAGAAGGTGTGGAAGCTCCGCACTCTTTCCCCCATACTTTGTCCTATGTGTTTTGTTTTTCTTTATCAATCTGTTCGTCTGTATCCTTTGTCTTATCCTATGTAATAAACCAGTGTATGTAAGTAAGTGTTTCCCTGAGTTCTTTGGGCTGCTCTAGCAAATTAATTGAACCTGAGGAAAGGTTTGTGGGAACCTCCAATCTATAATTGGATGGTCAGAAGTACAGGTGATAGCAACTGGCATCTGAAGTGGGAAGGGGGCAGTTTTGCATGACTGATCCCTCAATCTGTGGGATCTGATGCTATTTTTAGGTAAATAGTATCAGAATTGAATTGATTTAGAGGAACCCGGTGTCTGCTGGAGAATTGCTTGGTGTGGGGGAAAAATCTCCACATACCTGATGTCAGAAGTAACTGTGTAAGACAGAAGGAAAAATGCTTTGGAGTTTTTTGTTTTTTCTCCCCATCTCTATTTATATAGGTTAAAAATGTGGCTGGGTGCATGCCCATGATCTGAGCACTTTGGAAGGCCCAGGCAGGAGGATAACTAGAGGTCAGGAGTTCAAGACCAGCCTAGGCAACACAGTGAGACCCCCCCGCATCTCTAAAAAACAAACAGAGACAAATACATAAATAAATCAGTACAAGTACAAGCCTCATAATCCATTATGAAAGTGTCAGAGTGATGAATGCCATGGGCATAGTAACAGTTAATAAAGAAAATAATGTGTTGGAGGAATATTTAAGATAACTGAGGCTGCTACAAGCAAAACTACAGAATAATTTCATCATATACATTTTTTTTTGTTTCCAAATTAGATACAAGATTAAGCCTTGGGTCTCCCTGGCAGTGGAGGGCGATTCTGATATTCACATATAACTACCCACAGGGCATGGATTCTGAGAGATGCTGATAAAAGAAGTTGGTGTCTTCTTGGCATTTGTCCCCAAGGATCTTCCAATACCCAGAGAATCTGCATTTACACAGATCATGCTCCCTTGGGAGCTTCTCTTGACTGCCCCCCACACCCTCATTCGTGGCTTTTCCTCTTTGATCTCCCACTTCAGTCCTCACACCTGTCAACACTGTGCTTATTACCATGTGGAGTGGTTAGAAGATCTTCCCAGAGTCAAGACATTTCCAGGGTCACCCTTCTCTTAGGCATTTCTTGGCACGACTGTCCTGAATAAAGGAAAGGAGATGAAGGTGATGTTGAGAAGCATCTAGAGGGCTGGAGTCAGGGGGAACCGGCTGAGGCTGTTGGATCAAGTTTTAGCCACTGGTAAAAGACCTCCAAGCTGCGAATGCTATTGCCATCTGTGTAAAGTCGCCTCCGAGATTAGAACATGCCAAAGACTGAAGAAAGAGGTCTAGGTAGCATAAAGCCATCATGTAATTGAAGTTTCTTCCGTTTCCAAGGACAGGAAGCGTGCAAATGGCTCTGCGTTCTCAGTAGGGGTGGGGCTAAGAAGTGAGCCTGCAAATGGTAGTTTGGGCGAAGACTTGTGTGATGCATGCAGGGACTCAAATTTAGTGTCCTCTGAACACAAACACCCTCTATGATCCGGGTTAGGTATCGCTCCTGTGAACGTTCAAAGAACACCTTTATATTCTGAGGGGACACCGTTCATCATCAGATCACTGTTGACGGAAGCCAGGTGACAGCTTTGTATTTCGTGTTTTCCCCTTTAGTAATGTAAAAATAGAAGTTATTTCTCCTTTCTTCCAATGTAGGATTTTTTTTTTTGAGAGGGTCTCTGTCACCCAGGCTGGAGTGCAGTGACACAAACACAGCTCACTACATCCTTGACCTCTTGGGTTCAGATGGTCCTCCCGCCTCAGCCTCCTTAGTAGCTGGGACGACAGGCACATTCCACCGGCCCGGCTAATTTCTTTTTAAAGTTTTTGTAGAGATAGGGCTCTCACTATGTTGCCCAGACTGGTCTTGAACTCCTGAGCTCAAGCGATTCTCTCACCTTGGCCTCCCAGAGTGTTGGGATTACAAGCGCGAGCCACCACACCCAGCCCAGTGTAGGAATGTTTAATTCCTCCACTTGCTATCAAAGAAAACTGCTAACTTTCTTATTTCCTAATTTCTCTTTTTCTATTTGCTTCTCCTTAGGTTCTGCTCTTGGGTGCTATCTCCTTAGTTTTGAGAATATGAAGGTTTGTTTAGAAAAAAAAAAGCAGAAAAAATTCACTGGAAGATTTCACATTTGTATATATCTTTATGAAATGTGACAGTGAAGTGTTAGGGTAGAGATATTTGATCTGATTACCATTAGGATAAAATCAAATCTCCTTACCATGTCTTACATGTGTACTTGTCCAATCTTGTCTCCTATAATTGTCCAACCAACCCGTTCTGTTCCAGCCTCACTGGCCTTCTTATTCTTTCACGAAGCTCACACTGTCCTCCAGAGCCTTGCACTCTCTTTTGCCTGGAATGCTCTCCCAGATCTTAACATGATAGGAAAACAAAAGACAACTGTTTGTCATGTCTACTACAGTCTCAGCCCCATGAGGCAGAGTCCATGCCCATTTTCCTTCCATGCAACATTCCTGGCACCTAGAGAGTGACTGATGCATAATGGCTGGTAAAATATTTGATTAAAAAATATTTTAGTGTATTTCCTCCCCCAAAATATACATACACAACAGAGGCAGTTATTTTGTCTATATCTTTAGCACATTTTAGGCATTTAGTAAATTTCTGTTGAATCCATATGGAATTCTTCAGATTGATCTGTGAACACTTTAGATTTGAAAAAGGAGAAAATCATAAAACTAAGGGTAATGGGGAGAGAGCAAAACCAAAGGCAGACATGGGAAGATTCTCCTTATACAAAATACTTTTTCCATGTCTATAATGAACCCCCAAATTATCTGGATACTTACAACAGTGGTAGCAAGGGAATGTCTCGTTAATGCAGGTTCTCTATTCTCCTCAATTAATTTCAGGTCCTTAATTGTGCATGACATATGAAACATAAAGGGTGTTTATTTGCTAATCACCAGCATTAATTAATTCAAAGACTTACCTGAGATTCTGTTTGCGCAATAAAAATTAAAAAGATTACTCAGTAATACATTGGGAGAGGTGTAACTGGGGCATTAAAATACGAATGTGTGTCTAATTTTCAAACATCATAAGTATTTTGAAAGCACTTATACATAATCAATTAATATATGTTGTTAACTAAATTCATATGAATAATATGTGATATAAATTAGTGTTTTGTATTAATTTCAAGACAATTAGAAAGAGAATGTCACCATCACTCTTTTGATTCAATCAACAGTCCTTAGACTGGTTCCTTGTAATGAATTTAATGGGTTAGTAAAAGCTGTGTTATTTGAAATTATGTAATTTTGTTTTTTTAATATTTTGCTCAAATACTTTTCTTATTAGTGTAAATGACTGAAGTATTATGTAAATTTTAATACTGATTATCTAAGGTATATCATTAAAACAAATTATGAGCTGTGATCTTGGGCAAGGTACTCAAACTGAAAGATGTTTTCCTTATCTGAAAATTTAGATAATAATAATTACCTCATAGTCTGTTAAGAAAAGCACATGTGATAATATATTTTAATGTACAATATGTCTGGCACATATTAAGGTCTAAAAAGGATAACTGTTACTGTTATACCAATAAATATAATAATTTTGATAAATATAATAGTAATTTAAATATATTTTTTCCAACATTTATTTTAAGTTCAGGGGTACATGTGCAGGATGTGCAGGTTTGTTACATAGGTAAATGTGTGCCATGGTGGTTTGCTGCACAGATCATCCCATCACCTAGTTATTAAGCCCAGCATCTGTTAGCTATTCTTCCTGATGCTCTCCCTCCTCCCATCCCCTACCTCCGACAGGCCCCAGTGTGTGTTGTTCCCCTCCATGTGTCCAAGAGTTCTCATCATTCATCTCCCACCTATAATGAGAACTATAAACTCATAATTCAGCTCCCACCTATAAATGAGAACATATGATATTTGGTTTTCTGTTCCTGTGTTAATTTGCTAAGGATGGCCTCCAGCTCCATCCATGTCCCTGCAAAGAACATGATCTTATTCCTTTTCATGGCTACATAATGCACCACATTTTCTTTATTTAGTCTACCATTGATGGGCATTTGGGTTGATTCCATGTCTTTGCTATTGTGAATAGTGCTGCAATGAACATATGCATGCATATGTCTTTTATAATAGAGTAATTTATATTCTTTTGGTTATATACCCAGTAATGAGATTGCTGGGTCAAACAGTATTTCTGTCTCTAGGTCTCTGAGGAATTGCCACACTGTCTTCCACAATGGTTGAACTAGTTTACACTCCCACCAACACAACCTCTCCAGCATCTGTTGTTTTTTCACTTTTTAATGATAACCATTCTTACTGGTGTGAGATGGTATCTCATTACGGTTTTGGTTTGCATTTCTCTAATGATCAGTGATATTGAGCTTTTTTTCATATGTTTCATGGCCACATGTATGTTTTCTTTTGAGAAGTATGTGTTCATGTCCTTTGCCCATTTTTTAATGGGTTTTTTCTTGTAAATTTAAGTTCCTTATAGATGCTGAATTGTAGATCTTTGTCAGACGCATAGATTGAAAAATTTTCTCCCATTCTGTGGGTTGTCTTTTTACTGTGTTGGTAGTTTCTTTTGCTGTGTAGAAGCTCTTTACTTTAATTAGATCCCATTTGTCAATTTTTGCTTTTGTTGCAATTGTTTTTGGCCTCTTCATCATGAAATCTTTGCCCATGCCTATGTCCTGAATGGTATTGCCTAGGTTTTCTTCTAGGGTCTTTATAGTTTTGGGTTTTACATTTAAGTGTTTAATCCAACTTGAGTTGATTTTTGTATATGGTGTAAGGAAGAGGTCCAGTTTCAATCTTCTGCATATGGCTAGCCAGTTCTCCCAGCACCATTTATTAAAGAGGGAATCCTTTCCCCATTGCTTGTTTTTGTCAGATTTGTTGAATATCAGATGCTAGTAGGTGTGTGGTCTTATTTCTGGGTTCTGTATTCTGTTCCATTGGTCTATATGTCTGTTCTTGTACCAGTACCATGCTGTTTTAGTTACTGTAGCCCTGTAGTATAGTTTGAAGTTGGGTAATGTGATGCCTTCAGCTTTGTTCTTTTTGCTTAGGATTGCCTTGGCTCTTCGAGCTCTTTTTTTGGTTCCATGTGAATTTTAAAATAGTTTTTTAAAAATTCTTTGAAGAATGTCAATGGTAGTTTAATAAGAATAGCATTAAATCTATAAATTGCTTTGGGTAGTATGGCCATTTTCATGATATTGATTCTTCCTATCCATGAGTATGGAATGTTTTTCACTTTGTTTGTGTCATCTCTGATTTCTTTGAAGAGTGATTTGCAGTTTTCCTTGAAGAGGTTCTTCACTTACCTTGTTAGCTATATTCCTAGGTATTTTATTCTATTTGTGGCAATTGTGAATGGGAGATCATTTGTGGGTAATTTAAATTTTTAAAATCAAATATTTTATCACTCATTATGCATTATTCTTCTCTGGGATAGATAGAGATTTCCCAGAACTCCGATAAGCTTTATTTTAACCTATTTACCTCTGATTAATCTGTTTCACCTCCCGGTTGTTACTGTAGTAACTGGGGTTATTAATAGCCTCAGAGCTACCAAGACTTCTCTGTAAAACTGATTATCTTTTTCAGGATAGCATCCTCTAAATGGTTATGCAAGATTTATGGTTAAGAATGGAAGTAGCTGATTAAATAATTCAATGAGCTTTACTCAACTATCTACTTTTCACAGCCTCTATTTTGTCCCCTGTGGAAGCACATAACAGGGCTTAGCTTTGGTGTTGTAGCTCTCTGTCAGAATACGCAATTAGTAGGTCTCATATATAAAATTTCATTTCATCTTAATATTAATCCCACCAAATGGAAGCTATCTAAACTTTAAAGTTAAAATGACTGAGGCTAACAGAGAATATGTGATTTGTTGAGGGTCACAAACTTAACGAATTCTCCAACTACGGGACAAATGCATTTTTCTCAAAATCTGTTACCTTTTATATTATATCCCAGTGTCTCATAGTGCCAAGACAAGGAAAAAATGAACAATTCTTAGACAATTATCTTCTTTTCCAGGGAATATCTTTCCATTTTCTTTTTCCCATCCCTCTCCTACCCTCCCCAGCTACAGTCAAACCTCAAATATAAGAACCAGAGAATTTAAATAAATGTCACAAGAAGAAACATCCTGAATCGTGTTCTTCTTCTGGTTCCTGAAACTTCCAAACATATCTTCAGCGTTATCACAAAGTTCAGTGATACTTAGGAATAACCTAGTGCTGGACACCAAGTAGATGACCAATGAATAATTTTTGTATTTTTAGTAGAGACGGGGTTTCACGATGTTGGCCAGTCTGGTCTCGAACTCCTGACCTCAGGTGATCCACCCGCCTTGGCCTCCCAAAGTGCTGGGATTACAGGCATGAGCCACCGCACCCGGCCCAGAAACAGATTTCTTATCTGAAATATCAGAAGGCAGAAAACAACAAGAGGGAAAAAAGGCTGCTAACTTAACGCATGGGGAAGCAGGGTGTGGGCAGGAAATGCAGTGTAAGAGAGGAGATTTGTACAGGGCGATGGAAGAGACAATGGAGAGAAGACAATCTGAGCAGAAGCTGTGAGGAGTAGATAGATGCTGGGGAAAGGGACTGCTAATTATGGTGTTATTTTAAAACTAGCTTTGTGTTTAAAATTCTCATTGCAACACCCTCAGAGACCTCCACTGCACTGCAAAAATCTTGGATTTATATTTTGTTTATCTTCTGGTGTAAAACTGAGCTGAAGCACACTGATTCTACTAGAAGAAGTCAATGTCCTAGGAAGACATTGACAGCTGTAGGGATGTTAACTGGGTCATCTTCACCAGTAGGTGGGGACATTGCACTTTAAAAATTCAAGGGAGCTGCTGCTTTCCCTTCTCTCCTGGCCCCTTGGCAGGTCTAGATTTGAGGGATCAGCATTTCTTGAGGGTGGTAACCCAGCCACTCTTTTTTCCCTTACTCTTCCTTCCATGTGTTCAAAATATGATGCAATCTGAGATGTGGTTATGGGTGTTTGAGAAGCAAAGAAGCATGACTGGAGCAGGAGTTAAAGTCTGCTTTTGTTTGAGAACTGAAGAGCTCAGTCTTTTACACGCTTTCACAGATAAGAGATTGGTACTATAAAATTACATGCTTAAAACAAACTTCGCTGCTGTCATTCTAATGCAAGCCACTATCCTTTTTCACATTGAGCATCCTGCCACCATCTGCAGCATTCTTGATATTTCAGTAAGAATTAAATTTTATTTTGCAATCAGTATTTTAAATTTATCAGGATACCTGTATATAGTTTGAGGATTAAACAATAAAGATGTATTTTAATGAAAACAAGAGCCCTTCATGCCATTCCTTTCCTCCACTAGCATTATCCCCAGGTCAATGACTTTTAATGGTAATATGTGTATCTTTGTGTATGTGGGGTATTAATTTAGACATCAGTTATCTAATTATCTGAAAGCAGATAATTTAGACCACCAACAATTTTATGTCTCTGGCATCCTTCTTGCAATTTTATTATATTACTATGTTTAGTTCCTCTGTAGGTAATCCCTGTATTTAAAAAAAAAACAAAGAAAACCTACACCTAAGTATATTGTATTTAAACTGTAAAAAAAGTTGAAATACATAAATACTGCTTAGAAAAGCAAAGTGGGATGGGAAAAGTACAAGTTATTACATTTTAGTATATTTCTTAAAAATGAATATAACAGGTAGATATTTGTTAGTATGCATTACAAAATTTGGGCAACATAGTTATGAAGTATATTTGGATATTTTTCAATACATATATTACACAAAGGAAGAAATAAAGTACTGCTCAAATCAATGGATTAAATAACCTAGTTGAAATATTGGAAAGTAGATGAACAGTAATTCACAGAAGAAACTCAAATGGAAAACAGCATATGCAAAGATGGCCAACTTTCTCTATAATATTTGACACAGTAATATTATGTCATTTCAGTTTAAATAAAATTATACATTGATAAAAATGTGAAATCACGTCTTTGAGGGGTTACTAAGAAACTGTCTAGAAGCATTGTTCTAGAAGCTGATGTGGTTTTGGAAGATCAAGTGTGAATGTCCAAAGGCACTTCTGTTGAATAAAACGCCAAGTGGAGGAATTGAAGATCCCTGATTGTGGAAGTATCCAACTGTTTAGAACTCAACTGAAATCCTGAATGATAGTTCTCTACATGTAGCAGGAGGAGCAAGTGACTCATGGAAATAACGGGTTTATTTAAATAAAGATAGCCTTTATGTGGACATCAAATTCATCAATGAATGTATCCATTTATTTGTCAAATAATTATTTAGCTCCTACTAAGTGCTACATGCTATTCCAGATAACTTAGTCAAAAAGGCAAATGTGTCCCTACCTTTATGAGCTTTAATTCTAGCAGGAACTAAAAAAAGTCACATAATAAACAGACATAAAATGCAGTGTTAGGTTGTGATTCTTGCTATGAAGCTACAAAAGAGGAAAGCTGAGTAAGGGAATAAAGAAACAAAGTGCTTATCAGTAGTGAACTTCCATGCAGGCCATGACAGGCTCATTTCAAAAGAAGCAGAAATATTTTATTATTTTTCCTTGGGTTATTAGTGTCACATGTAAGAATAGTGCACTAGATTTACTACCACAGATTTTTGTACTTATACTTATTTTGAACAAAATAACAACGTCTAGATAGTTCCTTTCCTCCTGCAAGAACTAAGTGTATGTAAGTCCTCTCTTTTGTAATCTAGTTTATTTTTTTCACATGTGAGGATCCCAGATACTATTAGGATGCCTTCATTGCTAATTGGATCTTGGAAAATATACTTTCTTGCTTTACAAAATATATTTCCTTTTAAGCCTCAGAGTAAATTTTGAAATGATCTACCCATGGATTAGTCCTCTGATTTTAACTAGTATCATTATTCTAGCTGTAAAGGACATCTATTCAAACTGTGTACAGGTAAGATTATCCAGGGGGTATAGTTTAGAGCACCCATATAATTTTCAATAGATTATGTGATTTTACAAGAATCTATCAAGTTAATGTTTCAAGAATATTGATAATTACTTTTAGACGTTTTGCTGAAAAAATACAAATAGACAGGGAGTCCATAGTAATAGGGTGGGTCTAAAGTTATGTAGTCTGAGTGAGGACATGGGATGTTAAGTCCAGAGACAGGCCATATGCAGACAGCCAGAACAATGTCTCAAAATCTACAAATGGCTGGGCCTGGATCAGTAATTCTTATGTGAAGGATGCCAGAAATGAGCAACGTAAACCTTAACAGAGTCTGAAAACACATCTCAAGGTAGAGGTTAGAATGAATCCACCTGCCATCCCAGCCTGATACACATGCTAGAATGGGTTATAGAAATGGGCTAACAGGAAAAAAGTCATTGAAATCATGGAAAAGACCGAAATGAAAAATGTGAGATAATATAAAGGTCCATATATGTTATTTATTTCAGTAAAATGCAAATAGACTTGACTTGTGATCAAAAGACAGAGATTGACAAATTGAATGCAAAAATACAAATTCAGATTATACTGTTTACAAGACATATGTCTAAAGCATAAAAGTCATTTCAGAGATTGAGTGTAAAAGACAGAAAGGATATATCATGCAAATACTAATTTTGAAAAATGATATCAATTTATTAATGTAAAAAACAAATTTTAAGGAAAAAAGGCATTGTAGATTTTTCTTCATCTCTTTATTTTGAGCCTGTGTGTCATTGCATGTGAGATGAGTCTCTTGAAGACAGCATACCAATACATCTTGGTTCTTTATCCAGCTTGTCACTCTGTGTCTTTTAATTGGGGTATTTAGCCCATTTACATTTAAGGTTAGTATTGATATGTGTGGATTTGCTCCTGTCATCATGATGTTAGCTGGTTAATTTGCAGACTTGTTTATGTGGTTGCTTTATAGTGTCACTGGTCTGTGTACTTCAGTGTGTTTTTGTAGTGGCTGGTAACAGTCTTTCCTTTTCATATTTAGTGCTTCCTTCAGAAGCTCTTGTAAGGTAGGTTTGGTGGTAATGAATTTGCTCAGCATTTGCCTGTCTGAAAAGGATCTTATTTCTCCTTCAATATGAGGCTTCATTTGGCCAATTATGAAACTCTGAGTTGGAATTTCTTTTCTTTATGAATATTGAATATTGGCCTCCAATCTCTTCTGCTTGTAGGGTTTTAGCTGAGAGGTCTGCTGTTAGTCTGATGGACTTCCCTTTGTAGGTGACCTGATCTTTCTCTCTAGTTGTTTTTATTTTTTATTTTTTAACATTTTTTCTTTCATTTTGACCTTGGGGAAGCTGATAATTGTGTGTCTTGGGGATAAAAGTCTTGTGAAGTATCTTATTGGGGTTCTCTACATTTCCTGAATTTGAATGTTGGCCTCTCTAGCTAGATTGGGGAAGTTCTCATGGATGATATCCTGAACTATGTTTTCCAAGTTGGTTCCATTCTCTCCATCTCTTTCAGGGACACCAATCAGTCATAGATTTGGTCTCTTTACATAACCCCATATTTCTCAGAGGTTTTGTTCATCATTGGGGAAGACAGTGTGGAGATTCTTCAAAGACCTAAAGACAGAAATACCATTCAACCCAGCAATCTTATTACTGGGTATATACCCAAAGGAATATAAATCTTTCTGTTATAAAGGCACATGCATGTATATGTTCATTGCAGCATATTCACAATAGCAAAGACATGGAATCAACCTAAATGCCCATCAATGATAGACTAGATAAATAAAATGTGGTACATATACACCATGGAATACTATGCAGCCATAAAGAAACAAAATCATGTCCTTTGCAGAGACATGGATGAAGCTGAAAGTCATTATCCCTAGCAAACTAATGGGGGAACAGAAAACTGAATACTGTATGTCCTCACTTATAAATAGGAGCTAAATTATGAGAACACATGAATTCATAAAGGAAAACAACACACACTGGGGCCTATCAGAGGGTGGAGAGTGGGAAGAGGGAGAGGATCAGGAAAAATAACTAATAAGTACTAGGCTTAATAACTGTTTGACAAAATAATCTGTACAACAAACCTCCATGACACAGGTTACCTATGTAACAAAACTGCACATGTACCCCGAACTTAAAATAATAGTTAAGAAAAGAAAACAGGCCGGGCACGGTGGCTCACGCCTGTAATCCCAGCACTTTGGGAGGCCGAGACGGGCGGATCACGAGGTCAGGAGATCGAGACTATCCTGGCTGACACAGTGAAACCCCGTCTCTACTAAAAATACAAAAAATTAGCCGGGCATGGTGGTGCCCGCCTGTAGTCCCAGCTACTCGGGAGGCTGAGGCAGGAGAATGGCGTGAACCCGGGAGGCGGAGCTTGCAGTGAGCCGAGATCGCGCCACTGCGCTCCAGCCTGGGCGACAGAGCGAAACTCCGTCTCAAAAAAAAAAAAAAAAAAAAAAAGAAAACAAACAAACAAAAAGCAAATTAAAAATAAAAGCTATGGTTGAATCAATGATGACATTGAGGAATAAAACAAGCATTAGGATCATGACATTAGCACAAAGCCATTCATGAGGGATCTGCCCCCATGGTCTAAACATCTCCCATTAGGCCCTGCCTCCAACATTGGGGATCAAATTTCAACATGAGATTTGGAGTGGACAAATATCCAAACTGTGGATGGGAATGCATGTGGAAGAAATACTTAATACAATTGCATTTAAAAAGTAGAGAGGGTAAAATATGCTAATGGTACTAGAGATACGGACTGTATCCTTCACTCAAAGTGGTAAAACATCAATACCAGTAGACTGTGATAAGTTATATGTATATATTGTAATAAGTACAACCACCACCAAGAAAGCTATATGAAGCAATGTACTAAAAAGGATTAAAAAGTATGAGTGTAGATACAAAAGTTCTTCCTGAGAACTTCAAATAAGATAGATATGCATATGGTGAGTAGGGCTGAAGTCTTGACTTCTATGCCTGAAAGTAGGCATTATTGGCTGGGAATTTAATTCCTAAGTGGGAAAGAAACCAAAAGTGCTCTATGGAGGAAAGACAGCCAAATTTTGACTTTCTGCTTCTGGCTAGGAGCTGAGGTTGGGCTCCCCATGATTTTAAAGGAGGTTGAGGAGAATGTTTTCAAACACTTGTATGCTATAGATATAAGGAAGTGAGAAGACACAGAATAACTTTCTCAAAAGGAACTGAAGCAAATAAAAAACAACTGTCCTGAGAAGATTGTTATTGTTCCAGATATTACAACAGGACAATAAATCTGAATGATCACTGAAGAACTGGGATTTTGATTGGAAGCCTGATGGGCTGAGGTGGAGTGGCTAAATAAAACCTCTGGACAGGGACAGTGGAGTACAGAAAAGAAGAGGAGGGAGGAGAGTAAAAGAGATGGGCAATGCTATGGTTTGAATGTTTATTTTCTCTGAAACTCATATTGAAACTTAATCCCCATAGTAATAGTATTAAGAGGGCTGTAAATCCAACTATGGTATTTGAGAGGTGGCACCTTTGGGAAGTAATTAGGATTAGATGAGGTCTTGAGGGTGGGGCATTGAGAGGAGAAACAGAGACCTTGAGCCATACCCCTTTGCCCTCTTGTCACATGATGCTCTGCACCTCATCAGAACTCAGCAGAGGGCCCACCAATAAGAAGACTCTCACCAGATGCTGGCACCATGCTCTGGGACTTCTCATCCTCCAGAATCATAAGAGATACATTTTGTTTCTTCATAAATTACCCAATTTTTGGCATTCTGTTACAAGCAACAAGAAACAGACTAAGGCAGAAAATTGGTACTAAAAAGTTGGGCTGTTGCTAATAACAAATATCTGAAAATGTGGAAGCAGCTGTGGAACTGGGTAATGGGTAGAGGTTAAAAGAACTCAAAAAGGCAGGCGAGAAAAAGCCTGTATTGCCTTAAATGTCAATTCTGGTGATAAAGGGTGATTTTGGTGAGGGCTTAGAAGAAGTCAAGAAGACTAGGAAAAGTCTGGAACTCCTTTGTGATGATTTGAGTGGTCAGGACCAGAATGTCAATAGAAATATGGACAGTAAGGGCTGTTCTGCTGAGGTCTCAGGTCTGAGGAACAAGGAATTGGAAACTGGAGTAAAGGCCATCCTTGTAATAAATGGGTGAAAAACTTGGCTCTGAATTGTGTCTATATCTGATGGTTTTATTAGGCTATATGGCAGAAGAAATATCTAAGCAGCAAAGCAGTCAGGCAGCTGCATGGCTACTTTTAACTGCTTACATTAAAGCTGTGAGAGGTAAAAAATAACTTAAAGGTGGAATTTATAATTAAAAGGGAAGCTAAGTGGAAAGATTAGGAAATTTTGCAGCCTGGCCCTGAAAGAGCATTTTCAACAGAGGAAACCAAGGGTGTGTCTGAAGGAATGATTGTTAAGGAGGGACTGATTGATAAGGAGAATTGTATGAATAGAATAAAGCCAGAAGCTATTCATCAAGACAATGGGAGACAAACACTGAATGCACTTTAGAGATCTTCAAGTCTACCCCTGCCATCACAGGCCCAGAGCTCTAGGAGGAAAGAATGGTTTCAGGAGACAGGCCTGGGGTGTCCTCCATGGGCTTGCTGCCCAATGCCACCTCAGGGCAGTGCTTCCCTCATCCTGGTTGCTCCAGCCATAGCTCAAGTGGCCCCAGATGTGACTCATATTGTAGCTGCAGAAGGCACAAGCAGTAAGCCTTGGCAATGTCCACATGCATGTGGTGCTATTTCTGCAGGTCTTCAGAATGCAAGACTAGTGGGAAGGCATAGAAATCTCCACCTAGATTTCAAAGGATGTATCAGACTGCCTGGGAACCCAAGGAGAAAACTGCCACAGGGGCAGGGCCACCACTGTGGGGAAAAGCAAGAGGGATCAGATTGTTACTGTGTCTGTGTAGAAAGAAGTAGACATAGGAGACTCCATTTTGTTCTGCACTAAGAAAAATTCTTCTGCCTTGAGATGCTGTTAATCTATGACCTTACCCCCAACACCGTGCTCTCTGAAACATGTGCTGTGTCGAACTCAGGGTTAAATGGATTAAGGGTTGTGCAAGATGTGCTTTGTTAAACAGATGCTTGAAGGCAGCATGCTCCTTAAGAGTCATCACCACTCCCTAATCTCAAGTACCCAGGGACACAAACACTGCGGAAGGCTGCAGGGACCTCTGCCTAGGAAAGCCAGGTATTGTCCAAGGTTTCTCCCCATGGGATAGTCTGAAATATGGCCTCGTGGGAAGGGAAAGACCTGACCGTCCCCCAGCCCGACACCCGTAAAGGGTCTGTGCTGAGGAGGATTAGTATAAGAGGAAGACATGCCTCTTGCAGTTGAGACAAGAGGAAGGCATCTGTCTCCTGCCCATCCCTGGGCAATGGAATGTCTCGGTATAAAACCCGATTGTACGTTCCATCTACTGAGATAGGGAAAAACCGCCTTAAGACTGGAGGTGAGACATGCAGGCAGCAATACTGCTTTGTAAAGCATTGAGATGTTTATGTGTATGCATATCTAGAGCACAGCACTTGATTCTTTACCTTGTCTATGATGCAAAGACCTTTGTTCACGTGTTTGTCTGCTGACCCTCTCCCCACTATTGTCTTGTGACCCTGACACATCCCCCTCTCTGAGAAACACCCACGAATGATCAATAAATATGAAGGGAACTCAGAAGCCGGCGGGATCCTCCATATGCTGAACGCTGGTCCCCTGGGTCCCCTTATTTCTTTCTCTATACTTTGTCTCTGTGTCTTTTTCTTTTCCAAGTCTCTCGTTCCACCTAACGAGAAACACCCACAGGTGTGGAGGGGCGACCCACCCCTTCAACCACCAAGAGCCTCTGCTAGGGCAATGCTGAGAGGAACTGTGGGGTTGGAACTGCTACAGGGAGTCCTCCCCAGGGAAATATCTAGTGGTGCTGTGACAGTGGGACTGCCACCAAGACTCCAAAACTGTAGAGCTACCAGCATGCAGTCCCAGCTTCGAAAACCCAAGGCACCTGACTCCAACCCATGAGAACAGCCATATATGGGCTGCAACCAGCAAAGCCATGAGGGCAGGGTTGCCTGAGGTCTTGGGGGCCCAACTTCTGCCCCTGTGTGCTCAGGATGAGGAACATGGAGTCAAAAGACATTATTTCCAGCTTTAAAATTTAATGTCTTTCCCTGTTGAGTTTCAGACTTCCTTGAGGCCTGTTACTTCTTTCTTCTGGCCCATTTCTCCTGTCCCAGCATTGTATCTTGGAGGTAGATAATTGGCTTTAGTATCTCAGGCTCACAGATAAGGACTTTGGACTTTTGGACTTTTGAGTTGGTACTAGAGAAAGTTAAGACTTTGGGGCTCTGGAGATAAAATGAATGTATTTGAATGTGAGAAGAATATGAGTTTTGAGGCTGCAGGGGTGAAATGCTATGGTTTGAAAGTTTGCTCCTCTAAATCTTATGTAGAAACTTAATCCCTATTGTAACAGTATAAAAGGGTAAGAAAACAGACCATGATATTTTAGGGGTGGGAGATGTGAGAAGTAATTAGTATTAGATGAGGTCATGAGGATGGGGTGATGGGGCACTAAGGGTTTGATAAGAGGAGAAAGAGATACTTGAGGTAGCCCTCTCAGCCTGCTTGCTATGTGATGCCTTGCACCACAATGGGACTCTGCAGAGGGTCCCCACTAGCAAGGAGGCTCTCACCAGATGCTGGCACCATGCTCTTGGACTTCCCAGCCTCCAGAAATAAATTTTGATTCTTTATAAATTACCCAGTTTCAGGTATTCTATTGCAATCATCAGGAAATTAATTAACACAGCAAAATCGACATCTAGAATACAAAATAATCCCAGCACTTTGGGAGGCCGAGGCAGGCGGATTACCTGAGTTCAGGAGTTTGAGACCAGCCTGGCCAACATGGGGAAACCCTGTCTCTACTAAAAATACAAAAATTAGCCGGGTGTGGTGGTACATGCCTGTAATCCCAGCTACTCAGGAGGCTGAGGCAGGAGAATCGCTTCAACCCAGGAGATGGAAGTTGCAGAGTGAGCCAAGATTGTGCCACTGCACTCCAGCCTGGGCAATGGAGTAAGACTCTGTCTCAAAAAAAATAATAATAATATACAGTAATTGGAGATGAAATTAATTTAAGTGTTCTGGTATATACTATGTAAGTATATGAAGTATAAATAAGTAGAGTGCAGATGACACCAATAACAATGACTTCATTGCTATTCTGTCTCAGTGAAGAAGGGGTCCTGTAGGTATGATTAATTATTCTCTTAGGTGTGTCTTCTCAATGCCAGCAAAGCTAGGTGTGGGTGAAAAAAATACCACCTAGTCTTTTTTGTTAAGTGACTATAAATATCATCAGATCCCTGTGCTTCCCTGTCTCTATCCCCAGGGATTCAATGACATTTATACACTTGGTTCCCAGGTGAGATTTTAATTAATAAACTAATCTCATGACTGTTAGCAATTATAATTAGATATTCTGTCAAGTTCCTAATTCTCACATCTTCAAGTCCTGTAATTTGGTATGAAGGCACTGCGAATTTGGACTTTGAGCTAACAAGATTTAGACAGGATATTGGCCTTGATCTGAGGCTGTAATGGAATGAGACTTTGGGGGGCCCTTGAGAAGGGATTAATGTATTTTACATTTGAGAGGGACATGAATTACAGGTGGCCAGAGGGCTGAAGAGGTGAGAAGGAAAGCAGAATTCTAAGATGGCCCCCAGGAATATCTATCACCCCCTGTTGTACATACCTTATAAAATTATTTTCCTTTAAATGTGGGTGGAACCTACCGAGACCAGCTTCGTCAGGGAGACCCTAACCCAGCAGCGCTAGAGGAATTAAAGACACACACACAGAAATGTAGAGGTGTGAAGTGGGAAATCAGGGATCTCACAGCCTTCAGAGCTGAGAGCCCTGAACAGAGATTTACTCACATATTTATTAATAGCAAACCAGTCATTAGCATTGTTTCTATAGATATTAAATTAACTAAAAGTATTCCTATGGGAAACGAAGGGATGGGCTGAATTAATTGCAGCAGGAACATGCTCTTAAGACATAGATTGCTCATGCTTTTGTTTGTGGCTTAAGAATGCCTTTAAGTGGTTTTCTGCCTTGGGCAGGCCAGGTGTTCCTTGCCCTCATTCCCGTAAACCCACAACCTTCCAGCTTGGGCGTTAAGGCCATTATGGACATGTTACAGTGCTGCAGAGATTTTATTTATGGCCAGTTTATGGCCATAAACTGGGCCATAAATTTGGGGCCAGTTTATGGCCAGATTTTGGGGGGCTTGCTCCCAATAGTAACCAGTAAATTTAATGGTATGATCACTACTGTGATTGGGTTATGTTTTGACTGCAATTAGCCTTATGAAAAGGAAATTATTGTAGGTGAGCATGAACTAATTAGGTGAGCCCTTGAAAGGGACTGAACTTTTCTTGAAGAGGGAGATTAAACATGAGAAAGACTCTGTATTACTGACTTTGAAGATGTAGAGGGCCATGTGGCAAGGAACTGAGAGTGGTCACTGGGAGCTGATACTGATCCCTGGCTGATAGCCGGCTTGAAAACATGGACCTCAGTCATACGTGGAAATAAATTCTGTCAACAGGCAGTGAGCTTGGAAGAGGACTCCATATTCAAATGAGAATTATAAGGTCAGCTTGTGACTTCAGTCTTGTGAGATCCTAAGCAGAGAGCCCAGTTGAGCTTTGCCTAGACTTCTGACCTAGAAAACTGAGATAATAAATGGGTGTTGTTTTAAGCTGCAAAGTTTCTACTAATTTGTTATGACAGTGGCTAGAAAATTAATACAATATGCTTTGTTTATTTAAATTTTACATACTGCACCATAAGCACCTTTGACATAAACAGAATGCTTAAAATTGATATACCTTTCACATATTAATTCTTTACTTTTTCTTAGTATAGTCTAAGAATACTTTCCTGTACGGTTTCTTTCTTTGTTTTGTTATTTAAACTCATCTCACCACTTTTTAATAAAATAAATATTTACTTTTTTTTTCTATATTTTTGTTGATGGCTTTCATGAAACTTCGGTTCTTGTCTTCTTAGTTTAAAAGAATTTAAACAACAGACACACAGCAAAGGAGATACAACATAGAGCAATTTCTTGCAAAGGAGAAAGGATACTCTGAAAGTTAGGTGCAGAATCAACAGTACACCCCAAGAGACAATTCAGGGCAGGTTGCTTGTGCGGGTGAGACAGTGTTGAATGTTACTGGGGAAACTCCCTTTATGGGAGTCTTACATGATTATTCATAAGGGGGTGGGAAGATGTGTTACTAGCAAGCATGTTCTGGGTGGTTCCTCCTCAGTTCTGAGTTCCTTCTCATTTAAACTTTTAATCTGCCTCAGTATAATCTCTGTATGTGTGTATGTATGGGCTCTTTTTACTATCCCACTAACTCACTAATTGACCCAACACTATTTTTAGTAATTTTTCCTATTCCACTGGATTAAAAGTTTGCTTTATTATGCACTACATTCTTAATTTATCCAACATAAATGCAGGATAACTTGTTCTATCCTTGAAAGCAGTCCCAGTATGATGTTCTTTAGAGAGGCCAGAGCAAATTTCCCCATACTCCATTTCAAATACTTCAAATTATATTGCAACCTCTTGAAAAATATCAAATTAGGATTGTATTTCTAACACCAAGAAAAATGATTTAAAATTCTTTTAAAATAGCTTCTTGTCCTAAAAATCTCACCATAATTTCCTCATCACTATGCTGCTTTCTCTTTCATTCCATATTGGTGTCATGACAATCAAGTATATTTCAAAAAACTTGTTTCCGG
Source organism: Homo sapiens (assembly GCF_000001405.40). Classification (NCBI taxonomy): domain Eukaryota; kingdom Metazoa; phylum Chordata; class Mammalia; order Primates; family Hominidae; genus Homo; species Homo sapiens. The sequence continues at coordinate 4,193,410 of NT_167246.2, read as the reverse complement.
ACCCCTTACATCCCACTGAGTTCCATTCCTCATTAGCTACAGCCCATTACCCTACAAATTTGGATAGACTCCAGAAGAGTAGAGTGGGCCCTTATGTACTTTGAAGAAGTGAAGAATATAACCTGTAACATTGAAGGCTTCTTAGAAATATGTTTGTCTCCCATCCCAAAATTTTCTCAAAGGGTTTGCGACTTCCTAGAAATGTAATACAGTGGTCCTCCCTTATCGATGGTTTCACTTTCCACAGTTTCAGTTACTGGTGGTCAATCAATCACAGTGTGAAAATATAGGTGTTTAGTACAATAAGATATTTTGAGAAGAGGGGAGAGAGAAAGAGACAGAGAAAGAGAGAGAGAGATCTCATTTACATAACTTTTATTACAGTATATTGTTATAATTGTTCTATTTTATTATTAGTTATTGTTGTTAACCTATGACTGCACAATTTGTAAATTAAACTATATCATATGTTTGTATGTGTAGAAAAACATAGCATATACAGAGTTTGGTACATGCCTTCAGGCATCCTTTGGGGTGCCTTGCAACATATCTCCCATGGATAAGAGGGGGCTATTGTAAACAAAATTTTCAATTTCATTAATTGTGGCATAAATTAGGTTCTGTTTATGTGCAGCCAATATCATTCCACAGTTGTCCTTTTTTTGGGGCACTATGAACATGTTTTAATTGTTTAGCTTTATAATCATTTGTAAACATCTATTAGAGTACCTCTCCTTATTTTTATCAATAGTTGTTTTTGTATACCGCTCTTGAAAGTTAGAAACATTTTGTTAATAAAACTGTCTTATTACTATTTAGATTAAAGCATCACCAAATCCATGTATTTTGTCTGGAAAAGTGACACAAATTGCCCTGTCCAAGAAAGTGGTATCATTGTTTACTAAACTTCTTTCTGTCCTTAAGTAAATTTCTATTCTTTTCTGTGGATTGCACACATGACTGCTTTGATATTTTGTATATTTATTGCTCTTTTCAATAATTTTTTTTCTGGAATGGATTCATTGACCTAATCTGCCAGAGAGAATTAATGAGGCCCCACATCTTCTCATTAGTTGGAGAAGAAAGTATTTAATGGTTTAACTTGAACGTGACTTTTGTGAATCTTTTTTTTTTTTTTTTTTAAAGCAGAATCCTGTATTTGGTTACATTCTGGTCTAGTGACCACTTCCTTCAGGTAAAGCAAGCTTCCCTGTCTGGAACAGCCAGGCATGTGATAAAAAATTTCCTTTGTGGTCACTTAGTTATTATTCCTCTTGTCTTGAGTGTCTGGGCTGCTATTTTCATGTATTTACATCCAAATGAAGTCTTTCTTTCCAACTTTTTATAGTATGTTTTGATTCACAAAATATTTTAGCCTTATCTACAATATAATAATTTCTCACAAATGCAAAGAATATAGGTTTGTACAGTTTTGAAGTAATATTGGCAAAAGAGTATGAAGCAGAGTGCCCATATTTAAATATAACTTTCAACATGTTAGTCTTTCTATAGGTGTTTTCAGGATAATAAAAATTAATTTGATTGATATAGACTTGGGGGCAATATATGAGAAACAGGCTCTGCTCTAAAGGATAGGATGAGAGGTGGGCAGGGAGGATTTGTATGGTTTGAATTCCAGGCACACACGCTAACTGCTAATTTGGCATCATCCACCAGGTTGAATATTTTCATGAAATTCTGTCTTACATCTCTGCTAATCCTAAAACAAAGAATGAGGATCATTTCAGGTGAGTCTAAGTCAGGAGAAACTATTAAAATTGTTATATTCTTCATTTAATTTTTTTCTATGATTATTTTTTCTTCTTTTTATACTAATTAGAATAGGCCAAACTGCTGCAACAAATAGACTAAAATGTGTATTGTGGCTGAAATATAGTAGAAGTTTATAACTCACTAATGTAGCAGAAGGAGGATATTGAAGATTTGTGAGTCACTTTTCTCCAGGTGGTGATTCAGAATTCCAAGCTCCCATAGTCCAATATGGTGCCTTTCATTTTTTTTCCTGAGAAAATTAACACATTTTAATTTTTCCTCAAGAAGGGAGGTACAAGAGTGATCAATTGTGATCTAGAAGATTAAGGCAAGAAAGTTAGTGAAATTTGCTACAGTGTCTACTATTATAGTTGTCATTATGACTGTAACTAATATTTGTTTCCCTCCTTCACAAGCCATTCTTGATTCCCCTCATCCTCTGAATTTAGTCTAGTTTGTTTTTCTGTTTTGGTGACAGAGACAACTATTCCAGAAGGGTCTATGTTACTATTTACTCTGTTCTTGAATTATGATTGTTTTAGTGTCTACTGACAGACATGACCATGCATAGAAGCACTAAAAGACTATTGTATTTTCATCTGGGATAGTAGTCTCTGTCACTAAACCAGAAGAACAACCTAGTTTTTAGACCTGTTCAAGCTTGGTTCCAAAGGAACCACTTCTGCTGCAGATGGATTGTGGTTGGTATCCCCAAACTTACGACTCCATGGATTTATAGCTCTTCGCATCATATGGTCAATTTAAGGCACATGGTCAGTGTGCTAAGTGCCTATCAGGAAGAAATGAACACTTGGTCATAGTTTTAGAACTATGAAAGGAAATTAAATCTTGGGACTCCAACTCATTAAGCCTAAGGGAAAAGTTAATCTGGGAACGGGGTTGCGAAAACCCGCCTCCCCCTTTTTGGTTCCTAAATAAGATGGCTACAAAATGAAAAGCTACATGCCTCCCTCATATTTTGTCCACAAGGAAAGTCCTTGTGAGCTGCAAGATCTTTACTCTAAGGTGTTTCTGTTAAAATTTTACCATGGCAATGTAAATTGGTAGCTTATCTTTACAGGTGTAGTCACGCCCCTGCCCAGAAGACACAAATGCATATCTTTTTTTTTTTTCTTTTTTTTTTTTTGAGACGGAGTCTCGCTTTGTCATGCTGGCTGGAGTGCAGTGGCGCGATCTTGGCTCACTGCAACCTCCACCTCCCGGGTTCAAGTGATTCTCCTGCCTCAGCCTCCCAAGTAGCTGAGATTACAGGCATCTGCCACCATGCCTGGCTAATTTTTTTTTTTTGTACTTTTAGTAGAGACAGGGTTTCACCATGTTGGCCAGGCCTGTTTCAAACTCCTGACCCCAAGTGATCTGCCTGCCTCAGCATCCCCAAATGCTAGGATTACAGGCATGAGCCACCGCGCCCGGCCACAAACGCATATCTAATTGTTCCCCTTCCCCCGTTTTGTCTATGTCATCTTATGTAAAAAAAATGCAGATTAACTGAGCCAGACAAAGGCATGAATGACTATTTTTCCTTACCCTCCTCTTACATGAAAATTGTGTACTTCTCAATATCCCTACCCTTTCCCCTTAAATTTAGAGCCCTCAAAATTATCTTCGGAGAAAGGTATAGACCTGTCTCCTGGGTGCTTATTCTTAACTTTGGCAAATAAACCTCCTAAAATGATTGAGACTTGCCATTTTTCTCGATTGACAGAACACATGAGTTCATGCAAAGTTACTGTTGGAGAAGTTTTCCTGTGGTTGTTTTTTGGAACATGTAATATGAATGAAGTGATCAAGAGTTTGAGCTGTGACTTACACTTTAGGCTATAATAGAGTAATTGGTGCGGTTAAGACTTCATCTCTCCTGGGCAGCTTTCTTGAGCTTTAGGAGACTGACTCACAATGGAGCTGAGGCTTCTTCTGTCCCTTGCTACTGATCTGTAAGTAATAAAACTGCTTCACATAATTTGTGTGTGAGTGTGTTCTGTTTCACCAGACTCAGATAAACAGGTAGCCAGTGCATGGTGGACATAAACAGTAGCTCAGAATGCAGTGGGAAGAAGTATCTGGACCTCTTTTCCTGGTGGTTGGCATAGTGATGATCTTTTCTATTCTCCATGCAGTGGAAGTCCTCCCTTTCCTCCCTTGGTATTGGTAATTAGTAAACCTGCTTCATAAACTGTGATTAATATACTAAAATCTCTAATGGAAAAGGTAGACAACATGCAAGATTAGACAGTTTCAGCAGAGATATGAAAGCTTTAAGGATGAATGAAATGGAAATAAAATAAAAATAAATTAACAAAAATAAAGAATGCATTTGACAAGCTCATCAGCAAATGTGGTACAGCCCTGGGAAGAATCAGTGAGTTTGAAATAGATCAATAAAAATTACCCAGAGTGAAACACAAAGAGAGAAAGAGAGTAAAAGTACATTAAAAAAATAAGCCTGGCACAATGTTTCACATCTGTAATCTCAGCACTTTGGGAGGCTGAGGTGGGAGGAATGCTTGAACCTAAAGAGCAGCCTGGGCAACATAAGGAGACCTTGTCTACAAAGAGAGAAAAATTAAGTGGGCAAGCATGGTGCTGGTATTCCCAGCTACTCAAGAGGCTAAGACGGGAGGACTGCCTGAGTTGGGGGCGAGGGTGGGGGATGAAGTGAGCTGTGATCGCACCACTGCATTCCAGCCTGGGCAACAGAGTGACACCCTGTCTCAAAACAAACAAACAAACAAACAAACAAACAAAGGTGATGTAACCATTCAATACAGCACTGCAGCTCTTGGATGCTCTGTTTTGTTTTTCCCCTGCTCTTCTTTTCTCTTTGTATTTCACATTGGGTAATTTTTATTAGGTATCTTATTGAATTAGTTTGTTAAAAGATAAACACATTATTTCGGTTGGCTTTGCTTTTTTAACATTATATTTTGAAATAATTGTAGATTCAAAGGGAGTTACCAAGATAGAACAAAAAGATTCTGTATAGCCTTCATCCAGTTTTCCCCAATTGTAACATCTTACATAACTAAAGTGCAATATCAAAACCAGGAAATTATCCTGACATATATAGTCAAACGATTTTCAACAGGAGTGCCAGGGCCATTAAATGCGGAAAGGACAGCCTTTTCAACAATGGTGCTGGGAAAACTGGAAGTCCACATACAAAAGAATGAAACTGGACTCTTACCCTACATTATAGACAAAATGAACTCAAAATGAATCAAAGACCTAAATGTGAAAACTAAAACCATAAAACTCTTAGAAAAAAAATAGGGAAAATCTTCATGATATTTGATTAGGCAATGATTTCTTGGATATAACACCGAGGGCATAGGCAAGAAATGAAAAAAATATATATAAATTGGACTCCATCAAAATTTACAACTTCTAATTGAGGCATGGAAAACTAAATACCATATGTTTTGATTTGTAAGTAGGAGCTAAGTGGGTACTAAGCTATGGGTACTCAAAGGCATACAGAATGGTATAAAGGACAATGGAGAGTAAGAAATTGGGGAGGATGGGAAGGAGGGTGAAGGATAAAAAACTACATATTGAGTACAATGCACACTACTCAGGTAACAGGTTCACTAAAATTCCAGGCTTCACCACTATACAATTCATCCATATAACAAAAAACCACTTGTAACCTAAAAGCTATTGAATTAAAATTATATTAAAAATTAAAAAAAATTATTATTGAGCATCTACTATGTGTTCAAAACTATTTTAGATGCTATATATTTGCCACTTCATTTAATCCTTGGCATTACTCTATGGAATAGATAATATTCTCATTTTGCAGTTAAAGAAACTCATACTCAGAGAGATTAACTTGGATTTATGAGCAATGTTGACATTATAAAGTAGAGGCAGGAAGACCAGTTAGGATGCTTTTGCAGAAATTAACTTGAGTGGAATTGTCGGTCTGTGAGAATAGAAAATGAATCTTTTGGGAAGATTCTACAATGTTATTGTTTTTGCATAAGTGACTTTTTCCTCTACTCCCTCTTTTCACATGTAAAATGTAGATTTACTGAGGCTAATCAGACTCACAAGAATGTAACCACTTGTGTCATTGCCTACCTTCCCTCCTTTTTTTTTTTTTTTTCCTCTCTCTTTCCCTTCCTGCTTACTCTTTCTTTTTAAACATTGAAGTTCTCAAAACCCTCTTTGGAATAAGCATTGATCACAGATGCTCCTGTGATTCGTGTTTTTCCCAGGTGCATCCTGAACCTTGGCAAAATAAACCTCTAATTGATTGAGACCTGCCTCAGTCACTTTTCGGCTTACACCAGGATTTCTTTCTTTTTAAAGCCTGAATAGAATTCCATTGTGTATACATACATTATCTTTACCCATTCATCTGCTGAATGACACAGGTTGATTTCATACCTTGACTATTGTGCATAATGCTGCAATGAACATGGGAGTGTGGATATATTTTCAACCTACTGATTTAAAATCCTTTGTCTGTATCCTGGAAGTGGGATTGCTACATCATATGGCAGTTCTATTTTAACTTTTTGAAGAACCTTCATAATGTTTTCCCTAGTGGCCATACTAATTTACATTCCCACCAACAGTGTGCAAATGTTCCCTTATCTCCACGTCCTTGTTAACACTTGTTATTTTTTGTCTTTTTGATAATAGTCATCCTGAAAAGCATGGATTGATATGTCATTGAGGTTTAAATTGAATATCTTAAGTTTTCCTATTTGAGGATATGAGTAGTCCCCCCAAAATATTACTACTAATGTTGCTTTTTTGCATGAACCATGACCTTGAGCTGAGCTGGACACTTGAATTCTTGAGTACTTGGACATGAGCTTAAATAGGACTGAAATATTTTTTACATACCTGAATATTAGTTCTTCTCTCTACTGGTAAGAACTTGTAGAAGAAGACATTATAAAGATCTCATAGAAAGATATTTAAGGTTTGTCTGGGAATGAAGGCACATGATGACTACAAATCTAGAAGCTGGGGAAGAGTTGTCTCTGGAAATATCCCAGGCATTACTAGGGAACCAGAAGTAGAGACGAACAGATATGTTGCAAAGAGTGACATGTGTAGGTTAGCTCTGGGTGATGAAATCGTCAGTGGTCCAGCTGAGGTGATGCATGGATGAGATTGACTGGAAGAAGAAACCTGTAGAAACAGATCAGGAAACAAAGCTCCGTTGTACACACGTCCATAGCAGGCAGCCTGGGTTTTCATCCCAGTCTTCTTCTGTTTTCAAGGGCCATTTCCATACTGCATGAGAAGCCATGAGACTGGTGGGCTCTGGACTCCTGTGCCAGAGATCACTCACCTTCCCCATTTCCCCCAAGTGTCCCAAATGCCTTGTATCATCTGATTTTCTATCTTCCTGCTAAAGCTTTTCCCATACTCCTAGTCCTTCACCCTGCGGTATCCTCCAAGTCCTTACCTGACTTCCACTATGGAGTCTCCCCATGGTTACTTGCTTGAAGGAGGCACTGTTTGAGCACAGCCTCTGAATGCTACAGACTCTCTCTTCAGATTTTCTAAATTGTCATTTTAAAGAGATAACTGTTTAAAGAGAAAAGGCCTACCTTATATGTGTCATGAAAAATTCATGTAACCGGTTACCTAAAAGTTGATATAAGAGAAATATGTAAGTAGCTTCACAAGGTTTTGAAAAATTTGGAGATAATTACTTGATAAATTTTTATTAAAGGAAAATGATATTCTGGGGCTGTATTTCTGTTACCACTGGCATTAAGGAGGCCACAGAACCTTTCTGACTCTACAGTGTTTCTTGATTCTGGAAGTAATTGCAGGACAGAGTCCTGGATAACCCTTCTGGTGACAGGATGACTCCTGTGTTTACATTCAACTGCACTGACCAAGCACAGATTCTAAGAGATGCTGACCAGGGAAGATGATTTCTCCCTTGATTCCACAAAGAAGGAGTCCACAACCTTTTTCTGCCCTGAAAGAAGAGACAATGTGCCCTGGGGAGTCTCCCTAGTGTAACCTTGACCCGTAATAACAGCAGTGTCTTTATCCCATCTTCCCACATGGGGTGTGTGTGGTCTCATCCTAAGCGCTCTGTCCCCATCAGAGGCCGGGCAGGTGATTTGGGTGAGGCATTCAGAATCAGGATGCTTGTCTGAGTTGCCTTCCTCTGGCCAGGCCAATAGTGGCTGCCCTGAGTAATGGAGCAGGGATAGGAACATTGCAAAGAACTGTAGAGAAGGCTGGATCAGGGGGACACAACTGGCAGAAGCCCCAAACCAAAGCCTTTTAGATTAGGTGTTTTTTTTTTGTTGTTGTTTTGTTTTGAGACAGAGTTTTGTTCTTGTCCCCCAGGCTGGAGTGCAATGGAGTGCAATGGTGCGAACTCAGCTCACTGCAACCTCTGCCTCCTGGGTTCAAGCGATTCGCCTGCCTCAGCCTACTGAGTAATTGAGATTACAGGCATGCACCACCACACTCGGCTAATTTTTTTTATTTTTGGTAGAGACGGGTTTCACCATGTTGGCCAGGCTGGTCTCAAATTCCTGACCTCAAGTGATCTGCCTGCCTTGGCCTCCTGAAGCGCTAGAAAATTACAGGGGTGAGCCACTGCGCCTGGCCTCAGATGAGGTTTTAGCCAGTCAGAAAATGGCTCTAAGCTGACACTTTCGTTGCTAGTTGAAAAGTCTGTGTGGCCAGGTGTGGTGGCTCACACCTATAATCCCAGTGCTTTGGGAGGCCGAGGTGGGAGGATTGCTTGAGGCCAGGACATTGAAACCAACCTGGGCAACATAGCAAAACCCTATTTCTATAAAAATTTTTTTAAAAATTAGACAGAATGGCGGTGTGTGCCTGTACTCCCAGCTACTTGGGAGGCTCAGACAGGAGGATCACTTGAGCCTAAGAGGTTGAGGCTGCAGTGTGCCATGATCATGCCAGTGTACTCCAGCCTAGGTGATAGAGCCAGACCCTGTCCCTAAAAAAGAAAAGAAAAGAAAAAAGGAAAATAAAAAAAAAGGAAAAGAAAAGAAAAAAGTCTGTTTGAAGAGGCCCATGAGACTGGGGAGTCCCTAGGTTTGACGTAGACTTTGCCTCACAGCCCCAGAATAAACCTGAGGGAAGTTTCTCCCTTTGAACAGGAAGAAGGGGTGGGCCAGAGGCCTCTATTCCGAGGGACGCTGAGGTGGGGACTGAGAGGACATTGAGGGCATCTTCAGGTCCCTCTCTGCCTATTCTTTCTTGCCCCCAGTTCCGTTCTAGGTCTGAGTTTGATGTTCCTCCTTTATGCTTCCATCGCACCAGTGGAGACCCTCCTTAGACTGGGGGTTACCCTGATCCTGAGTACACCACTGCTGCTAGAAGCCCAGTAACAACGTTCCCAGTCTCAGGTGATCTAAATCTATGCACAGAATAATACAGAATATTAGAGTGGCTCAATGCTTTCATGTGCCACTATTGCAAACCTCTTGCTACCGTCTCTTCCCTGTTTCTTTTTACCTGGTAAACATATTCTGCTTTTAGATGCTCTCTATCTTCTACTTTACTAATATACAGGGAAGAGTGGGAGGAAGGGAGACAAGAAGAGAGGTGGAGATATTTATTGTCTTGGTTAGGATTACCAGTAATGTTTGTCAGGCATTGTTTTAATTGCTTTATAACCATTAGTACTATCCCTAGCCATGGGCAACGTAAGCCTGATAAGTAAGAAATTTATTTATAAAAACACATTGGTACCTCTGCCATTTTGGATTTGATGTTTAGGGCTGGCCCAATATGACCTGTAACTCTAAACATTTGCTCCATCATTAATACGATTCAGCCCCCAGGAAATTCTTCTTCACAGCTTTTGTTCTCTATCTTCAAAACTAAATGTGACTGTGTCTGAATACTGTAAAATTTGTGTATTGTGCCTTTGCTCATATCAGATGCACCTGTTTCATGGTTCAGGGAGGATTTAAGCAGCTGAAGAACTTACAAGAGAAAAGTCAACAAATACTTTCACTCGAAGAGCATGAATGCAATACCTTCTTGCATAATAAAGAATCACTTGCCAGTAGGGCTGGGTGTCAACTTTTTTTTTTCTTGTTCCTCCTATTAGCTTGATAGTTACACATAACAGTGGAGGAGGCTTTTGTAATATTAAACTAGTCATATTAATGTTAAATTTGTATATGTGAAGATCTAGATGTAAAATGCATAAAACATGATCCACATTTTGCAAAGAGAAGCCTGGGGGTGAAAAGGAGTTCAGTAATTTGTTGACTCTCATAAAGCACATTAGTGGTAGAACTGCAACTCACCATCATTTCCTTCTAAGAACTTTGCTCTTCTCACCAAAACTTAAGGCTCCTCAGAGTGTCTAATAGAAGTGAACATTTCTGTGACAATTTTCTGTTCCCTGAAATATGATCCTCACTTAATTTGCCCTACTAAAACTCCCAAGTATAAGAACAATAGGTTGTAAGATGTCTACTCTTGAATCACATTTGTCTTTTGCTTCTTAAAACCCCTAAGCCATTCAATCTTCAGCTATTCAGAAATCTTCACCTCAAATGTTCATCTAGTGCAATTTGAAGAAGAAACAGTGCCAGGCATTGGAGTGAGAATCTTCACAGAAAAATGTCTGCCCAGAGGCAGATGAGGTCCTTCAGCTCCAGTGCTGATTGGTTCCTTTCCTAGGGACTCCCCAATCCTACCACACATGGAAACATCCAGAGGTTTTTATTCTTTCCGGCAGGTACATAAGATCCATTAGGTTTGAGCTGTGTTGACTACCACTGCTTTTTCCTTGGTCTCACTTATGTCTTGGAAGATGGCTCTGCAGATCCCTGGAGGCTTTTGGGCAGCAGCTGTGACCGTGATGCTGGTGATGCTGAGCACCCCAGTGGCTGAGGCCAGAGACTTTCCCAGTAAGTGCAGGGCAGCTGCTCTCGAGAGCCACCACTGTGGGAACAGGCTCTCCTTGGGTTGGAGTATGGGGGATGGTGATCTCCATGATCTCAGAACACAGTCTTTTATCACCATTTATTCTTTTTGGGAAATAGAGCTATGTTGCATTTTTATTTCCACCTTATAATGGGTGAGGTGAGGATAATCCAACCCCAATCCCACAGGTTTAAGCCTGAAGGAGGAGAGAGGAAAGAGGAGACAAAGTGTGCATTCACTACCTGTGACAGGACAAAATGACCATGGCACTCCACGGTTATGCATTTCCCCAAAGATATGCATTTCCCCAAAGACACAGTAGGATTTTTCTGCACTGGGAAAATGTAAGGCAGCAATGGTGTCTGTAGTCTCTGTATTGGAGGTAAAGGAGTCTATACTACTGACTCGAGTGGAGAGTTTGTGGAGGCAAACTCTTAGTACTGAGGGAAGGTGACTGGATGACCACAGACAGGGAGTCTTACTTTGGGTTTCACTGATTTATGGGCAAAAGGTGACTTGAGTGGGATTCAGGGACCTGAGTTGATGGTGGACTGAATTTAGTATGATAGGAAGGAGGAAGTAAAGAAGGGAAATAATACATATTGAGAAACCACTCCATTCAGACACAGGACAGTACTTTCTATAAATCCTCTCTCACTCCTCCTAACATCCTATGTGTAGGTATCATGATTTTCCTTTTATGTAATTATACTTGTGATATGGATATTCTGTTAAGTAACCTGCCCAAGCTGGTGATTGACTCAGTTTAATTGGACCCTATAGAATTCAAAAGCTTGGGCTCTTTCCATGAATAAATGTTTCCTTCTAGGACTCCGGAGGTGTAGGTCCTTTCTAACACAGAAGTGAGTGAACCTCACAGGGCACTTGGGCGGGTATAGCAGAAAGAGAGTAAATCCAGGCATGGGTTTACTTGGTCTCTTGCCCAGGGACCAAGAGAATACTTACATCAGGATGAGAACAAGCTTAATTCCTGAACCTTTCTCGTTATTCCCTTGAACTCTCAAATTTATGTGGATAACTCTGTCTCTGAGATTCCCAAGAGCTCCATGGAAAATGGGATTTCATACGAGAACGCCCTGATCTAAGAGCAGAGGTCAATGTCGAATCGGTCCGACTGCCCTCTTCACTTGGTTCACAGGCTCAGGCAGGGACTGGGCTTTCCCTCTTACCTCCCTAAAGGAAGGCAGATTCCCGAGGCCCTCAGAGAGGGCGGGCAGGGCTGGGGCAGAGATGTCTCGAGGATCCCAGGTCCGGAGCACGAGGCACGGGCCCAGCCAAGAACTCAATTTCGCTTGGACGGGTTTCGCAGCTGCTGGCCGGGTCAGGGCAGCGGCTGAAGGGTGCGGTCCGGCTGGGGGCTGGGGCTAGGGCCGTGCTGGCGCCTGACTGACCCGCCGTGATTCTCCGCAGAGGATTTCTTGGTCCAGTTTAAGGGCATGTGCTACTTCACCAACGGGACAGAGCGCGTGCGGGGTGTGGCCAGATACATCTATAACCGCGAGGAGTACGGGCGCTTCGACAGCGACGTTGGGGAGTTCCAGGCGGTGACCGAGCTGGGGCGGAGCATCGAGGACTGGAACAACTATAAGGACTTCTTGGAGCAGGAGCGGGCCGCGGTGGACAAGGTGTGCAGACACAACTACGAGGCGGAGCTACGCACGACCTTGCAGCGGCAAGGTGAGCGTCGTCGTCCTTCCGCGGTGCTCACCCTTGGCCGGGGCCCGAGTCTCTGCGCACAGAGGGGCGAGGACGGCGCGGCCTCAAGGACCGAGCCCTGGTCCATCCCAGGGTACAGGAAGGTGGCGGGGATTTGGAGGCTGGGGTAGTATCGGAGGGGCGGGGATCTAGGGCAGAGCAGGGGGATGCACAAAAGCATCCCTTAGTTCCCTGCAGGGTTGGGTTAGGCTGCCCAGTGTGTCCCCAGCCTCCCCGTCCATCGGCCTTGTCCTCTGCTCTGCATGTTCTTGCCTTGTGCCTTATGCGTTTGCCTCCTCGTGCCTTACCTTCGCTAAGCAGTTCTTTCTGCCCGAATGCCCGCCCTCTTCCCCTGCCCGCCCGCCCCACTAGCACTGCCCCACCCAGCAAGGCCCACTTGCACAGCTCGCGCCGCAGGAAGCTTCAGGTTTGGCCTGGTGGAGTTAGGGCTGCTCCACAACTGCGCGCAGGGCATCCAGCAATTACAGTTGTGAAATAAGATATTTTAACTTTTGGCTTCAAATTATTATTCATCGTAATTCTGTTTTCTTAAACGGCTCTCATTCATGGCGGAGCTCTTTGAGGTGAGAGTGTTTTAATCATTGCATGCCTAGTACCTGACTCGTGGACTGGCATGTGGTATGAGCTCAATGATCTTCTGTTAAATTAATGAATAAATGTACTCAGCTGCCCATCCACTTAGGCTCAAGGGAAAGCAGAGGATAAATAGAGCCTTAAAGATGGACTTTATCAATTATTTTCTATTATTTTGCTTGATGCTTTAAACTCTTATTGACTTGGATCTTAGTAAGGTTTGTGAATGCAGTCTAGGGAAAAAGGTGTTTGCTGAAAATAAAAACAACTCTTGAATGGTGTTATAAGGCAGTTTTAATTTCTTAGAAAAGCTGAACAAATGGCACAATGAAAAGAGCAGAAGCTTTGGAATACATAGATTGAAGCCACTAAATTATTGAATAAAAATAGTTTCAGGTTGCTTTTGGAGTAGATTTTCTCCCTCCCCCCATCACTATCCACTTCAGGGATAAACATTCTGAACGTCAATTTTACCCACTTAGTGAGCACTTATTTCTAGACAATTGCCTTAGCAAACACCATCTAAGTTATGTCATTTAATAGCACAGTTACCTGTGCATTAGAGATTAGCATTGCCACTTTATATATCGTAATATTGGTACATGATAAACACTTTAAGTAATCAACCCACAATTATGCACCAGGACCTGAAGCCTCCCCCAAATACACAGCATTCTTTTATGTTCTTCAATACTCGTCTACACAGCCTAAGGGAAGTAAAGCCTTGTTAAAGCCAATTTTGACAAGAAGCAGCAATGGGTCTATTCCTGCCTGTTTTCACTGTTAATGGGACAAAATGATACTTTCAAGGCATTGAAAATTCACTGATTAATCAATCCCTAGTCTGACCCCAGTGTTATCTATGCAGGTTCACAAAACTTCCTTGCCTTCTTCTGACCCACATCCTAATGCTGTCAAGTATTTATATTTTTGCCATTTCAAGTCTATTTCTATAAAAGTTATTCTATCATTTTTTTCTCATGAATTTGTGCCCTCTATTTTTACTTTCAGTCTTTTTAAGATGAACAAATCTTGTAAGTCCCCACATAGCTGACTGTTATTTCAGTCAGACTCCAGGAAGGAGGGCCTAAAGAAAAGTTCAAGTCCAAGCAGAAACCAAGATTCCTTCCAGACAATGGCTCAAGAGTGCCATTTAATTGGGGTGCTACCTGCTGACCTCAGCAAATCCCAGCTATATGTATATGTTTGCATTACAGGCACATTCACCCAGGCCAACCTCTGCATGGATCTCAGAATATTTCCTATGGAGAACGTACATGATAATGTCTGATTTCAGAACAAGAAAGTAATTCTCAATAGCAAGGGGATGGAGTAGGGTAGGCAGCTAGTAATTACACTATCTTGAGGGTTAAAAGGAAATTAAGAAAAAGCAGGAAAATGAGAGAACATATTACCAAGTAAATAAAGCATACATTAAATATTTACTATAATTTTACACTAAAGAAATAAAGGAAATGCAGTAAAATGGCCAGAGAGGCAAAGGTTAAGATGTATAAAATATGCAGGGAAAGGTGTGTCATTTTTGACCATGAGCACCGCTCTGAGAAGATAAAGGAATTGAGTTATGGGCAAACATGATGTTTGATCAGTGTTCGTTTTTTTCAAGGCCTGCCTACTTTTCCTTCAAATATTACAAACTTTTGAAATAACATTCAATTTTTTGGTCTCTGTTACTAGATTGCAAGTTCTATAAAGGCAGGAACCAGGGTTTGTTGTTTATTTTTGGATTCTCAGTGATTGTCAAATTTATATTTGTTGAAGGAACCTTAATCCAAGACTTGGACTCCAGGTATCTTTCCATTCTGGTTCCAAGGAGGGACCTTCCTCACAGCAGGCGTGCTGTGTGGTCTCACATCTCACTCCTATATCTTTCCCTGTCTGTTACTGCCCTCAGTGGAGCCCACAGTGACCATCTCCCCATCCAGGACAGAGGCCCTCAACCACCACAACCTGCTGGTCTGCTCAGTGACAGATTTCTATCCAGCCCAGATCAAAGTCCAGTGGTTTCGGAATGACCAGGAGGAGACAGCCGGTGTTGTGTCCACCTCCCTCATTAGGAATGGTGACTGGACCTTCCAGATTCTGGTGATGCTGGAAATAACTCCCCAGCGTGGAGACATCTACACCTGCCAAGTGGAGCACCCCAGCCTCCAGAGCCCCATCACCGTGGAGTGGCGTAAGGGGAAACTGGTTTCCTTTTACTGTGGGCCCCACAAGACAAAGGGAAGAGCTCCCGCTGATCCTTCCCATCCCATCTCTTGTCCCTGACATCACTACTGAGCTGGGAATCACAGGAGACTAGAGCACCTGTTGCCCCATGGCAAGCACATCAGATGAATCCTGATCTCTTTGTCTTTCCAGATACCAGGGAGATCACTTTCCACATTTGTGTTAGTCCATTCTTGTACTGCTACAAAGAAATCTCTGAGACTGAGTAATTTATAAAGAAAAGAGGTTTAATTGGCTCTTCTCACTCCACTATAAAGAAATACCTGAGAATGGGTAATTTATAAAGAGAAGAGGTTTAATTGGCTTATGATTCTGAGGCTGTAGGGGAAGCATAGTGGCTTCTGCTTATGGGGAGACATATGGAAGCTCCTAATCATGGCAGAAGGAAAAGAGGGAGTGAGGTGTCTCACAGGGCAGGGGCAGGAGCATGAGAGAGAGGGGGTTGGTGCTACGCAGTTTTACATAACCAGATCTCATGAGAACTCACTATTGTAATGACAGTACTAAGGGAGATGGTGACAAGAATCTGGTCTAATGATCCAGTCACCTCCCACCAGGCTCTACCTCCAACATTGTTAATTACAATTGAACATGAAATTTGGGTGGGGCCACAGAATCAAACCATATCAACACTACTAAAGCCCCAGAACCAGCTCTGACAGCTATGAGAGACTGACTTAGGGCTGGTGACTGGGGCCTTAGGGTTTAAGGTTATGGATGAAGTCCTGAGGGGCAGGGGTGTGCTTCCTCCTCTCCCTCACCCACCTATTGTGTCCAAAGACCTACTGGCTGGTCTTTCTCTTCCCTAGGGTGGTCAGACTGGAGAACTAGTGTCCCCTGACATCTCCACCTCCTGTACCAAGGACATTATGGGGTGTGGGGACAAACACTCACACTCAGGCTCTGCTCCTTAGGGGCTCAGTCTGAATCTGCCCAGAGCAAGATGCTGGGTGGTGTTGGAGGCTTCGTGCTGGGGCTGATCTTCCTCGGGCTGGGCCTTATCATCCGTCACAGGGGTCAGAAAGGTGAGGAACCCAAGGGGGAAATGGGGGAAGATGGGCTGTGACCCAGACCCTCTATTCAGAGAGGTTCTGTCTCTAGATGTAGCTCTTTCCTCCTTACCCTGAGAGGAAGTGCGAGGAGACAGGACAAGATTGGAGGAGGCATTGGAATCTGATTTTACTGGGTGAATGGTAGCGCTGCCAGAGCTGACTGATAGAGCTTATTCCAGGGCGTCCTTACCGTTCATCATCGTCTCACTGGCTCCTTTCTAAAAGCTTCCTCCATTAAGAGGGTCAGAGCCTCGGCCTCCTTGTCTTCTAGTGACAATTTCCTTTGTTTTGGGGGATTTTAACTTAGGGTGCTTAAGGACTTAAAGAACACGGGAGGGAAGAGGATATAACCCCAATTAAACTACATGTGTCATTTTCCTTTGGGGTAAGATAGTGGTTGTTTGTTTAACAAGACCTTTCTCTGTATAACTTCCTTTTGTAGGACCTCGAGGGCCTCCACCTGCAGGTAATATTTCAGCCATGATCCAGTCAGGGGAGAGGGCACAGGCATAAGAGGGAAGAGCCATGGTGAAACCGCATCTCTACTAAAAATACAAAAATTAGCTGGACGTGGTGGTGTGCATCTGTAATCCCGGCTACTTGGGAGGTTGAGGCAAGAGAATCACTTGAACCCAGGAGGCAGAGGTTGCAGTGAGCCAAGATGGCGCCACTGCACTCCAGTCTGGGCGATAGAGCTAGAGTCTGTCTCAAAAAAAAAAAAAAGAAGAGCATGAGCGGAGTGTTCCAGGGCACAGTGGTCTCTGTTCATGGCCTGTTTGCTGCTATGAGGGTTAAGACTTAGGGGAGAAGTTTGCCAGTTTCTACGAATCTCCAGAGATTGTTTCCTAGAACCAGGCCTTAACTTTGGTGGCATCTTTTTGTGAAATGTGGGGACAGAGCCACATCTTGAATGTGAGATAGTAGGGTGATGCCCACTTTGTGCCACATTTTGTTAGCTACTGCCTGTAGGCATTTTCAGTGACTAAAAGAGGCTGCTAGTGGTGGAGATGAAGTGTCACCCAATTTGCTAAAAAAATCAAACTCTTCATATTACCCAGAAGGGTAACTGCTGTTCCCCGACCTCCACATATCTGCATCAAGCTGAAGTTCTGTGTCCTCATGAGCTGATTTTACCTTTACACAGATATTGGGGAACGTGATGATGATATGCCCTGGACCTCAGCATCCTCTGTTTGATGCTGCAGAGGAAACTGAGGACTGGGGGAGAGGGTGTGTCCCTCAGGGTACCCTGTGCTGACCATGCCTCGTCTCTCTTCTCCAGGACTCCTGCACTGACTCCTGAGGACTTTTGTCTGGGATTGGTCATCACTCTTCTTTAATGCCCACCTGCCCCTGCCCAGAATTCCTAGCTGCCTGTTTCACCCTGTCCCACTGAGGTCAGAGTCCTACAGTGGCTCATGCAGCCACAGGTCACCTTCTGTGATCCCCACCCCAAGGCACTGGCGGTGACTCTGCTTCCTGCACTGACCCAGAGCCTCTGCCTGTGCACTGCAAGCTGTGTCTACTCAGGCCCCAAGGGGCATCTCTGTTTCCATTCTCCCCCCACAGACCTGTCAAGAGAAGCATGACAAACAAAATCATTTACCTGACTTTAGTGCTTTTTCCCATAATTAAACCTGATTCTGAGTTATCTGTATTCGGAACTTCCTTAACTAAGCAGAGGTAGGAAACCACTGCCAAGTGAAGGAACATACCTTGAGGTGACCCAGCCAAACCGTGGCTAGAAAGAGGGTTGTACTTTGAAAAGACACTGAAAGCATCTTGGGGTGCAAAGTAAGGGTAGGCAGAGGAGGTAGAAAATCAATTCAGTCATCACATCATTCATGGTTCTTTAATATTGATGTTCAGTGCAATGGCCTTAGGACATCCCAGCCTCTCTTCTGGTTTGGCAAGTGTTGTCTAAGTAAGCATGGTGGAATTGTTTGGGGACAACTATAGTGACTGATGTTTCAAATATATTCTGGCTGGCAAGTCACATCAATCAAGACTAATTTTTATTTTTAAGAAAGCATAACCAGCAATGAAAGTACTATTTTTGGTTCCAAATGATAGACACCCAACCCAAAGATATTTGATTCATGTTACAAGGAATGTTGGTTTCAGAAGTGACTAGTTCCAGATATTCAATGAGATCTTCATCTCTCTCTTCTCTTTCTGTTATAGTTTCATCTGTGCATCCTCCTCTCCTCTCCGTGTGTCTCTTTGTCCCTGTGTAGTTCTTTCTGTGTGTCTCTCTCCAGTTTTGTCTTTGTTCCCTTCTTGTGTCTCTTTCACTGCATTGTTGCCTTTCTCTATGTTTGTAATCCTTTGTCACTATTTATCTGCATTTCTTTCTCTTTTTCTTTTTGCATCTCTTTATTTTCTGCATCTCTCTTATCACCTCACACCTTATCTCATCTCTCTCTTCGTGTGAGTGTGTGTACGTGCGTGTGTGTGTGTCTGTCTTTGTTGTATATGTTTCTGAAGTGTCTACCAGAGTTTTAATAATTTGGGGAAAGATTCTGATTGTCCAAGCCTGGGTAACATGCACACCTCCCAAACACACCATCCTGTGCACAGGATGCTGCCAGCCAGCGTGCTCATCCCTCTTATTAGGAAGGAGGACTGGGTTTTCCAGATCCTTCTGATGCTGGAAATGACTTCCAGTGTGCAGATGTCTACACCAGCCATGTGGAGCACCTCAGCCTCCAGAGCCTCCTCACAGTAGAGTGGTGTAGGGGAAGTTTGTTTCTTGTGGAGGACACAGGTCAAACGGCAGAGCTTCCTCTGGTTCTAGGGTCCCTCAGTGGGGGTACCTGTTCACAACCATCTCATTCCTTGTCTGAGCTCCCTTTGTCATTGACATCGTAACCTGTTCATTCCTGATGACACCCTCTTCCCGGTTATGAGGGACGTCACTACACACTGTGACCCCTTTGATGTGGGCTCAGCCCTGAAGATGGTCTACATGTCAGTCTCTGGGTTTGTCATTAAGTCAGACAAGCTTTTCCAACCCTCAGCCCGCGGGCTGCATGCAGCCTATGACCGTATTTAATGCAGTCCAACACAGATTCTAGAACATTCAGTTCAACATTGTCACACTGAACACATCCTGGTTATGAGAGGATCAAAGTCTTTTTCCCTTTCTTCCACTGACAGTTTCATAGAAACAATTATTTTTTGCACCCAGATTTCATTGGGTAGTATAATCTTTAATTGATAATTAAAGTAACAAGTACATTTTTTATAAATAAGTTTGCTAACAAGAAGAATTGAGTCTTAGTCAGCATATAACTTGGAGGAAAGTGTGTGGGTGTTCTAGAGAACAACCTGCCAGTTGTGAGCATTTGTCCTTACCTTAGGAAATATCAGTATATCTTTCAGAGACAATGGTGCTCATCAATATGCCATAAGGTTCTTTACATCTCCCAGTCTTTTCTGCTGTTAGGTTGGGATCATTTGACTAATACTAGCCAATGGAACTTGCAAGTAGATGCACGATGAGACATTGGAAACTCCATATAACCTGAGTCACTGGAGAAACTGTGGAATTAAGTCTCTTTATTGAGTGACATCACTGAGATTTGTTTTTTACTGTGGGCTAAGATCTTACTGCACATTAACTTTACCCTTCTCAATAATCATGGAATGTTTAACTTCAGAGGAGAGTTCATAAGTTAATAGGGTGAATCAATTGAGTTAATAGAAATTGAGATGATTGAGATGATATTTTTAAACAAAAAAATTTTTGAAAATAAAGAACAGAAAACTTTATTTGAACAAGAAAAAGTTAAGAATGTTACATTTCAAAAAATTTAAATTATTTTTAATTTACAAATAATTATGAGTACTTATAAGGTACAATTGACATTTTGATATATGTATACACTGTGAAATGATTAAATCAAGCTAATTAACATATCCATCACTTCACATACTTATTTTTTTATGTGGTATGAATATTTAAAATCTGTCTTAGCAATTTTCAAATATACAATACAGCTGGCCCTGTATTTGTGGGTTTTG
Source organism: Homo sapiens (assembly GCF_000001405.40). Taxonomy (NCBI): domain Eukaryota; kingdom Metazoa; phylum Chordata; class Mammalia; order Primates; family Hominidae; genus Homo; species Homo sapiens. Next base: position 4,173,074 of record NT_167246.2, on the reverse strand, counting down.
CATCCTCTGATTCAGTCAATCATGGATTGAAAATATTTGGAAAAAATGATAAAATACAACAATACAACATAAAAATAATACAACTTAAAAGAATACAGTATAACAACTATTTACATAGCATTTACATTGCATTAAGTATTATAAGTAATCTAAAGATGATTTAAAGTATATGGGAAAACATACTTAGGTGATGTACAAAAACTAAGCCATTTTTAATAAGAGACTTGAGCATTCTTATATTTTGGTATCCAGGAAGGGTCCTAGAACCAATCCCTCATGGATGCCAAGGGACAACTGTATGATATTATTAACTAGTCACCATGCTGCGCAATTGATCTTCAGTACTTATTCCTCCTCTCTAACTGAAACTTGTACCTTTTGACCAACATCTCATTCCTTTTTCTCCCTCTCCCCACACCCCACCCCCTCCATGACTTTGACTTTTTAAGATTCTGCATATAAGTTAGGTCATGTCGTATTTATCTTTCTGTGCCTGGCTTATTTCACTTAGCATAATGTCCAATGGGTTCATCCATGCTATAAATGACAAGATTTCCTTCTTTTATAAGGCTGAATAGTATTCCATTGTGTATATGCACCACATTTTTTTTATCCATTCATCTGCTGATGGATAGTTAGGTTGATTCCATCTCTTGGCCATTGTGAATAGTGCTGCAATAAACACGGGAGTGCAGATATCTCTTTGATACAGATTTCATTTTCTTTGCATATGTACCCAGAAGTGGAACTGCTGGATCATGTGGTAGTTTTATTTTTAATTTTTAAATAGATGCTGAATTTTATCTGTTTGTTTTCTTCCACATGAATGTATATGTACTCCCAGGAACTAGAACAGTGTTTCTGTCGTCAGTGCTGTTCCACTGTACCTAAACTCCTCCCTTTGAGACTGAAAGATTTATTCTGTCATTGCTGGGAATGTTGCTGGCTGACTGCCCTCAGCTGTCAGTCATGCCCCGGAATTGCCTTTGGTGATGAAAGCTGCCTCATCGGATTTTGATCCACTTCCCAGGAGGAACTCACCTATAATGATTGGTCAGTATAGGAGTATAAAAGCCTGCTCTAATTTAGGCCAACTCTGAGGGGCTCTTGCAGCTTCCGAATAGCTTAGTTAGGCCGAAGGATAACAGTCCATTTTTTTTTTGTAACTGAAATAATAGTCCAATTTCTAAAACCTTGCTCTAATTCGTGAGTCATTTTACATACTTTTTCCAGTTGTGATTGTAATTTAAATATATTGATCTTTGTGACTTCTGTAAGTATGGGCAATGCCTCTTCCCCTCCTTCTTGGAAGATGAAGTTATTGGCATTTTTACCCTCCCTTTCCCCTCTCCTTTACGCTTCCACTTGCCAAAATGAAGTATCTACATCTTTTTTTCCCCCAATATTGTCAAAGCTGAAAATATTGACATTCTGCTGTAGCAATAAGATTCCTTGGGCTTTGCTCACAGCTTAATTCTAAATTTGAAAAGAAAAGTTTATTGCTTTCTAAATATCACTTATGTAGTCAGGTATTCTTTGCTTGCCAAGAAACTGCTGTAGTAGGATCCCTTTTCAGTGAGATCCTGGGTTAAACCCAGTTTCCTGGATTCCTTACCTTCCTATATCCTGATTAACAATCTCAATTGGTCATATCCTTAGTCAATTTCTAGTAAAACTCTGCGTGGTAGGTAAATTTTATGTCCTTTCACATTCACAGGTATTTTTATTCTTTCTCCATGCCTGATTGTGACTTTGAAAAGGTCTACATTTATTATTAAAAAATAATTTTCCTTTAGAACTTCAAGGACTTTCTCATTATCTTAATAATAGAAGTATTTTGTTTGTTGTCAGTTTGTTTCATTTTGGTTTCCCCCACTGGAATATTTTATGACTTTTCTAACACCTGAAGTTCTGAAATTTTGAAAATGAGTTATTTAGAAGTGAGTCTGTTAATTTTGCTAAATACCTGACAAGACTATTCCATGGAAGAATTAAATCCTTCATATCTGGAAAATTTTCCCTTATTATTTGTTCTGATCATTTTCTCCCTTCATCTTCCCTGTCAGTCTCTCTAGCTTTGTCACTTGATTTTGGACTTCCTTGGTCTGTTCTCCATCTTATTGTTTCTACCATATATTACACTTTTTTTGCCTTTTAAATTACTGTGAGATTTTCTTGATTTAATTTTCCAATCTTTCTATTAAATTTTCCAATTGTTTTTAGCATTCTATTATTACTTTTACAGATCAAGAATTCTAATTAGAATGACTTTAAACTTGTTTGCTGTTACATGAACTTTCTCTATTAAATCTGTGATAATTTTCATGTTATTTTATTCTCATCTTCTCTTTCATATTGTAAGAGTTTCTCAAACATTTGCTCTGCCCTCTTCAACCTTGTCCTTTACCTACTGTATACCATCTTATTTCATCTCAAGATACATTTCTTCAAGCCACTTCTAAACTGCCCCAAATTATACCTGGTTCCTGTGCAACACTCTCTCATTTTACCTCATTCTTTTTCTTTATAAATGTTTCAGACCTTGTAACTATGTTTGTGGAATTATGTAATATATGTATTTTCCTCCCACTGGGATGTAAGTTCTATGAAGATAATGAATGTAATTGTTTTCCCATTATTTTAATAACATTCAACAAACTATGAGTACTTATTACAGCACTGGTACTCAATGACCATTTTTGCATTTTTGATGAATTAGTGAATATATAAACAAGTCTGGGGGCTTAGTCCAGCCAATAATAAAGCAAGCATTACTTTGCTTTCCTTTGTTATTATTAGTTCCTGCATACACATTCTTTACAGTTGCATTCCTGAGAGGTTCTTACAGTCTTGGGCAGGCAGGCCTTGGACAGGGTTTCCTAAATATGATAAAAATGAGAAAACCTGAAAATCTAACATAACTTCAAACAGAATGCTTGTCTGCCTATGTTTATGGGACTTTCCTGAATACATTTAAAAAAAAAAAAAACCTTTGTATTACAGAAAATTTCAACTGTGTGCAATAGTAGAAAGAAGAATTCCATGTATCAACAGCCTCGCTTTAACAATAATCAATTCATGAGCAATTTTGTAAACCCACCCAGTTATCATACAGGCACATACTGGATTATTTTGAAGATATTTTTAGGTATCATATTTCATTTATACATTTTTATTATGGAAATCTAAAATATAATGGCTTTTTAGAAACATAACAGCAATGCCACTAACACATTTAAAACGAGATAAATAATTCCTTAATACACTCAGTGTCAATTTTTCTGATTGCCTCATATAAATTTTTTAACAGATGTTTTGTTTGAATATGAATCTAGACAAAGCTCAGCATTTGGTTACTATATTTCTTCAGTCTTTTTCAAGTGTATAGCTTTTCTTTTCTCTATTTTTAACTTTTTTTGCAAATTGTTTGCTGGAGAAATCTTTTTATTTAATCTAGTAGAACTTCTCATATTCTGAATTTTGTTGCTTACATCCTTGTGGTGTCATTCATCATGGGATTTTGTCTTGGACTCCAGAAAATAACAATAACACAAATTTGTTAACTTCTATAAACTGCTTACTATGGGCCAGTCTGTGTGTGAAGTGCTTTATTTGTAATGTTTAATTCTTCATATCTCTAGTTTGTATGTGGTAAGTACAAACCTGAAATATTTTACGTGATTTTTACGTTTTGTAATTTTTATTTATTCGTTCATTTATTTATTTATTTTTAGAGACAGGGTCTCGCTGTGTTGCCCAGGCTGGAGCGAGTGCAGTGGTGCAGTCAATCCTAGCTCACTGCAGCCTCGAACTCCTGGGCTCAAGCAGCAATCCTCCTGCCTCAGCCTCCCTACTAGCTGGGACTACAGACTGGTCTCCATCTCCTGGGCTTTAAGGGACCCTCATCTTGTGCTGAGATTACAGGCATGAACCATTGTGACTGGAAATTTTGTAAAATTTAAACAATGTGATATTACCTATTAATGAAGTCATATTTTATGTATGTAATCTGAAATAATTCAGATAACAATTAATTTTTAAGAATCATTTAATTTAAAATCATGCAGCCTGATTTATAACTGTTTATAATATTATAATAATAATGATGATTTCACTTTGAACTTTTAGCTGATAAAAAGATATATTTGCTCTATTTTATAAAACTATTTTTAACTATGCTATTTTAACATTATATAAATACTTTTTGAATACATTCTTTCAGTAAAATCCAACTACCATTATATTTGCTTTCCTCAGTATTTCTTGGGGAAGGATTCTAAACAGGGGAGCATTTGTGTATTTCTGTATGACTCTGGTTATAATGCCATTCAATGTAAGCCTTACACACACACACACACACACACACACACACACGGACACACACACACAAATGCACACACCTCCAGAATGCTGGGTTCTTGGCTCATGAATCATTGAAATTTATATAAAATTTATTTTAAATCCTATTGCAGAAAAGTTCTTAGCACGTTCATGCATTTTCATGTGACCATTTTTATACTACAGTTTTAATTTTATATATTTGGGATCATTATTGTTGACCTTTTCTTTTCTTTTTTTTTTAATAGAGTTTATTTTAGAGAAGTTTTAGGTTCCCAGAAAAATTGTAGAGTACAGATAGATGTATCCCATATGCTCTCTGTTCCCACACATGCATGGCCTCCCCCGCTAGTAACATCCTCCACGACAGAGGTACATTTGCTACAACTTATGAACTTACACTGACACATCATTATCACCCAAAGTCCATAGTTTATACTAAGGTTCATTCTTGGTGTTGTACATTCTATGGATTTGGGCAAGCGCATAATGATATTTATTCACCATTGTGGTATCAAATAGAGTAGTTTCATTGCCCTAAAAATCCTCTGTGTTCTGTGATGGACGTTTTCATGATCACCACTGGTTCAGATTCCCTGCACTTACTAATTCCCAGTCTGCATTTATAATTATTTTCTCCCGGAGTCTCCCCACCTCCTCCCCAAAGTAAATATGGATAAACTGCTGTTGCATATAATTCACCTTGACTTAAAATTTATGGGCCATAAGGAGGGAATATACCCCTTAGAGAGTTAAAAACCGAAGCCAAATATTACAACTTCTTGTCCTAAGAGTTCTCTTAGCAACCCAATCTCAGCCTCTCAAGAAAGAAAAAAATCCTCCAGTTAACATATGAAAAGAAACTCACTTTTACGTCTACACTTGAATCTCCTAAATCACTAAAGGGCTAAGGAAAACAAATGTACTTTTCATATAATATGATCCATTCTTTTTAATAAATCCATTATAAACATAACTGCAGTGTTTTCTTATGTATTTATATAGTATGTGTAAGGCACTGTCTATATACCAAGATTATTCAAATTCCGTCAATAACTCTGCAAGGAAAATATTATCACTCCCACATTGTGGATGAGAAAAATAAGGTTCAGAAATGTCAATCAGATACTTTACCCAGTAGAGTTTAAAATATTAGCTTCAAAATACTGAGTCATGTATTTAGATTTAGGTTTCTTTGTACAAAACTATGCTGTATCAATTATTATGTTAATGTTTTGTCTTTTTTTTTTCTCCTATTACATTTTAAACTCACTGATGCAGATAGCATGGACAGAAATATCCTGGCAGATTTCATAGCTGTTTAGAGCCCTCAGGTCCCTGTGGACCCATTTCCTCTGAGAGATTTTCTATTAGGAGACCACGAATCCAGTGTAGGACAGAGCACCCACTACTGCTGCTACATTGTCTCAACTGTCTTGTTCTTCCTAGGATCTCTCTCTCATAGGCTCATGCTTTCCTTAGCCAGGAAAGGTGAGGAGCAGGGGGCTGGGGCCCCTAAATAGGTCTGTAGCTTCTACTTCTATCCGTTTTCCATTGTCACTAACCCTAAGTAAGGAACAAGCATTTGTTCCTTTTCAGATACCCACTTATATTATTGCCTTATTTTAATATTTTTCTTTTTTAAAAAATTTATTTATATGTATTTATTTATTTTTGAGATGGAGTTTCATTCTGTTGCCCAGGCTGGAGTGCAGTGGCACAATCTCATTGCAACCTCCACCTCCCAGGTTCAAGCGATTCTCCTGCTTCAGCCTCCTGAGTAGCTGGGATTACAGGTGCCCACCACCATGCCCAGCTAATTTTTGTATTTTTAGTAGAGACAGGGTGTAACCACGTTGGCCAGGCTGGTCTCGAAGTCCTGACCACAAGTGATCTGCCCACTTTGGCCTCCCAAAGTGTTGGGATTATAGGTGTGAGCCACCGTGCCTGGCCTTATTTCAATGTTTTTCTAACTGGCTTCCATTTCTTTTCCTGCCTAGAGAATTTTTATCTCCTCAAGGTGAGAAGGGGAGAGGAAAGCTTCTACTGTTGTCATTCTTCACAAATTTAAAGTTTTGAGAATGCAGTTTGACTTTTGGTAACAAAATTTTTTACTTTTGATAACTTTTGAGATTCAAAATTCTTGTATCCTATTTCTCTGTCATTCCTTTTAAGAGCCATATTGAAATTAGTACAGACTTTTTTTTTTTTTTTTTTTTTTTTTTGTATTTCTGCTATAACCATTCTGAGCCAAGGGCAGAGGGTTCGTTGGTACCTGAATTGAAGGGTGGGTGGCAGTGGCCAAGGGTAGGAACAAAAGGAAGAAAGAAATATTAACACCAGTTAAGAAATCAACAAATTATCAGGATACACTGTACTTGGTTGCTCCTGTGTTACTGGACATGAAATATGATCTGGGGAATGATATGAAATTGGCCTAAAACATAAGAGTCGCCCATTCTAAGTTATGCTCTCAGTCAGCCCTGAGATGAAAGATGGGAAAAATTCAATAGAGGCATCATAAAAGGGAATTTATTGCTTCCATGGAGATTTTAGATAAAGGTCATTGAGGAATTAGGTAGCTAAGTGGCTTACCCAGGCATCCCTTAGTAGGTAACATTTGAGAAAATAAAAAAATTCAGGAAAGGAGGTCAGGGAAAGAATTGAAAGGTATTTGTGAGCTCTGAGGGAATATAGCACCTTAAGTCCCAGAGAAGAGGTGAGAGAAGAAACATTTGGAGGAGAAAAGGGATATGATAAATCAGGCCAGAGAATAGTGCTAGGTCATTTAGCAAGTCCATTCTTCTTCTCCTGTAGATGGTGATGCACCTGCAACAGGACAGACATGAGATCGATGGGTCTGAGGGGCCTCCTGTGTGATCATCATGCCACTTCCCAATTCGCCTACAACTTTCAACCACATTCATGTCCACAACCCCCTCCCACTTTCCTCCCTCTCATACTGAGGTTTCAGCTCCAACAAATCTCAATCTTACCTTCCTTTTCAGGATGGGATTCACAAGAGCCCTTGGTGTCTGGAAGCACCAACTGAACGCAGGCCTTGGATGATGAAGACAGTGCCCACCACAATGCCCATGAGGCCCGCAGACAACCCCAGGGCGCAGACCAAAGTCTCTGTGAGCTCTGACATAGGGGCTGGAATCTCAGGCTCTGTGAAAGTGGAGCTGTTGAGGTCAGAATGTGCAGTGTGCTCATGTGCATGTGTGTGGGATGGGATGGGGTGGAGGGCTGGCTCTGCAAGACTCAAGGCCCCAGGCTTAGGGAGAAGAGTGAAGTCTATTATTAGAAACCCATGAAGTGGTGGAACTCATCCTTACCCCAGTGTTTCAGAAGAGGCTCGTCCAGGCCCCAGTGCTCCACCTTGCAGTCATAAATCTCATCAGCAGAAGGGAGGAAGGTGAGGTAACTGATCTTGAAGAAGGAATGATCACTCTTGGAGAGGAAGCTGGTCTCAGAAACACCTTCTGTGACTGAGTGCCCATTGCTCAGCCAGGTGATGTTGACCACAGGAGGAAAGATGTTGTCCACAAGACAGATGAGGGTGTTGGGCTGACCCAGCGTCACAGGAAACTTGGAAAACACTGTGACCTCAGGAACCTCTGTGGTGAGGAAACAGCACTGATGTGAAGTGTGAATAGCTCTGCCATGAGCTTCTGCATTACATCCTGGAAGAGCCCTCCTACCAGCATTTCACCACCTGATAGTCAAAGAGGTCTTATTTACCTTCTGCTTGGGAGCAACGACACATTGCCTCTGCTTTATTCCTGTGCCCTTCTCTCTGTGGGCATGTTTAATAAAGTAGGAATTAATACATAATGGAAAGACCCTTGTATTACATGGGAATATGTGATTTTAGAGATGGGAGATGATAAAATTTCAGCAATTACCATGAGAAGATCTGGAAATCTCTTGAGAAGAAGGGAGTAAAACTTGGTATGAAAGATTAGTTTCAGTAAAGAGAGGCGGAATGGTGGACACATACCATTGGTGGCAGCGGTAGAGTTGGACTGTCTCATCATGAATTCCAAGGTGTGTTTTCCCACAGCCATATTTCTCAGTGCACTCTGCGGGTCAAAACTTATAAATTTGCTAAACATAGGCAACTGCCAGACAGTCTCTTTCGTCTCCAGGTCCACGTAGAACTCCTCATCTCCATCAAATTCATGGGTGTACTGGCCAGAGGGACCGTGAGACTGGTAGAAGTTCACACCATAGGAGGCAACATGGTCAGCTGACGAGTGAAGGTGACAAGCAGGAGGGTGGAACACAGGGAGAAAGAACCTTAATACAGAAAGTGATTGAAGAAACTCACTTTCAAATATTATGGGCTTCATCTTTGGCACAGTCCCTGAACAATCTTCCTAACACCTGCTTCCTCCTTGCCTAACGTTGGTAGTCATCAGGTTAGAACTGATTCTGTCTTTCTCACTATAACATATGCTCCACAAAGGCAGAACGTCACACGTCTGTTATTTCCTGAGTGCCTACTTAGTGCCTGGCACATCATAAGCTTATGATGAATATTGCAATAAACAAAGGAAGGAAGGAATGAATGAGTTATCATAGGATTTAGTTTTCTTACTCAGAGATTCAGTTTATTTCCCTCTGCTTCCTAAGTTTTCTCTCTCAGTTAATAACAAGTTGATTATACTTCGTTTCCTGTCAGGACTAGATCAGAACAGGACACTTTCTACACAGAGTTTCCTTTATTCTTTTTTTTTTAAACCAAAGAAAAGCATGTAGGAACGTATTAACTTAAAAGAATTTCTTCTAACAATTATAGGGTACGAGAAAGACTATTACAAGAATAGCAACATTATACATTTATAACAAATAAACAATTCTTCTAAGGTCTCTGTTTTGTTAATAGTAGTGGTCCTTAGAGGAGAGCACCTGATTTCTTCTGAAATGAAAAGTGGAAGCTCGACTGGTTTTTTAATTTCTGTCATTGCCCCCACTTTTTTTTTTTTCCTCTGAAGGAGGTTACTAAATGTCTATAGTGTTCTGATTCAACAATTACATTCACTCGAGGACTCAGGTAAATTAAACCCTTTTTCCTCTAATGGGCAGTGAGCTTATCCGAGGATGCAAGGGCAGAGCAGCAGCCATGAAGTATAGCCAAATGAGCCGAACTGGACATTTTTGTTAAGACATGTGTGAGCCCTTTACCATTTTATCTTTCCTTCCTTCCTTCCTCATTTACTGAGCATCCAAAAGTGTCAGACAGAGCAGGGGTTGCTTAAAACAGCATCAAGGAATGAACTGAATAGTGGGAGAATCAGGTCGGTAAGGGAGCAAATACAATGTACTTTGGGGAGTTCTGTGAGGAGGATATCGACAGCCTTACAGTCCGACATTCTTCACAACTATCTGCCAATCAAACCAAACTACATTTCCTTTCATGTCTTTGCAAGGGTCTGTTTTTTCTCCCTGAAATAAGTTATCTTTTAGGATTTCCTGGAGAAATCCTAAAATTCATCCTTGAGGTTTCTACTTAGTTAACAACTTTGCAGCTAAGTGCTCTCAACATGTTTTTGACCGCGTTGTGACCTCCAACGCCTCAATGGAATCTCAATGTCTGGCTCTCCAAGTTTGTCTGTTCCTCCTCCAGCTCACCTTCTTCCCTACCCAGCATGACTGCCCTGGTTGGTTACTTAACAGGCCACCAACAAAGACTCCTTATCCTTACAATAAACTTTGACTCCTTGTTCAAACATGAATATATGTGGAATACATGCAATCCTTCTTTTCATCTGGTACTTGTCCTGGGTGCTGAGTGTTGCTGGAGGACATCACTCTACTGGCCCAGCTGGAACCAAGTCATTTTTATAGTTTCAGCCTCTGCTGGGCCACTGTCCTGCTCAGCAGGGCCTTCTGCTTTCCTGTGCCCCATACTGTTTCCATCACTGGTTTGTGCACCCTCTGCAAGGCAGACAGCATGATTTTTTATCTTTGAATTCCCAAAAGTTAGCTCATTGTGTGCTCAAACATGTGTATTGAATGACAATTGCAATTTTTGACAATTACATAGATTTTGGGGAAGACTGACAGGCACCCAGGTAGCAGAACCACGCAAAGCCCAGGATCAGGGATGCCCAGGGCTGAATTCTGACTTGTGAGCCCCGAGCACTGTTGCTTTTGTGGGCGCCTTCCTCCATAAAAATACGGAAAATTACAGCTTCTGATTGTATTGGTATAAAGACAAATACAATCCAGGCTACATTAAAAGTTAAGGCCGGACGCGGTGGATCACGCCTGTACAAATCCCAGCACTTTGGGAGGTTGAGACGGGCGGATCATGAGGTCAGGAGATCGAGACCATTCTGGCTCACACGGTGAAACCCCGTCCCTACTAAAAATACAAAAAATTAGCCGTGCGCGGTGGCGGGCGCCTGTAGTCCCAGCTACTCGGGAGGCTGAGGCAGGAGAATGGCGTGAACCCGGGAGGCGGAGCTTGCAGTGAGCCGAGATCGCGCCACTGCCCTCCAGCCTGGGCGACAGAGCGAGACTCCGTCAAAAAAAAAAAAAAAGTTAAAACATTTTCATAGACTGTAAAACTTCATTTTTCTTCTAATTTTAAAACGAGTTAAAACGTTCTCTTGTAGCTTTACAGTTTGGAAACTCTCCTTCACTGCCCACACTGTTCCTAATGGATAAGTCGAGCCTCACCGGGGCACTCTGGTGTGAGGTTGAAGAAAGGAGATTTGAAACAAAAAAGCCAAGTGCTCTGGAGAAGCAGGTGAAACTTCCACTGCCAAACAAAATCAGAATGGGAGCAGCCATGGTTAATAAGGTTGTGGAAGTTTCGAGTAGCTTCCAGTTCACTTCCCCTTTTAACTATTTGACTTTCCAACTTTTGTTTTACAAACTCACTGCCCATGTCTGTAAAGGAGCAGGGAGTCAGAGATGGATCCTGAAAGGGAAGAGGGAGAAAGGGATGCATGAAGAGAGGTGGGAAGAGATGGACGACAAAGGCAGAGGGGACTAAGGGACCAAATAATTAATCTGTGCCTGCCCATTTTTCTCTTTATAAGACTTCATTAGATAAGGTGAAGAACAAGTAATTTGGGTTGACAATTTGAGAATAAAATAATTTAATTTACCAAGCATTTTATCATAAAGTTCTCAGTTTTAAAATATATTCCTTACTTTGCTAAAGAAAAAATAAGAAGTTATACCTGTAATAGAAATAAGTTAAAAAAAGTTGACATTCGTGTTTTTACTATTCATAAAGCATATCTACATGCCCATTTTATTTGATCATAAGCGAGGTGACATATATGAGGTAGCAGAGAGTAAGTACCACATTTACCACGTGGTAAAATGATTGTTGAAGGCATTCAGCCTGCTGGGCTCTTTCACCTACTCCCCACCTGTGCCAATTCCCATGTGGAAATGTAAGTCTGAGAGAAAGAAAAGAACCTCTTTCTTTATATCTACAGAGTGTACATACTTCATGGAACTATCTACCCCAACATATGCTATAGGAGGCATATGAAAAGCTTCAAAAGTTGTTCAGAGAAATTTGGGAGTAACAGTTCAGAAATTTTTAATAACAAAAAAATACTCCATTCATGGAAACATCCCTAGTTTTTGAGGCAATCATGATGGAATGCCACACAGACCTCCAGGCTATAGTCTCTGGATATAATATAAACAGAACAACGTCCTTGGTAAACTCCAATAGCACAGGTAGCAAAGAGAGTCGGTTGGAGCTCTGGTTTCCTAAAGGAGGAACTGCCATAATTTTAAAATTTCTTAATATTGAAAAGACCCTTGGGAAATTTCTACTATTTCTTAGCAAATTGCACTCTTTCTTTTCCTTTAATTTACTGTTTTTCAGCTCCAGAGAACATTCCTCACTCATGCACTCACCCACAATGTCTTCACCTCCACAGGGGCTCATCACGGCAGTCAGGGCGAGGGCCCCCAGCAGCAGAGCTTTGTTTAGGATCATCTTCTTCCCAAGGCAGCCTCAGCAGTTGCTGCTCTGAGCTGCAGAGCAATTGTGAGGACCTCGAGACAAGCAAATCTGAAGACACCCAAACCAAACCCTGCCAGGTCAGGTTTTGGCCAATCAGAAAAATCCCCTATGGTGACATATTGTTTGCCAGTTGCAGAGTTTATATTAAGAGCCCTGGAAGAAGACAGGGACATCCTCTGGTTCTGACACATCCTCCACACAGCATGGTCTTGAGGAAATTTTCTATAAATAAAGGGAAGATACTAAATCTGAATCTTCTGTCATGTGTGCATGTCTGCTAGTGTCAAGAGGGGCGGGAATTTCCGAGCAGCCGCTTGGATAGGTAAGGTCATCAATAATATGGCATCCTTCAGGGTTTTCTGGGTTACATTCTCCAGGAATTCTTCCCTGAAGTGGTTTTCCTCCCTGGCAGTCCCCATCCCCTCCCCTTTCTCTGGCTTCTGTATGTGGGTTAGCTGTTTTTCTTTTTGCTTCCATAGTGTATATGGTATTCCCCAAATTTTGACTTGACCCCACCTTCCTAGGGATCTCTGCTGGTGGTAGCCAAGCAATACCTTTGCCTTTTCTACTTGTATAAATCCAGTTGGGTAAGTTCTCAAAAGCTCCAGGTGTTTTTGACCAGGGCAATTAAAGGGGTTAGACTGTCATGCGGTGCTGCCTACAGTAACCGATCTTTTACACAGTTTTTTCTTTTGCTTCTAGTAATCTTTATGCTCTGTGTTTCGGTGCTGCTTGAATATATTTAAAGGAAATTTAGGGACATTGATTACATTAAAAAAGTTTTGGCTGGCTCAATTACTCTAATAATTTATTTTATTTTATTTTATTTATTTATTTATTTTAAGACGGAGTCTCGCTCTTTGGCCCAGGCCGGACTGCAGTGGTGCTATCTCTGCTCACTGCAAGCTCTGCCTCCTGGGTTCACGCCATTCTCCTGCCTCAGCCTCCCGAGTAGCTGGGACTACAGGCGCCCACCACCACGCCCAGCTAATTTTTTGTATTTTTAGTAGAGATGGGGTTTCACCGTGTGAGCCAGGATGGTCTCGATCTCCTGACCTCGTGATCTGCCCGCCTCGGCCTCCCAAAGTCCTGAGATTACAGATGTGAGCCACCGCGCCCGGCCAGTAATTTTTTTTTTTTTAATTTAAGAATGTCAAGTCAAATATTGAGAGTAGAATAAGGAGAATTGCTTTAACTTAGAAAATAGGTTTACTTTTCTTAAACTACTGGATCTTTTCATATTTGTTATCCAACCACATTAAGATTTCAGATATTGCAAGGGACTAGGGAATGAGCTAAAAGGTAGTCATTACAGGGAAACTTACCTTTTTTCAGATGAATCTATTTTCTGTATGTTATAGAAACAACAAGTTAGTAATGGAGGTTTCATTTAGAATCACTCTGTCCTTGTCGAATGGCCTTCTGAGATTCTCAGCATGTTGTCTTGCCTCCCAGTGGCAGAGACTAAAAAAAGGTAAAATAAAAAAGTGTCCTGATACCTGGGGGCTGCCTGGATGCAATTAACAAGGCCTTGGGGTTGCTAGGAGCTAGCCTTGTATTCACAGCTGGTTTTGATTCTCCCGTTGAAGATAATCAATTTCATAGAACATCAGAATCAGACAGGTAGTCTGTGAGTGCGATGGATTGAGACAGAAAATAAGGCCACTCAGTCATCACGTCTGCACCCGGACAAAACATGAATATTGTCCAAACTACAAAAATAACCAGGCACATCTCTCGAAAGAGTGATTGCTGCTTCTTTACCAATGACAGCCGTAGCCTCAGGATAGTCTTCCGTCCTTCTAGGTAGTATTTATGAAGCTACCCAATCATAGTATTGCCATCCCCACTCCCTGCTTTCTGTCAGAATCCAGTTAAAAATGAAGTCCCTCTTTCTTAAATCCTCCTCAAAATTACCTAACACAAGCACAAATCTTACAATTGATTAATGGTCAATTTTATGTGTTGACTGGACTGTGGTCCCCAGTTATTCACACACTAATAATCTAGGTGTTGCTGTGACGATAATTTGTAGATGTCATTAAAGTTCATAATCAGTTAACTTTAAGTATGAATTTATCTGAGATAAATTGGGTGAGCTTAGTCTAAGCAGTTGAAAAGTCTCAAGAGCAGAGCTGAGGCTTCTCTGAGGAAACAGAAATTCCACTGTGGACAGCGCGTCAGCCAGTGCTAAGAATTTCAACCTGCCTTTCCTGATGACCACCTCCCAGTGGGTCTTAGACTTGCCTAGTCCACCCCCACAGTTGCACAAATTAATTCCTTTCAGTCATTCTCTTAATATATGTGTTCTCCTAGTTCTACTTCTTTGGTTCCAACAATCTCTTACTGAACTGCTGCATGATTCCCCATGGTGACTTTTCTCCATCATTGCAATGAACAATAAAGCCAACTTGTTCATTCAAGGATATGCTCTTCGTGGTCTTTGGCCGGAGGCACTGATGGTACCTCATTAGGCAGTTGTGAGGAATGTACATATACTGCACTTGGAATGAATTACTCTTTATAAATACTTGTCATACTTTAGTATCATCCACATTTTTCAAGGAGGACATTAAAACTCAGAGAGGTAAAGGACTTTTCCCAGGGTCACATGGCTCGTAAGTAGTAGAGATGGGATGCTACAGGGGCAAGCCATGATTCCTCATGAGGGGTGAGGGGTGAGGGGTGTCTCCTTCTGTGTGGATTCAGAGTAAGTGCCCTAATACGATTAGGAGAGATATATGACACTATACATGGCCTTATTACTCTTTCTAGCCACTGCCATTGTGAACTAAGAGGGTTTTTGAGGTTGCAGTTGAGCTCTGCTCCCTTCACCGTGCAGCATCCTCTTTGCTGTGTAGTAAATAACACATTTCTATCTTTTTTCCCCTGTATCCAGACTTACCTGCTTTGTATCTGACAGAAATTCCTTAAGATTTTGGCAAATGAACTAAATCTTTCCTGATAGTACTCCAGAATTTCCCCTATTAATATTACAGTTTAAAAAACTCAACTCTAATTAGGAAGTTAGGGTGTTAAATGTGGGATCAGAATTGTATCTTAGAAGGGAAGTCGTGGGTTCAGTCTCAGATCTCACATCCTGTGGGATGGAGGGAAAGTCCAAGCAAGGCCACGTCATTGACTAAAAGATAATAGATGCCCTTTCTATCTTTAACTGGTTTTGTGTCCCTCTCCTCCTCCTGCTTCATCCAGCCAGAATACAGCGAACCTTGTTCTATTTGCTTCTGTTTTCAGGTCATAATTTTAATGCAAGATAGAATAATCAGTAAATTAGACTCAGAAGAACAGTATACCATTTTAACAGAAACCAATTTCTTACTTTTGTCTTGTAGAAATAGAAAAGGTCCTCAGTAGTTTGGGAGGCTGAGGCAGGCGAATCACAAGGTCAAGAGATCGAGACCATCCTGGCCAACATGGTGAAACCCCATCTCTACAAAAACAAAAACAAAAACAAAAAAAAATTAGCTGGGTGTAGTGGCACGCGCCTGTAGTCCCAGCTACTACTCGGGAGGCTGAGGCAGGAGAATCGCTTGAACCCGGGAGGCGGAGGTTGCAGTAAGCCGAGATCGCACCACTACACTCCATGCACTCCAGTCTGGTGACAGGGCGAGACTCCATCTCAAAAAAAAAAAAAAAAAAAAAAAGAAAAGAAAAGAGAAAAGAAAAAAGAAAAAGTCCTTTTCATAAAGTAATAATGAGAGTAAAATTTGGAGCTCAAAATACTACTTTGTCTAATAACTTTCTTAGAAAGCACTAATTGACATGCCATTGATTTCGTAACTAAAATATCAATGGGATATGCCATTACAATTGATATTATTAAGGGCCCTCTAAGAAATTAGGCAGAAATTATGTTAGTTCTAAGGAGCAGTTATAACATTCTCTAAGACCCTATCTTTAGGTCTAATTTTATGCATTGATGAAATTTTACTCTGAAGGCCAAGACTTCTATCTTGCAGTAGTTAAAGGTGCTTCACAACAATAACAGAGTCTAGAATAGCAAAATAAAAATATTATAGATTTTGTAATAAAATAAATATGTATTCCATGCTGCTTTTGATTTTATCAGCTCCATCACCCTTGGCAAGCCACTCAGAATACCTGAGCCTTAGGGTTATTTTCTATAATGTGGGATGAAAACTATTAGAAGATAATTAATATGATGAAATGATAGATAGGTACAAATTATACAGTTAAATACAGGCCAGTGTCTGACACCTAGCAACTATTCCCAAGTGGGAGCTGCTACATAAAGACAAATATTAATAATGATAATGATAGTAACATCACATATTGGGCTGGGACAGACTATTACTTTTTCTTCATTCATTTAAGCTTCTCCCTGTGGCACTCCAGGCATATAGGAGCCTGTGAGCCACAGAAACACTAAGAGATTTCTAGGAAACAGAATTTCTTTGAAGACTGTTGTATCTGTCAGATTTTTCTATGTAACAAACTATTCCAAAACTTAATGACTTCCAACAACGATTTAGTATCTTCGTATGATTCTGTAAGACAGACATTCTAAAATGGGGCCAATAGAAAATTCCTGCAAGTGATGTTTGACAATGTCTGGAGATACTTTTGTTGTCATTACTGGGGAGGGTGCTACTGGCAGGTATTGGGTAGAGGCCAGGGGTGCTGTTACACATCCTGCAATGCACATGGTAGCCTCCTACAAGAAAATAATCACCTGAAACAAAATGCCAACAGTTCTGAGGTTGAGAAGCCTCATTTTAGACCATTTTTTAAATGTGAAAAAATGTTTCATTTCCAGCGTTTATTTCTTTGTATAGATCCAGGTTTCTATGTGATATCATATGGCTACCGTGTGAAGGTCTTCCTTTTACATTTCTTATGGTGCAAAAATCCCATGGACACCAATATTCCCACGACTCAAAGATAATAATGAATGCATGACTATCTCAAGTGCATAGGCGCGGAGAGGAGGACAAATGAGAGTGGAAGCATTCCCCTGCCCCCATCTTCTCTCTTTAGTGCCCATTGTAAGCCTTTCAAGCTCCACCATCTCTCAGGTGCAAGATTGTCCTTGCCAATCTTCTTTAGTCAATGGGATACTTTTAGAGAAATACTATAGCAAGAATAATTTTTACTCAACTTGTATCATTGTAAATAATTTATAAAATATTTCTTTTGTTTGAGGTATTTTTCAAAATCCCCAAACATCACACATATCTGGATTCATTTTTCCCTAAAGTTGTCAGTTATTAAAACATTTGAATTATTCTTGTGTTATTATTTCTGTTTTTAATGTTCTGGCAAAATCACAACTTAAAATTTCTAGGTAAAATGCTTTACATATACATGATGACCTTTGGTAAATACATATGAATAATTTCATATAAACACTTGCTTTTAAAGTTTCCATTTAAAATTATTTGTCATTTTAAAATCACTAATGCTAAGTAAAAATAACTGTACAGCTGACTGTGGAGGTGTGTGCCTATACTCCCAGCAATTCAGGTGACTGAGGTAGGAAGATCACTTGAGCCAAGGAGTTTGAGGCCAGCCTGGGAAACATAGTGTTACAGGACTTTTCCTTAGTTCAGCTAATGACAGCGTCCTTGCCACACAGCCACAAGAAATTACGTTCACAGACAACTTGAAGGGTGAGTAGGACAACTTGAAGGTTGAGTATTGGGTGAAAAGGAAGAAAAGGGGAAACAGAGGCTCTTAGCAAAGTGAGAGAATGCATTTTTTTCTGCCAGTGGGCTTCCCACCTCACAGATTGAATTCCACGTTCCACCCAAAGAAGAGGGGTCAGTCTCCTCCCTGCCGCAAATGGTGCAAACTTCTGTGGCTCCGTCCCAGTTTGCACTCCTCCCAGTGCTCAGGCTGGCTGGAATTTATCTGGGGACCCCTTCCCACCTGGCTGTCTCAGTAGCAAGACCCCGTCTCTAAAAATAAATAAATGAAAAGATCTATTCAAAGAACGTTCACAATATGTACATTAGGATTGGAGAGCTCCTAGGAAAAGAATCAATCACTATTAGGCGTGAGGAATATTATCTGTTTCCCAGTAGTCAGTTCTACAACCTGATTCAGATGAATTAAGAATTTCACTTCAACTCAACAAGTATTTATTGATTACATACTATAGTCTCTGCACAAAGTCTTTATCAAATAACCTATTCTGTTTAGCTGAAGAGTAACCTGGGGCTATGGTGAAAGCAGATCTGCACATGGGAGTAATTTTGCGTGTTTTCCCACAGAAGACTATTAGGGAGCAGTATTTTCCCCATACTATTTTTTTGTTATTGTGTAGTTTATTTAAGAGAGCTGTTTAAAGCAACTAGTTCATTCATATAGGAGTTGTTACTGACAAAGAATTGGTGGGGATGATATTAAATAACAAACGGAATTGTCTTTGAAAGGTTACCTTATAGGTAACAGAGGGTCTAGAGCAAAATTAGTAGCAATATATTGTGTGTTTATGGAATATAAAAAAGTATATGATAACAATTGCACAATGAATGAGAGAGAGAGAAATTTGGAGCATACTGAGCTAAGGTATATTTGAAAGTATATTATACATAAATGTAAAATCCTAGGGCAAAAACTAATCCAAAAGAAGGCAGAAAAACAATTTTGAAAATGAACAAACGTTTAATAGAATTAATAAAAAATATCTAGCAAAAATAATCCAACCATGTTGATAATTTCATAGATATAATTGGCCTAGACACACCAATTAAATGATAAAGAAGATCAGACAGTAAAAATGGCACAATTGAACTATAATCTGTCTACAAGAAACCCATTTTAAATATAAAGGCATACCTACATTAAAAGTAAAATGAATGAAACTGTATACCATGCAAACAAAATCAAAAGAAAATTAATAAAAACTTGCCTTAACTTCATCTCCCCACTTTTTAACTTTTTGTTTTTTCTATTTATATCTTATTGTACTATGTCTTGAAAACTTGTTGTAGTTATTATTTTTTATTGGTTCATCACGTAGTCTTACTACTTAGAATAAGAGTAGTTTACACACCACAGTTGCAGTGTTATAATATTCTGTGTTTTTTTCTTGATGTTCTCCTCCCTGTGTCCATGTGTTCTCATTGTTCAACTCCCACTTATGAGTGAGAACATATGGTGTTTGGTTTTCTGTTCCTGTGTTAGTTTGCTGAGAATGATCATTTCCAGCTTCATTCATTTCCCTGCAAAGGACATGAACTTATTCTCTTTTATGGCTGCATAGTATTCCATGGTGTATATGTGCCACATTTTCTTAATCCAATCTATCATTGATGGGCATTCGGGTTGGTTCCAAGTCTTTTCTATTGTGAACAGTGCTGCAATAAACATACATGTGCATGTATCTTTATAGTAGAATGATTTATAATCCTTTGGGTATATGACCAAAATGGAATTGCTGGGTCAAATGATATTTCTGGTTCTATATCCTTGAAGAATCGCCACACTGTCTTCCACAATGGTTGGACTAATTTACACCCCCACCAACAGTGTACAGCGTTCCTACTTCTCCACATCCTCTCCAGCATCTGTTGTTTCCTGACTTTTTAATGATCACCATTCTGACTGGCAAGAGATTGTATATTTAAAAAACCCCATCATCTCAGCCCAAAATCTCCTTAAGCTGACAAGCAATTTCAGCAAAGTCTCAGAATACAAAATCAATGTGCAAAAAGCACAAGCATTCTTATATACCAATAACAGACAAACAAAGAACAAAATCATGAGTGAACACCCATTCATAATTGCTACAAAGAGAATAAAATACCTAGGAATACAACTTACAAGGGATGTGAAGGACCTCTTCAAGGGGAACTACAAACCACTGCTCAAGGAAATAAGAGAGGACACAAACAAATGGAAAAATATTCTATGCTCATGGATAGGAAAAATCAGTATTGTGATAATGGCCACACTGGCCAAAGTAATTTACAGATTCAATGCTATCCTCATCAAGCTACCATTGACTTTCTTCACAGAATTAGAAAAAACTACTTTAAATTTCACATGGAACCAAAAAAGAGCCCGTATAGCCAAGACAATCCTAAGCAAAAATAGCAAATCTGGAGGCATCACGTTATCTGACTTTGAACTATATTAGAAGGCTGCAATAACCAAAGCAGCATGGTACTGGCACCAAAACAGATATATAGACCAATGGAACATAACAGAGGCCCCAGAAGTAACACCACACATCTACAACCATCTGATCTTTGACAAACCTGACAAAAACAAGCAATGGGGAAAGGATTCCCTATTTAATAAATGGTGTTGGGAAAACTGGCTAGCCATATGCAGAAACTGAAATTGGACCACTTTCTTAAGTCAAAAGGACATACTGAGAACTGACCTCCTTTTCTCCCAGGTTTTTATGGTGACCCCTTTGCATCACCTGACTCCCAGGCTGCAGGTCAGACTTGTTGGTGTGCCTTCTGATGTGTTGAAGTTCTGGGCTTTGACCTTAGGGCTGATGTCTTGGAGGTGGTCTGTGGGGTTATAAAAAGACATACTCCTGAGGAGTTGCTGCCCCTTTTTCTCCTCCTCCTCATCCAAAAATTAACTCAAGATGGATTAAAGACTTACACATAAAACCTAAAACCATAAAAACCCTAGAAGAAAACCTAGGCAATACCAGTCAGGATATAGGCATGGGCAAAGACTTTAAAACATCAAAAACAATGGCAACAGATGCCAAAATTGACAAATGGGATCTAATTAGACTAAAGAGCTTCTGCACAGCAAAAGAAACTATCATCAGAGTGAATAGACAACCTACAGAATGGGAGAAAAATTTTGCAATCTATCAATTTGACAAAGGGCTAATATCCAGAATCTACAAGGAATTTAAACAAATTTACAAGAAAAAAAACAACCCCATCAAACAGTGGTGAAAATATATGAACAGACACTTCTCAAAAGGAAGACATTTATGTGGCTAACAAACATATGAAAAAAAGCTCATCATCACTGGTCATTAGAGAAATGCAAATCAAAACCACAATGAGATAATTATGTCAATACTAGACAAAGTAGATGTCAGAACAAGGAATATTACCAGGGATAAAGAGGGATATTATTTAATGATAAGGGGTTATTTCTCCAAAGACACATAACAATCTTAAGTGTGTATGCACCTAACAACAGAGCATCGAAATACATGAGACAAAAGCAGATAGAAATGAAAGGAGAAATAGAAAAGTCAAAATTTTTTTGTATGAGGTGTAAGGAAGGGGTCCAGTTTCAGTTTTCTGCATATGGCTAGCCAGTTTTCCCTAAAACCTGTGAATAATGGAGCTAAAGATTTACTTAAACATGAAGATCTTTGTTTTGTAAGAAATCACACATAGTTACACATTGTCAGATCTTTTTTAATTATTATTTTTACCAGACATAAGAAGGCAAGTACATATACCTACACATATATGTATATACGAGTATTTGAAATATTATCAGTCTATGTTACAAAGAGCTTTCACATGAATGATCTGGTTTAATAAACAAGTGACCACTGAATAAAAGTATTGCTTTTCTAAAGAGTAGGCTAACAAGTTAGCTAATTAAAACCTAGATCTGGGATTGGAGTAGAAGACTAGTTAATATCTGCTATCTTTTCCACTTTAGTATCAAAGGAGGGATGTGAGCCCATGTTGAGGATTTCTTTGCTGCCTTACCCTCTAAGTTTCTTTTCCTGTTGTCATTCCTCCTAGTGGAGCCTGCAGTGACCATCTCCCCAGCTAAGACAGAGGTCAGCCATCACAATTTGCTGGTCTGTTTGGTGACAAATTTCTTTCCTTGCCAAGTGAAACTCAGATGGTTCCAGAAAAAACAGGAGCAGACTGCTGGAGTTGTATCCACACCTATTCAGAATAGGGATTAGACCTACCAGATTCTTGTAATGCTAGAAATAATACCCGAGCATGGAGATGTCTACACCTACCATCTGGAGCACCCCAGCCTCCAGAGCCCCATCACAGTAGAATGATGTAAGGAGCACTTTATTGATATCATAAATTCAATGGAAAAAAGGAAGGGTGGGGGAGTTCTGGGTCTTGTGGGGGTGAGGTCACTACTAACCTCTGCTTGTTATATATTTTCATACCTTCTCTCCTACACAACTGTATCCCGATATAATTTCTGGACTAGTAGTCATGGAAGACTGAGATCCCATTGTCTCAAGTCAAAATGCACTTTCTGAGAACTGACCTCCTTTTCTCCCAGTTTATTATGGTGGCCCCTTTGCATCACCTGACTCCCAGACTATAGGTCAGCCTTGTCGGTGTGCCTTCTGAGGTGTTATAGTTCTAGGTTTTGACCTTAGGGCTGATGTCTTGGAGATGGTCTGTGGGGTTATAGAAGGACATATCCTTGAGGAGTTGTCATCTCCTTTTTCCCCTCCTCCTCATCCATCCATGCTGCCCCTTGGGGTCTTTGCCTGCCTGTCATCTCCTTTGCTTGGTGACAGACTACCTCTGTCTCTTACATCCTGGATAGGACTCCAGGCTTCCAGATGAGGACACTGTGGGGTGTGGGGACAGGCTCTGACACACAGGCTTTCACTTCCCAGGGACACTGTCTGAATCTGCCCAGAGCAAGATGCTGAGTGGCCTTTGGGGTCTTGTGCTGGGGCTGATCTCTCTTGGTTTGGGCCTTGTGGCCCAGCCATTTTTGGAATAAGAAAGGTAAGGCACCTTTGAAGAAGATGGAGAGACTGGTGCTGGGACTGAGGCTTTTTGTTGTAATTCGTCCTGTCTGACTCTGTAATGGAAAGGCAGCTAAGGTGGGGATGGGAATAGATCACAGAAATTAGGAGCATTGAGAGCTCCCTGGCCTGGGTCATGTCTGCATCATTACAGAAGGGAGTGGTGGAGGGTTATTCTTAAATAGACAGGGCTCCACTCACAGGTAAGATCCCTGCTCTCCTTGCCCAGAAATATGACACACATAAGGTGGAAAAAAGAGTTGAGTGTGTTTTTCTGGACACCTGAACATGCTTCAGTTATTTTGCTGTTCCTGAATGAATGTGGCATGAAACAAAATTCTGGAATATTCTGGAAAAAATTCTGGAAAAATTCTGGAATGTTCTGAAAAGTCTCTGCTCTAAACTTCAGGGATTATTCCTCAGAATAAGACCCAACCTGTGGTATCAGTCAGTCAGTGAGGCTTGGATGATGCCCCCAAATCCCCAAATTGCAGAGAGTGCTGCTGAACTTGGTGATAGGTGAGATGAGAGGGAATTACAGTTGTTACCATTCCAGTTAGTCCACGACCTGTGCATCACCAAAGCATTTCGACATCCTCTTCTGCCTTCCACAGGCCCCTTCAAGCTGATGTTTTGTGTTCACTTTAACAGAGTAAAGTGCACTTCAGATGTATTGTGATTTTGGTTCCAGACAGCACTGCAAGAAAGTCAAACGTATCTTTTGGTTTCCCAGTGCATATAAAAGTCATGTTTACAATATATAGTAGTCTATTAAGTGTGAAATGGCCTTATGTCTAAAAAAGTGCATACCTTAATTAAAATATTTTATGGCTAAAAATACTAACAATCCTCTGAGCCTTTAGTGAGTTATAATCTTTTTGCTGATAGAAGGTTCTTTCCTTGATGTTGATGGCTGCTGCTGCAGTTTGATGTGGCTGTGATAATTTCTTAAAATGAAAGAACAATGAAGTTTGCTGCATAGATTGACTCTTCCTTTCATGACATATTTTTTTGTAGCATGTGATGATGTTTGGTAGCATTTTACCCACAGTAGACCTTCTTTCAAAATTGTAGTCAATCCTCTCAAACCCTGCTGCTGCTTTCTCAACTAAGTTATGTAATATTCTAAATCCTTTGTTGCCACTTCAACAACATTCATAGCATCTCACCAGGGGTAGATTCCCTCTCAAGAAACCACTTTCTTTGCTCATCCACAAGCAGCAGTTCCTCATCCATTCAAGTTTTATCATAAGATTGCAACAATTTAGCTACATCTTCCGGTTCCACTTCTAATTCGAGTTCTCTTGCTATTTCCATGACATCTATAGTTCCTTCCTCCACTGAAGTCTTAAACGTCTCAAAGTCATCCATGAGGGCTGGAATCAGCTTCTCCCAATCTCCTGTTAATGTTGATATTTCGACCTTCTCCCATGAATCATGAATGTTCCCAATGACAACTAGAATGGTGAAGGCTTTTCAGAAGGTTTTCAATTTGCTTTCCCCAGATCCATCAGAGGAATCACTGTCTCTGACAGCAATAGCCTTATGTAATATATTAAATAACACGACTTGAAAGTTAAAATTACCCCTTGATCCATGAGTTGCAGAATGGATGTTGCATTAGCAGGCATGAAAACAACACTCATCTCCTTGTACATCTTCATCAGAGCTCTTGGATGACTAGGTACCTTGTCAATGAGTAGTAGTATTTTGAGAGGAATGTCTTTGTCTGGGCAATGGGTCCCAACATAGGCTTAAAATATTCAGCCAACTATATTTTAAACAGGTGTGCTGTTATCAGGCTTCGTTGTTTCATTTATAGAGCACAGGCGGAGTAGATTTAGCATAATTCTTAAGGGCCCTAGTATTTTTGAAATGGTAAATGAGCACTGGCTTCAATTTAAAGCCACCTGCTGCATTAGTCCCTAGCAAGAGAGTCAGCCTGATCTTTGAAGTTTTGAAGCCAGCATTGACTTCTCTCTAACTCTGAAAATCCTAGAAGACACCTTCTTCCAATAGAAGGCTGTTTCATCTCTATTGAAAATCTATGATTTAATATAGCCACCTTCATCAGTGATCTTAGCTAGATCTTCTGGATAAATTGCTACAGCTTCTATATCACCACTTGCTACATCATCTTGTACTTTGGTATTATGAAGGTGGCTTTTTTCCTTAAGCCTCATGAATCAACCTCTGCTAGATTCAGACTTTTTTCCGGCAGCTTCCTCACATCTCTCAGCCTTCATAGAACTAAAGAGAATGAGGGCCTTTCTCTGGATTAGACTTTGGCTTAAGGGAATGTTGTGGCTGGTTTGATCGATCCAGATCACTCAAACTTTTTCCACATCAGCAATAAGACTGTTTTACTTTCTTATCATTTGTATGTTCACTTGAGTAGCAGTTTTAATTTCTTTCCTTCAAGACCTTTTCCTTTGCTTTCACAACTTGACTAATTGTTGAAAGCAAGAGACCTAGATTTTAGCCCATCTTGGCTTTTGACCTGTCTTCTTCACTAAGCTTAATCATGTCTAGCTTTTGATTTAAAGTGAGAGACAAGTGACTTTACTTAGAGGCCATTGTAGGGTTACTAACTGGCCCAATTTTAATGTTCTTGTGTTCTTAGGGAATAGGGAGGCCTGAGGAGAGGGCGAAAGAGAGGGAGGATGGCTGGTCAGTGGAGCAGTCTGAACATACACAACATCTGACAATAAAGTTGATTGTCTTATATGGGTTCAGTTCATGGTGCCCCAAAACAATTACAACAGTAACATCAAACGTCACTGATCACAGATCGGCATGTAATAGTAATGAAAACGTGAAATATTACAAGAATTACGAACATATAACACAGAGACACAAAGTGAGGACATGCTGTTGGTGAAATGGTGCTGATAGACTTGCTTGGTGCAACCCTTCAATTTTTAAAAAACCACAATATTTGAGAAGCACAACAAAGCATAGCACAATAAAATGAGGCATTCCTGTTGCCATCTCTACTCAGTTACCAGGAAAGGTAACGAGGAGCAGGTGTTGACATAAGCTCAACCTTAGTGTCCTGACAACTGCAGAGAGGCCCCAAGGGAGGGAGGGACTGTGTTTCTTCAGGGGTTGGTGTGACATGTGATTGTTTCTTCTGTCTCCTAGAGGGCTCACGCATTGACTGCAAACATTTTTCTTTCTGGGATCTGTCACCTCTTTCTTGTCTTGTCTTGGCTTTACTCTTGTCTGTAATTCCCAGCTCCTCTTCTGTCAGGCCTGTGAGCAAGCCATTTCTGCCAGCTGTGTCACCCATCAGGACATGACTCCCATGGTGACTGAGAAGTGGCTGCCAGGTTGTTGCTTGTTCTTGTCTTTCCTAAATTCCTGCCTGCAAGAAATTTCCTAAATGTTTGCTCACTACCATGATAATGAGAGCTCTGCTCTCTGCTGTCTGCTGTCCCTGTTTGGACCATAAGTACTTTCATAAGCTTTTACTACCTTCTTCTGTTTCTGAAGACTGATCATGAACTAAATGTCAAACTTCTTATAATTCAATAATTAGTTTTTCAAAATTAAATAGATTTGTGAGTCACTTGTGTTTCTAATTCTGATTGAGTAGGGTAGTGGTGTTGGTGGGAAACATTGAGCTAAGAAAGGGATCAGATTCTAGAACTTTAGTTCAGTTATGACCCCCAAAGAAGACAATGTCCAGGGAAGGACACTCAAAAATCATGAGTCCCCATACTTGGTCTAAGTCAGGTGCTACATAAGAATGTGAAATGAGATATGAAATAAATTTAATTTTTCATCAACAGTGGGGCTTGGAAGTTGGGATTGTGTGCAGCAGTCTTTCCTGGCTTCTGCAATAGTCTGATTAGTTTCACTTATTTGTGCAAGTAGAATTGTTTTGCACCAGTCATGGTACCTAATGCCATAACTTAACCAAACGGCACCACAGATATCTTCTGGTGAGTACACCGTGTTCTTCAGGGCAAAAGACAATGATTGTTGATTCCATCCAACCTACCCAATTGTATAATTACCAATGGAGGTTTTATTAGAAAGTAGTATTTTGGTAGCTTATAATGGAAACTCTATTAGACCATCTTAAGGGGAAAAATTAATTTTGGGGCTCATGCAATCAAAGTTTCTAGGTGAATTTAGCTTCTGAAAAATGCTTAGATACTGGACACAAATGGGACCTTTTTCTCTCTTCTCTTTCATTTCCCTCCCTCTCTCTCTCTGACCCTTCTCTCCCCCTTCTGCCCTCATTCCCTTCTGTCAGTGCACTTCTGTTTCATTCTACTCTATATTTCTCTCTGACTGTTTGTCTCTTCCTTTCTCTTCAAATCTCTTTTCTATCTCTGTCTGAAAGACCTCCTCCCCATTAATATATTTGATAGCTTTTCTTTCTTCGATTTGCATTTTCCCTTATATCCATTTCTCTGAATCGCTGTTTCTTTTTCTCTCTGTGACTCTCTCTTACATATATATGTGTGTGTGTATATATATATGTATGTGTGTGTATATATAATTTATTATCTGCCTCTTGGGTTGTCTCTCTGTCCACCTCTTTTCCCCCCTTCCATCTCTCTACTGGCCTGTGTGCCTCACTGCCATTTTTTCTCTGTCATTCCATCTGTCCATTGTCTTTTTCTTTGTCTATATTTTATGTTTATGTTGTTTATTTCCCTGCATCTTTCAGTCTCTGTTTCTCTTTGTGTGTATGTATTTCTTTGTCTCTTGCTTGTGTTCTCTGTGTAGGTCTCTTTGAGTTCGGCTTTTTTCCTATTGATTACCCTTATTTTCTCCTATGGAAGTCAAACATTTCCTACATGGCTATGAAGATGGACATCTCATATTTTCAGCTCATCATCTGAATAGCAACAGATCAAACATGTCAGCTCCATTTTGATAATCTGACGAAAGCTTAGCTTGAGTGGCATTCCAGTTTCTCAACCAATCACTTTAGCCATGGGATGTGGGACTCTGATTAACCAGGCCTTAGATTTGAACCCACTTCTGTGTCAGGAATACAGATTTTCTTTTTCCTAAACAAAGATGGAAAAAGACCAAGGCTGGATAGGTCATAATAGTAGTGGCAATAAAAATAATAACTATCATAATCTATTATACAAGGCTCTTATATATGAAGTCTCTCTCCCTCTTTCTCTCTCTCTCTGTTTCTCTCTGTTCCTTTTCACATTAAAAAATTCAGAAGATGCTCCCTTTTAGTATAATATATGTAGTTCTTATACAACTGAAGCTTCATTTGTCCCATTCTAAAATGAGAAAATCCCAAATTATAAAAACCTCCAACTCCAGGAACTCTGGTGATATGAATTTCTCCTTAACTGCTTTGAACATGACTCTTATTTGTCCTACAAACTATGATGAAATAATAGATAAATCTACCTTCAATACAGGTGGAAATAATAACATAACCACAATGAAACCATAATCAACGATCACTTCTGCCCAATGTGATGAGATATTGAAACGCTAGGTGAAATCTGTTGCCCGCTGCTGTTTCATGGGGATGTAATCTCTTATGGAGAAAGAACGAGTCACTAGGACCCAAATGCAAAAGCAGCTGGAGTTATGTAACAGGGCACTCCTCACACACAGTCCCCAACATGTGTCTGCTACTACTGTCTATTTTGGAGGGAGTCATCAAGGAAAATATGGTTGGCAAAATTAGGGCAGATATCAATATTATTTGAGATTTGTCATGTCCATGTGAGTCTCTTTTGTTATGAACGTTTTCAGGTATAGATCCCCAAGATGCTCTGTTATTAAGGTTTTCTAGTGAGGAGTCAATAGCAGCTTAGCTCTTGGAGTCCTGCCCCTATTTAAGGTTTAAATAATCAGATTGGACAGTTATGAAATACTAGATCCTACCTATCTATGACTTCAGATGTGTGGGAGTATCTTGCCTTTAGCTTCTTCCACACTTTTTAGTTTACATCACTGGTTTTATTTAATAAAAGAAATAACAGAAAGGCATCAGGGGAAGGAGGAATTATCCTTGATTTGTCACATTCTCAACTTCCACATTCAGCCAGTTGGTGAATTCTATCAATTAAATGATAAAATATTTCTCAGCTTAGTCCATTTTATTCATCTTCTTTGTAGCCACTTGACTTTAACATACTGCCGTATTCCTCCTGAATTGTTGAAATAGCCGCCTACCCCATCGCCCTACTTCCTTCTTGATTCCTACAATTCATTTTCCACACAACTGCTAGAAATGTTTATACAACTTAATCTATACCACATCTGTATCATGATTAAACACCTCACATGTTTTCTTATAGCATCTAGAATTAAACCTAGATTTCTTACCTGGCTAATCAAATCTTCTGCCTGGCTAATAAAATCTTCTGTGATCTGCTCTTTGCCCATACTACTGAGTTCACTGTCTACCTTTTAACTATCTCATTTTATTAGTTTGGGTAACACCAGCTGCTATACGGAATAAAGATAAAAATTTCAGGGGACTAGCTAAATAGACATTCTCTTCTTATTCACATAACAGTCCATTGCCAGATTGTTAATAGTCTAGATGTTTTTCTCCACACAGTGACTCAGGAACTCAGGCCCTTCACATGCTGTGATTCTGCTCTTTTACTGGACTTTCTGCTCTCTGCTTCCAATGATGAAAGGCAAAAGAGAGAGGGTGGAGAAGGCACACTTATTACTTAATTCCTTGGTGTGCCAGCGACACACTTCACTTTCAGTCACATTTCATGGTGAGAACTAGTGATGTGACCCCACCTAGATGAAAAAGCGTGAAAGTGGAGTCCTTACTTGGACTGCCATTTCTGAGCAATATCACTAAGCAGCAGGAGGAGGAGTGCACAAATTTTGGTGGAAATCCAGCCATCTCTGCCACTGACTTCATTTCTGTTTTTTTTAACATTTCAGGTTTAGTCTATGTTAGGATGGTTCCTTCTGCCTGGAATATTTCTTTTCCTGATTGTTACATGTACATTGTCTTATTTCTAGCTCCTTTATGTTATTTTTGTTTCAGCTTAAATATAACCTAAGAAAAGATTTTCCTGATGACCAAATTTGGAGTTGCCACTCAGTTATTCTTAGTTAAATATTAATTTTCTTCATATCAGTTATCACATTTGTGAAAGCCATATATTCAATTGTAAGACCTGGTAGTTGAACAATTATTTTTAAAAGTCAATTGCAGTTGAGAATAATTAGAATGATTTGTAAATATATAATGTGGTAAACATTTTATTTTAACTTAAGTAAATACATGTATACATGTATATTTGTTTGGCAGTATGTTGACATAGAACCAAACCTTCACTTGGAGAATGTGTCTGTTGTTTAGAGTTTTAGGTTATCTTAAATGGCTAAACAACACCCATAACAAACTTTCTATTGTATCAAATTTTAGTTTTTTAAAAAGTTTATGAGAATTTAGAGTGAAACATTACAAAGAATTCTGAATTTAGAAACCCTTTAGATTTTCACCTCATTTTCTCCATTTTAAAAGTTATTTTACCTATATCCAATTTAATAATATTTTATTAGACAACTTATCTTTATTATTTCCAAAGCATTTAATGGTTTAAGAACTTAAATTTTCCCTTTTAAAATTAATTCTTAATTCATAATGAAATATTTACTTTATTTAAATATATAATTACAATAACAAGTCAATAGAGATGAACAGATTTGTGAGCAAACGCCAGCAACTTTTGGCAAACATTAAACTCAACTAATGGAAGCAGAAATATACAGGAAGGCCAAAAAACAGCTGTGAGCTGTTGGCATGTCACGGGCATCAGCTTGTTTACTGAAGAAATGAAATATGCCAGTTAAACCAACAAATCAATTCAATGAAATTGTCTATTCTACCTGGTCATTTTGTTTTCACTTAATTGATCATAATATAAACATATAATCTCTTATTTTTCTGGTCTCTGTCAATCTATTGATCTATAATTATTATCTATCATTATCATTTATTCATCTATTTATTTAGAGTATAAAATCAAAAGAGAGACCTTGTCTATTTTGTTCAACAATATTCTAAGTACCTAGAACACTGCCTGGTATACAGTAGGTGCTTAATAAATATTTGCTGGTTGACTACATGATGACTTTTTCTTCAGGAATTCACCTGTCTCTCAAATCTTTCGTCCTTTCTTGGGAATGTTTTGGTACTCCTGTGCCAATATCACACATTATTATTTTATAATATACTTTGATATCTAGGGTGTCCTCTTCCTCATTCTTGATTTTCCTTTGCAAAATTTTCTTGGCTATTTTTGTCCATTGACACATATATGGTGGTAGTGGTGGTAATATTTTCATAAGGCAGAATTCCACCATTATTATTCAGTATTAACTTTTGTGTTTTCCACATTTCCCTTTTATGAATATGAAATGATGTTGTTTAAATGGTATTTTAAAAATCTTCAATATTGTATTTTCTACAGAAATACAATGCTTTATCATACAAGACCTTCAAATCAACAATCTCGCTACACACTCTTATCAATTGCATAGTCTACCTTTGAAATTATTTTGTGTATTTCCTTTGTACATAGTTATAACATCTGCTAAAAATGATAGCTTTTCTTTCTCTTCAAACTTTATAGCTTCTTCTTTTTCTGTCTGTACTGCATTGGAAGGGACATACAATAAACACCTAGTAGATGTTATAGCTGCCATTTTTGTTTTGTTTTTGAGCCCACCAGATATGCCAATATTGAAGTTCTTATTCTAAGACTTTGTCTTAGGTTTTTAATGCCAGAAACAAGAGAAAATAATTACTATCTAATTTCTATGAACCAGGGAAAACATGTCAAGAAGAGATGGGTTCTCTATGGTATCCTATTCATTACTCAAAATGTAAGTTTTATATGGATTTCAAATATAGCTAACTCTTTGATGTTGCTCAAGTCTTCCATTCTGTTCTGGTTCTCCATGAAAAAATAAAGAGGCAATCAGTTACCCATTGGGACTCAGTGTGCTGAACGAAAATTCCCAAGAAGAAGATCAATTTCAGGGGCAATTGGGAGGAGGGTCTTCGTGTCTTGGCCTTGAGGGCAAAGATGCTGAGGACTTCCTCTGATCAAGGTAATAAATGATCACTGAAAACAGACACGACCCCAGAATCCATATCCCTACATATAGTGCCAACTAGAGTAGGAGTTCAAGTCACAATTTATTTATTTATTACAGAAGAGGGTGTTGAGTTGCCATCAAAGAGGTTTTTTATTCTGTCTGTTCAAGTGGTAGACATGGAGTATTGAATAGCTACAGAGAACAAAATTTACCTTAGTTGATTTTGAGTGGAAAGGAGTTTATTACAGACCTTAATATAGCTTAGAGAATCATCAGGACAATAGAAGGAACTGAATCAGGCAACCAAGGAAACCACCTCCTCTTCTACAATCAGGAACTCATGCTGCCCAGAACAGCCATATTTGGGAAGCTCCTCCATTCAGTAAGCCCCCACGATCACCTGCTACAATCTGCACCAGTAACAGGCATGCTGCCTCTTTATATCCATGAAGTCAGTTATCAGACATGAAAATCTCTCCTAATTCTGACACAGAAAATAAGGCACCCCTACACTGGTGCCTTTTCAGGTCAAAAAAAAAAAAAAAAAAAGACCCTCAGCATGTCCAAAATTTACCAGAATGCCTCTGATTGGCTAAATCTAAATGACATCAAATGCTATCCAGGAAATGTTCTTTTCAGTTGTACACCTTTTGCAGTACAGGAGAAGTGCACCGGAAGAGGTTGAGAGGTATGTTGCATGACAATCCACTACATATGGGAATAGGGACACTCAAACCTTCTCCTGCATTTTTCTTAGTAACACAATTTCCAGATCCAATCCTCTGCAATGGAAACTAGGAGGGATGGCCTCATTACAGAATAGATAATGTACATGTCAATAATTTTTAGGCCCAATAGACCTTTTCTACTTAATATACCACCACCAACAACAACAACTTTTTGTTAATCCAGTGCCAAGGAGAAATAATTGACATGCCTGTCGCTTATTCCATATTTTAAGCTATTTTTATGGCTTGCTTTCTTTAATGAATGGTAAGCTCATTATCTCTTTTTAATCTTTCAAGCCATAGGCTTTGGTTTCAGTCTAGAGAAGCCAGCATTACCACAATGTCCCTTTCAGTCGGCTGTGGCCAGGAAGTTTCCAGAAAATCACAGGGCAATCCGAGTAGCTCTTCTATAATGTGTTTTTCTCCATGGTTTTACTTATTCCACAATATAACATTCTTTTGCCGCTCAATAAACTTCAGTACACTAACTCCCTATCTGTTTCTCTAACATGCAGATTTGTTTCTTCATTAGCAGTTTTCACTTATGTTCTTGCTGTGTGGAGTCGTTTGCTATAGATTTTGAATAGCTGGCTTTTTCTTAGCATTCAGGTCTCTTTTCAAATAGAGTATTTCTAGAGTAACAATTTCTAGTCACTCAACCTAAAGAAGTTCCCTCAAATCACTCCCAATTACTTTTGTTTTTCTCCTCAGAGAGCACTCATTACTATATGATAATCATTCTTCATTTATTTGATTTCTTTGATAGCAGCAACCTTATTTGTCTCATAAAACATTGTCTCTCTAACTTAGATTATTACATAGCCTGTATTAGATAATAATATAAACAAAACCCATATAAATTAATCATTAGTACATTAATCTCCATTTTAGTCAGATGACACTGAACTAATCATATAGTAATTAATACACAAGCTAAATAAGTAACTACTTCTATTTCAAGCTCTATCTCTTCCTTGCCACACTATCATGCCCTAGTTTCAAATTGTGTAGCAGATTTAGCCTCCTTCCATCCCCAACCATGATCCTAGCTTTCCACACAACCATGACTCAGCCCCAACTCTACCTAATCCTTAGTGCCAAGCAGCCTCTTATCATCCCTACTTGTCCTTCGAACCAACCACACTTGGATAAGAGTTACCTCCATACCAAAGTAAAACCCAGTGTAAATAAGCCCCTTTCAAACACACACACACACATACACACACACACATACACACACACACATGGCTTTACAAACAAGATCCCAAACCTTTTCCTTTCATGGTTGGAAGTTTGAAATAATGTAAATAAGCAATTCTGCCCTAATTTCCCTTCATCCTCAGTATCAAATGGAAACCAAACCAAAACAAGTCAAATTACCATAAAAGACAAAAATCTTTACATTAAAAGAGTAATTAATAATAAACACTTTAATATATTCTTTAAATAAGAGAAATCTTCGTTTCACCATGTTGGCAATCCTAGTGAAAAGCTGTACTCAAAGTTTAAATGAAAATTATTTTTTAAAAGACTTCTTGATTTCAGCATCAAGTGTAAAAGGCAAAACCTTGTAAAATTATAAGATTTTTATTTAAACATGAACAATTAGCCAATAAAAGAATCTTTTCCTTATGAATATGAAATGGGGTACAGATTATTGGAGCAACCCTTTTTCTTTATGATATGAGTCATAATTAAAAAATAAACTGCAGTTTATATGGTTTGGCTGTGTCCGCACCCAAATCTCATCTTGAACTGTAGTTCCCATAATTCCCACGTGACTTGGGAGGGTTCCAGTCAGAAGTAATTGAATCAGGGGAGTGGGACTTTCCCATGCTGTTCTTGTAATAGTCTCACAAGATCTGATGGTTTTGTAAATGGGAGTTCCCCTGAACAAGCTCTCTCTTGCCTGCTGTCATGTAAGACATGCTTTTGCTTCTCCTTTGCCTCCCACCATGATTGTGAGGCCTCCCCAGCCATGTGGAACTATGCGTCTATTAAAACTCTTTCCTTTATAAATTACCCAGTATTGGATATGTCTTTATTAGAAGCGTGACAACAGACTAATACAGCAGTTATCTCATGGCAATTTATTAGGAATATCTTATTAGAATATGTTAAACATCTTCTCACACTATTAGTTCCTGTGAGGTCTGATTGTTAAAAAGAGCCTGGAACCTTCCTCCTCTTTCTCTTCCTTCATCTCTCGCCGTGTGGTATCTGCACATGCTGGCTCCCCTTCTTCCGCCACAAGTGGAAGCACCCTGAGGTCCTCATCAGATGCAGATGCTGGTGCCATGCTTCTTGTACAACCTGAAAATCATTAGCCAAATAAACTTTTCTTTATTAAAAAAGAATATATCGAACATCTAAACTGATGCAATGTAATAAAACATATTTAATTTAATCCTATCATCATTTTTTCTTTTCAATGTGTTCTTTGGGGTTAGCCAATTCCTTACCTTGAATGAGCATTCAGGAAGGCTTCATAACCTCTCTGATAATGTTTAAGTAAAAAAAGAAAGGTATTCAATTAGTCCCATTCAATAGTCAAATTTCTATATTTTATTCAAAACGGAGGCCTCACACTCTTGCCTATTCAAGAGTGTTGCAGATGAGAAGCTCACAAACAGTGAAGGTGCAAAATTAGCTTCTTTTGTTTCTACAGCTTGTGCTTCTATTTCTTCTACCTGATATAGTTTCAGACCCCTGCGAGTTGAGGCATGAAGAGCAGAAGAGGACAGTTTTTACTTGCCTGATATTTCATGTGCTTGAATTGAATGCTCTAGGGAAAACAGATGCATAAGAAGACTCCATTGTGAACATTTTCATGAATTCTTTGAGAATCCACACTCCCCTAGTTCAGAGCCCGGTGAGGGCTACTGCATCTCCATTCTCATGGAATTCTCAGTCACTAGGCACTCTGGAATACTAGCAGCCTCTTTCTTCTATGATCTGTTTCTCTTGGAGGCTGCCTTGAGATACTAAGACAAGTAGACCCCAGACTTTTCCCTTACTTTTGGTCTATGTCAATTGCCAAGGAAAGATGAATCTCTTTCCTTCTGGAAGTCAGGCAAATCCTAGTGTAGCTACTTGTTCTTTTCTCTGCTTGAAAATGGTACGTGAGTGCTAGGAAGGCAAGAGTGTGGTCCCTTTAAATGATAGGGAAGCAGGGAACAGAAGTGCTGGGTAGAGGAGGGTATGGTCCCTGGCTAGGGCTCCACCCCCACGGACCTAGGTGAGAACAGGCATTTCCTGTCCAAATGTTGCATTTCCCAAGACCACTCTGGCCTGCCATGCCCCATCCTCTGCCTATAAAAACCTGAGACCCTAGCAAGACAGGGACAGAAGCTGCTGGACGTTGAGAGAGAGCACATCAGCAGAGGAACACACCCACTGGGGCTTCAGGAGCTGTAAACATTCACCCCCAGACACTGCTCTGGGATCAGAGCCTCACAGCCTGACCATCTGTATGCTCCCCTGGAGGTCTGAGCAGCGGGCACTGGAGAAGAGAGCCACATCGCACTCCCTGCAAGGGGAACAAGGGAATTTTTTCTGTTTCAAAAACATGTAGCTAAGTTGACTCTTGGACTTCAGCATTCTTCAGCATACCCCAGGTACCAATCTACTGAATTGTCCAAACTCTGGAATATGTATGTACATTAAACTCTCCAAGAGGTCTTTTCATAAGAAGGTTTTTAAAATTTGAAATTCATTATTTATTAAAAATATTTTTGGCTGGGCATGGTGGCTCACACCTATAATCCCAGCACTTTGGGAGGCTGAGGCGGGCAGATCACCTGAGGTCAGGAGTTCGAGACCAGCCTGGCCAACATGGTGAAACCCTGACTCTACTAAAAATACAAAAATTAGCCAGGTGTTGTGGTGCATGCTTGTAATCCCAGCTACTTGGGAGGCTGAGGCAGGAGAATCACTTGAACCTGGGAGGCAGAGGTTGCAGTGAAATGAGATTGCACCACTGCACTCCAGCCTGGGCAGCAGAATGAGACTCTGTTTAAATATATATATATACATATATATATGTGTGTGTGTATATATATTTGAGAAAACTGCTTTGTGCCAGAAAGTGTTGGAGGTACTAAAGATACAACAGAAATAAGGCAGAAAAAATTATTCCTGTCCTCATGGGACGTATATTTTAGTGGTCTAGGAACAGATCATAGACAACATTTTAAAAGGTACATTAGTTAGTATATTAGTCATCTGTTGTCACAACAATGCTGCATTACAAACAACACAAATCACCAGTGGCAGATAACAATATGCTTATATGTCTGGGTCAGCTAGGTGGCACTGCTAACCTTGGCCAAGCTCACTTATGTATCCAAGGTGGACTCTTCTTCACATGCCTCTCATCCTCTTCTTAGGGCCGGTGGACTTGCCTAGAAATGTCCTTATGGCAATGCAGAAGCAAGCAAAATGTTAGCTCCAATACATACGCCAATTTCAAGGCCCAGAGTGTGTGACATTTGCTAATAACTCCTTGGCTGTAGAGGAACACATGGTTAGGCCTAATGTTGAGAGGCAATTCAAGTCACCCATCCATAATGGGAGAGCATAGTAAAGTTAGATTGCAAAGGGCGTGGATATAGGGAGGGATGATGAATTAGGATCATCATCATAATCTATTACAGTCCACTTTTATTGCTACAATTTTTCATATTCTTCCAATATGAAAAATATGCTTACCCCTAATCTGGGATCACCAGAAGTCTCATGCAATCATGGCATCAGCCATCAAGTTCAAAATCTCACAATCAGGATGCAGGTCAGAATGCAGTTCTCCTTAATCCAGAAACATACTGATAGAGCTGGAGCCCTGTCATCTCGGACAAACACCGCCACTTTAAATTCCAGCTCCCTTTCTAGCCTCATGCATTTCAAGGAAATCACTTCTCTTCTAACTACAAATAGCCAGAAAGAGCAGACAGTAAAACACAGATAAGAGAGTTTGGGCACAGAGAAAGGTGGGGGGAAGGTCCCCTGGGTAACTGCCAAACTTCACCCTCATACAATGGGCCCTAAAACAGTGGGCCTTAATAAGCACATTCCTTTCCCTTCAGGTGCACTAAGATAGGGAAGCTAAAAGCAGACTCTGGGGATATGCCTGCAGCTGCAAAAAAGATGTATGGGAACAGACACACAACTCTCCCTCCTAGATAAGCACAACAAAGAGACACAGAAGCAGTCCAAGCCTTGGATAAACTCTCCCACTCTGAATCCTTAAAAAACTTAGTCTATAAGAGAGCGTGCCTCTGACCTAACTCGGCCAGAAGGCGCCTCTCAGGTTTGTTTTCTCTAAAATAAGTGTGCCGTGACTGGTGAGCCACCTTTTCATGTGTTTCTTTCCTCTTTCTTTCTCTTTCTTTCTTTTTCTTTCTTTCTTTCTTTCTTTTTCTTTCTTTTTTTTTTTTTTTGTTTGTTTTGAGATGGAGTCTCACTCTGTCGACTGAGTGCAGTGGCGCCACCTCGGCTCACCACAACCTCTGCCTTCTGGGTTCAAGTGATTCTCCTGCCTCAGCCTCCTGAATAGCTGGGATTACAGGCGTGTGCCACCATACCTGGCTTATTTTTTGTATTTTTAGTAGAGACACACGGTTTCACCGTGTTAGCCAGGATGGTCTCCATCTCCTGACCTCATGATCCACCTGCCTCAGCCTCCCAAAGTGCTGGAATTACAGGCCTGAGCCACTGCGCCCGGCCTCCTCTTTCGTTAATTCTAAGACATACAAGCCACAACAATAGAAACAAAGTTGTCTTTCCATCAGCACTCAATACACAGTGCTGAAACTGGGTCAGGATAATGATAGTAAACATGCCCATTCAAAAACGGAAAGAATGGGGGACTGAACAGTCACTGATCCCTGGCAATTCTGAAATTCCACTGAACAAATGCTGCCTTGCACATCCCCTCTAGGGGTGGACAATATTCCTTGGTTAGCCCCTGACTCCTTTCCTTGGGAGTTTCTCATTAGTCTACCTGTCCTCAGAATTCTATGCTCTTCCCTTTGAAAAGTACTTCCTTTTCTGTTTCCCTCCTTGGCCACCTTTAAAGAGCACATAGGATGATCGGCACTTTGAACAACTTTCTCAGCCTGTTTCTTTTACATAGAGAGTTGCAGATCCATTGCCCTTTTACATTTTAAACCTCAGTCTCTTTCAGTCCAGACTGGTGGCAGTTTTACCAATACAGCTGAATAAAAAATGTTGTGAGTTTTTTATATATTTGATCCCATGATACTCTGAATGCCAACAACCTCACCCACAATTTTTTGGGAGACACAAAGCTCTTTCTAGACTTAATCACTTAGCACAAAAGAGCTTTAAATTAACTCTATTTAACCATATATTCATAAATATCAAGGAATATATAGTAAAGAAAAAGATTTACAATCTAAAAAAGAATATGAATGTGGAATCTTTTAGATACGGAATCTAAATAAAAGAAATAAGAGTACATCATCTAAAATTAAAACTTAATGGGTGAATTTAACAGCAGACTGGTCACAGGCAAATGCAGTAGTAGTTAACTTGAAGACAGTTTAATAGAAAGCATCTACTCTGAAGCATAGCACAAGATAAAATGAAGAAGAAAGATATCAGCATCAGAGACATGTAGGCATTATCTAATGGTCAAATATACTTACAATTGTACATAAAAATAAAGGATAAAGAGTGCAGCAGAGAAAACAAAAAGATAATGGCAGAAAATTTTCCAAAACTGAAATAAAGATGTCAAAACACAGATACAAGAAACTTATCAACCTCAATCATAGACTAGTGAAATAAAACCATATGTAAAAAAAAATAATAAATTGCCCAAAAACAAAGATAAAGAGAAAATGTTTAAATCAGCCAGAGACGAAAGTGTCTTGTCTTTGGAAAAAAAGAACAAAAAAGGTTAAGGCTGACTTTCAATAGAAACT
Organism: Homo sapiens; assembly: GCF_000001405.40. Taxonomy (NCBI): domain Eukaryota; kingdom Metazoa; phylum Chordata; class Mammalia; order Primates; family Hominidae; genus Homo; species Homo sapiens. Next base: position 4,133,258 of record NT_167246.2, on the reverse strand, counting down.
TTGGAATCTGGAGGAAAATGGAATGAAACCTTAAAATACGCTAAGAAAACTTCTACCCCTAACGCAAACCTAGAATTCTAAAATCAGTAAAACATCCTTCAACAACAAAGCTGAAGAGGATCTTTCTGTGACGGCCAAGTTGGAATAAGCCCACTATAGTCTGTGTCTTACACTAATTATAATGGGAAACATCAGGCAGAATATAAAAGGCAGCCATCTGTGGACCTTGAAAAGTACAAAATAGCATGAATATTAGGGAGGGAAGTCAGAACTTGGAGAAATAATAGTAAGGGAGTGAGTTCCTAGGGTTTTTCCTCTTTTGTCTCCTGGCTTTGACTTGAAGGTAACTCCAGACATGTAGTGTGCAGTGAGAGCAGAGAGAAGAAACTCCAAGAGACACCTCCTCTTTCTGTACAGATTGCAAAGGGGGTCTCCAGAGAGTGTGTGGAGCAATACTCCTTTTTTGGAACTTTACTTCTTTTTTCACTTCTAGTTCTTCCCTGAGTGTGGTCAGAATCAGGAAGCTGTACTAAGGCTGCTGTGGTGGAACCATCAAAAACTCTGAAAGAAAAATCCCAAAAGAACTAGGGAAAAGGAACCCTGTGGCCTAAGGAATATGGGGTATTTCCCTTTATATTTTTGCTCAACTTTCTCTTCCCACTTTGCCTCAAGGGAAGCCCCAGGTGTGCAGAATCACATGACAATACTTTGAGAGAAACCAACCTTTCTGGCCAGAGGAACGGGTAAGAGGGACCTATGGGAACTGGAGAGTGTGGGAAAAATCTCAGAGGAGAGAGTGAGAGAAAGGGATCCCTAATTCTATACATGAACCATCATAACTCTCAGGGTCTTGGGCTCCCCAAGCCGCACATTAGGGGGACAGTTTCACACCAGCATATCAAAGCCATTAGGAGCTGAACTATGATACAAATATCACAGTCCTAGTGCCAGACTAGTGGCTGAGAGGCCCAGGCACAGGGCAGGCACGAACAGCATGGCAAAGTCTTGGGAAACTATAATGACGTTAGAACTACGGCATACAGAAAGCGAGATACAGCTTGCATTCTAAACTTGATGAGATTAGTTCTTGCTAAAACAAAAAATTCAACCTTCTCCTAGAATTTTAATGGGACCCAGAGCTCACAGTGTGATACAATCATGCACCACATAATGACAGTTCAGTCAAGGAAGGAACATGTATAGGTTGGTCATCACGAGATTATAATGGAGCTGAAAATTTCCTATCCCTATATAATAGCCATTGTAACATTGTAGCATAATGCATTACTCACACGTTTGTGGTGATGCTGGTGCAAACAAATCTCCTGTGCTGCCAGTCACATAAAAGTATAGCAGTACAATTATGTACAGTACACAATACTCAATAATGACAACAAATGACTATGGTACTGGTATATGTATATACTATACTATACACTATATAGATGCCCCCTTTTTTCAACCATTATAAGATCTAGTCTTTGTCTGTTTTGGAGGACTGCACCAGCTAAATGCATTTTATTGTTATTTTAGAGTGTATTCTTCCTTATAAAAAGAAAATTAACTGTAAAACAGCCTCAGGTAGATCCCTAAGGAGGTATTCCTGAAGAAAACGTTGTTATCATAGGAAGTGACAGCTCCATGTGTGTTTGTGTTATTGCCCCTAAAGGCCTTCCAATGGGACAAAATGGGAAAGTGCAAGACAATGATATTGATGATCCTGACCCTGTGTAGGCCTGAGCTAACGTGTGTGTTTGAACCTTAACTGTTTAGAAAAAAAAAGTATAAAAAGTAAAAGGTTTAGAAAAAAGTTTAAACATAAAGATATAGAGAAAGAAAATACATTTGTATAACTCTAAGTGTGTTTGTGTTTTAAGCTAAGTGTTATTACATGAGTCAAAAAGTTTATAATAATTCAGAAAGTTTATAAAGTAAAAAGGGTACACTAAACTAAGGTAAATTCATCATTGAAGAAAGATTTTTTTTTCTGTAAGCTTAGTGTAGGCTGTGTACAGTCTTTACGAAATACTTAATGGTGTACAATAAAGGCCTAGACCTTCATTCACTCACCACTCACTCGCTGATTCACCCAGAGCAACTTCCAGTCCTGCAAGCTCCATTCATGATAAGTGCCCTATACAAGTGTAGGAGTTTTTATCTTTGACAATTTCACAACACAATATAAAACAATTTGCTTAGATCCAGATTTGTTTTAGTCAACGTAAAATTCAAGAGAAAACAATTTTGATGAAGCTACTCAAAACCACACTTTCACATTCATGCCTTTTTCAATGCTTATCTGCAGGGGTGAAATCTGGACCAAACATATCCTTCTGAGCTGCAGGATACAAAAGCCTTATTTATTATTTTTAATTCTCTATTTTGCCACTTTTAGTAACTCACTATACCAATGATTCACTTCCCCTCCCTCTTTTTGTCTTCTCAGGGTATTTTATTTTTCCATGAAATACCTACTTCTTCCTCATTGTCTTGCTTTGTGTTATACACAAGAGGCCTACCATATTCAATTTCCGAACTTTACTAACTTTAATATATATAACTTGCCACAAAACATCACTGGTGATGTTCTTCTTGAGGCTTTGCCACCATAAAACTTCTTCACAAAGAGTCCCATGGTTCAAAAGAAGATATTTTTGCTATTTTTCTCTGTCCTGCTCTTACACATATGCTTCATATAACCTTTTAATCTTGAACTTAGACTAGGTCCTTTAATGAAGCTGCTATGGAGCAGAATCACCATAATCACCATAATCCTTAACAACAATTAATTTTTTCCCTAAAGTCCACATCTTTGAAGGGAATTGGATCTTAAATTTATATTAGTAAAAAGGTTCTTCACCTCTCTTAAGTTTAAATACTTCATATGTCTTGAAAGATAAATTTCTCAGAGTAAATTCAATTTGTATTTCTTATCCTGGATTTCTATCCAGTAGAGCGATCAACAACTTGTATTGCTATTCTTCAGCTCATGACTGAAGAGTAAGACTTTCATAATTGAGGATTTAATAGTAGCGTTTCTTTTAGACTGACACATAACTTAAGCACAGAGTTGCATAAACATGTATATAGAGTTTAATAAAAATTAATGACGCAGACTAAAAAGCTTATCCAGCTTCCTAGAAGCCCTCTGTGTGCACCTTCTACCTACCATCTTTCCCTTGGAGGAAAACATTACTCTGATTTTGTGCTAATTATTTACTTTTTAAAAATGTGTGCATGGTCCTAAATTTTATATAAATAAAATAATTTATTGGATTTGTTTCTTTCCTTTGATAAATATTGCTTTTACGAGATTCACCTTTTTTTTATGTGTAGTTGTGCATACACACGTTAGGGTGGCTATTATTCAAAAGGAAAAAAGAGAATATAAGTGTTGGTGTGGATGTGGAGAAATTGGAACCCTTGTGCCTTGCTAGCAGGAATGTAAAATGATGCAGCTGTTGTGGAAAAAGGTAGAGCCATATCTCAAAAACTTTAGACATACAATTATCATATGATGCCATGATTCCACTTCTGGTCATATATCCAAAAAAACTGAAAGCAGAGACTTGAACATACATTTGTATACCCATGTTCATAGCACAAACATTAACGGTAGCCAAAAGGTGAAACAAACAAACAAACAAACAAACAAATCTCCATCAATGGATGCCTGGAAAAGCAAAATGTGGTATAAACATACAATGGAATATTATTCAGTCTTAAAAAGGGAGGAAATTCTGAAAATATACTATAACTCAGATGAAATGTAAAGACATTATGCTAAGTGAAATAAGCCAGTCACAAAAAAGGCGGATATTGTATGATTCTACCTTATGAAACCACCTTGAGTGGTCAGAGACAGAAAGTAGAATGGTGGTCACTAGTGGCTGGGAGGAGGAGGGAATAAGGAGTTGTTTATGGTTACAGAGTTCCAGTTTGGGATGAGGAAAAGTTCTGGAGATCTGTGGTGGTTATTGTGTACAACAGTGTGAATGTATTTAATGCCACTGAACTGTACACTTAAAAAGGTGAAAATGATGAGTTTTAGTTTATTTCTATTTTCCCACAATTAAGGAAAGAAGGAAGGAAGAAAGAAAGAGAGAGAGAGAGAGAGAGAAAGAAAGAAAGGAAGAAAAGAAAGAAAAAGAAAGCAGCGTTAATGCTTAGAATTGGTGTAAAGATGTATAAGACTAACAAGTTTAAGCAAAAATGATGTTCAGTGTAGACCACACTTGGTTCCCAGAGTTTGGGCATTGAAACTGGAGTCCCAAGTACAGATTACATAAGTCATACCCTTAGATAACATTTATTTGAGGCCTATGTATGTCATAAAATAGTCTAAGTGTTTTATATGTATGACATCGTGGGTCCTCTCAACAACCTACTTTGTGGTTACTAAAGGATTACATTGCATGTAAATATAAAATACTATATTAATGAAATCTTAGTTAATCTACAAAGTTCCACAAAATAAAAACAACCTAAATTATAATGTTGTCAATAATCATAATTTATGAGCTTGAGCATGGAGTAAATTTAGATTGTGTTTATACTTCCACCAAATGATGCACATCCATTTTCCTAGTTCACGGTCTCTATCTCTCCTTTCTCATTTATGTTAATCCAAATAGTGATACACACAGTGTTATTGTAAGAGTTAAAGAAAGAGGAAAGAAACACAAAAAGTGGCTCAACAGTCAAAGACAGGTTTATTTTGGAGAATAAACCTGAGAGGGCTGCTGTCTGATTTCAGTCAGGAGCCCTCTCTCTTACAGACTAAGAGTATTTAAGGGTTTGGGGCAAAAGGCTTGAATGTTTCTGTGTGGAGGAGAACTTTATTGTGGGGTTGGAATGTCTCTGGTTGGAGGGGAGGTTATCTTGGGGTTGGCATCTCTCCGGTCAGAGGGGAGGTTATCTTGGGGCTGGTGTGTCTCTGGTTGGAGAGGGGTTTATCTCAGGGTTGGAATGTTTCTGGTCAGAGGTATCATTTGTGGTTTAAGGTCATGCTGCCATTAGCCATTAGGCTGATGCCCTTTGGGTTGGATTTAGGTGGCTTTTGATCAAGGGGAACTTTAAAATGGTGGTGCTTGTCCAAGATGGCAATGCTCCTGCTCTGTCAATCCAGATCCTATAGTTATAAAAGGATGAGGACGGTGTGTTCTTTCTGGCTAATTCCTGCTGAGAGGAGTGTGGAGAGTTTTCTGGTCTCGGATTGACTGTAGGAGTAATGCCATCTGTAGATGTTTTTGGGTAGTTGTCTGTGAAATGGCCATGATCCTGTTGGTTAAAAATCTTTGAAAAAGATTAATTAGGCAGGGTAAGAACACTAGTCCTAGGCATATCATTAGGAGAGGGCCCAGGAATGGGGTGACTCATGCTATGATTTTGTTCCCAAACCAAGAATCTATTTGACTGTGTTGGTATTCCCTTAGCTTTTTAGCCCTTTCTTTAAGTTTTTCGGCAGCACCTCTTACTGGGCCCGACTGGTTGAGACAGAAACAACTTTCCTCACCCAGTGAGAGGCAGATGCCCTCTTTTTCAACCATTATAAGATCTAGTCTCTGTCTGTTCTGGAGGACTGCACCAGCTAAGGAGTCTAGTTGGTCTTGGACTCTTACAAGGCTTCAGGCTATATCTTCTAGAGAACCCTGTAGTTCTGTTGAAAGAACCTTAAAGTATGTGGCTAATCCACCTGCTCCCTCTCTAAGTCCAGAGCTTATACCCAAGGCGGCCATTAAGGAATGATGTGGATGGCTCTCCTTTTCCTAACATATTGGGTGGATGGGATAGACAAAGGTTGATGAGGAGGAACTAGTCCAATGGAAGGGGAAAGATAAACTAGAGAACAGGTTCCGGTCCGGTTGGTGGGGAGACAAAGATATGTGTTGGTGCCACACAAAAAGAACAAGCCTTTGTCGTAAATACAGGCAGAGATATGGAAAGAGAATAAGTGTGTTAAAAATTGGATGTTGTTTCTTTCCTGCGGTTCATTACTCCAGATGGACAAGGAGGAGGCCAGAGAGACATCCACTATAGTAGAGATATAGCAAGAGTTATTTTTTACACGTTTAATGTGATCAGATGTTGCATCATTGATATTGAGCCATGGAAAAAGGTGGGAACCAGGGACAGCACAAGTTAGTTCAGAGGCATTGGTTAGGGGATAGGCTGTAAAACAAGCCAGATGCAGAAACATTCCATTTGCTTCAGGTGATACTTGGTAGTCAGCTTGGTTAGTCTGATGGTTAGAGGGGTGTTTAATAATGATAGTGCGGTTGCATTGGTTAGGTGTGAAGGATCCTACAGGGAAATTTCCTTCAGAGGCTGAAAAGCAAAGTGAGGCTTATTGTAAAAGGAGGGTGTGTTTAGTTATAGGCCCTCCAACGGGGGTGCCTTGGGGCTTGAAGCATTGTAGGGAGTTGTAATAGGTTTGAAATAATTTGTTAGCCTGATTGGCCCTGGAAGTGGGATAATCGCCGACCACAGTCGCAGTGCAGTGCCAATATTATCAATTATTAGTGTCTCTGCAACTTCAGTATCTCTTATTATTCTAATTCTACTAACTATTCTCGAGTTCGCTGTCGCTCTTATTCAAGCTTATGTCTTCATACTATTAGTAAGTCTTTATTTGCATGATAATACATAATGACCCGCCAAACTCATGCCTGCCATATAGCTGTACCTAGCCCTTGACCACTAACAGGAGCTCTCTCGGCTCTCCTAATAACATCTGGCCTGGCCATATGATTTCACTTTAATTCTACCACTCTTTTAACTTTAGGCGTGCTAACCAACACACTGACTATACATCAGTGATGACGTGATATTGTCCGAGAAAGTATATTCCAAGGCCACCACACAACAATTGTCCTAAAAGACCTCTGATACGGGATGCTCCTATTTATTATCTCAGAAGTATTCTTCTTCGCCGGTTTTTTCTGGGCATTCTATCACTCCAGTTTAGCACCGACCCCAGAATTAGGAAGACATTGACCCCCAACAGGTATTCTTCCCCTGAACCCTTTAGAAGTATCTCTCCTAAATACGTCTGTATTACTTGCATCAGGAGTTTCAATTACTTGAGCCCATCACAGCCTAATAGAAGGTAACCAAAAACAAATAATTCAAGCAGTACTTACCACGATCCTCTTAGGAGTCTATTTCACTCTTCTACAAGTCTCAGAATATTTCGAGGCCCCTTTATTATCTCTGATGGAATCTATGGCTCAACATTCTTTGTAGCCACAGGCTTTCATGGACTTCATGTTATTATTGGATCAACAATTCTCACCATCTGCCTTCTTGCCAATTAAAATTTCATTTTAGGCCCGGCATGGTGGCTCATCCCTGTAATCCCAGCACTTTGGGAGGCCAAGGTGGGCAGATCACCTGAGGTCGGGAGTTCGAGACCAGCCTGACCAACATGGAGAAACCCCGTCTCTACTAAAAATACAAAATTAGCCGGGCATGGTGGCGCATGCCTATAATCCCAGCTACTTGGGAAGGCTGAAGCAGGAGAATTGCTTCAAATGATCGTCCCTCTTCATCCTCCCAAAGTGCTGGGATTACAGGTGTGAGCCACCACACCCAGCCCAGCTTTGTTAATTTTTCTGTTTGCTGGTTTTCTGTTTCATTGTTGTCTGGTTTCATTTTTATTAATTCCTTCTTTCTTTTATTTGTCTTTGCCACATTTAATCATTTCTTTTTTTTATTTATTTTACTTTAAGTTCTGGGATACATGTGCTCAACATGCAGGTTTGTTACATAGGTATACATGCGCTATGGTGGTTTGCTGCACCTGTCAATCCATCATCTGGGTTTTAAGACCTGCATGCATTAGGTATTTGTCCAATGCTCACCCTTCTCTTTCCCTCCACTCCCCAACTGGCCCCGGTTTGTGATGTTCCCCTCCTTGTGTGTTCTCATTGTTGAGACATGTGAGACTTGGATATGTACTCTCATTGTTCAACTCCCACTTATGAGTGAGAACATGCAGTGTTTGATTTTCTGTTCCTGTGTTAGTTTGCTGAGGATGATGGTTTCCAGCTTCGTCCATGTCCCTGCAAAGGACATGAACTCATTCTTTTTTATGGCTGCATAGTATTCCATGGTGAATATGTGCCACATTTTCTTTATCCAGTCTATCACTGATGGGCATTTGGGTTGGTTCCACATCTTTGCTTTTTAATTCCTTCTTTCTACCTTCTATCTTCTTTAGATTTAGTTTGCTTTCCTTTTTCTACCTTCTTAAGGTAGAAGCTCACACCATTGATTTTAAACTTCTCTTCAGTTCTGATGTATACATTTAAAGAAACTAATTTCCCTTCAAGCACTCTTTCAGCTTTATCTCATACATTTTGATATAATGAACTTCATGATCATTCACTTAAAATATTCTCTAATTTTCTTTGTAATTTCCTCTTAGACCTATGGCTTATTTGGTAGTATGTTGATTAATTTCTGTATATTTAGGGGATTTCCAGGTTATCAGTTTGGTGCTGCTTTCTAATTTAGTTGAGGTATTTTTATTTTTATCTTTTTTGTTCAGAGAACATACCCTACCCAGTTTGCATACTGTTGAATTTCTTGAGACTAAATTTATGATCCAGTATGTTGTTCATCTTGATGGATATTTCATGTACACCTGAAATAATATGTATTTTGCCATTGCATATTCTAGTCTAATGTCTTATAAGTGTCAGTTAGGTTGATTTAATTATTAGTGCTATTCCACTGTTTAATATATTTTCCTGATTTTTTGTTCATTTCTTTTACCAATTATTGAGAGAAGCATTTAAAAATCTCTAATTACGATTGCAAATTTATCTATATTTTCATTTCTGTCAATTTTTGTATCATTTATTTTTAAGTCATATTATTAGATGCATACATATTTAGAAAAGTTATGTTCTTCTTATGGTTTTTCCATCATTATGACTCAAGTTTTATTTTTATTCCTGGTAAAACATATTTTTAATGAAGATTTTTTTTGTTATTAATATGATCATACTGAATTTATTGTGATTTAGGTATTTGTGGTATGCATTCTTTCTTCTGGTTATTTTTTGCCTATCTGTGTAAAGAGCATGTATCTACCATTCTTTGAACATATTCTTATCTCTGACACCTGACACGTATCCATCATTCTTTTTTTTTTTTTTTTTTGAGACGGAGTCTCGCCTCTGTCGCCCAGGCTGGAGTGCAGTGGCGCGATCTCGGCTCACGGCAAGCTCCGCCTTCAGGGTTCACCCCATTGTCCTGCCTCAGCCTCCCAAGTAGCTGGGACTACAGGCGCCCGCTACCACGCCCGGCAATTTTTTTTTTTGTATTTTTTAGTAGAGGCGGGGTTTCACCGTGTTAGCCAGGATGTTGTCGATCTCCTGACCTCGTGATCCGCCTGCCTCGGCCTCCCAAAGTGCTGGGATTACAGGCATGAGCCACCGCGCCCGGCCGTATCCACCATTCTTAAATATCCTTACTTTCTATGATCATCTTTTATTTTTTTTCTCAAGCTCTAGAATCTGTCATAGCTCTGGGTTCTTTTAGAAGAGTCTGGTTAAAAAGCTAGATCAAGATCTGTGTGTTAAGTGTGCTCATTGCTATGGGAATGTCAAAAGTCTAAGATCCTATTTGTGGACATACACATAAACATCTATACATTTATTTCTATAGCTACTTACTTATATTAAAAACCATATGTCTACGTCTAGCCTTTCTAGAAACAAAAATTATGAAATCTATAAAAATGACTTAAAAATTTGCAATCATTGGAGATCTTTTGAAGCATGCAGAATACATCAGGAGATAAATATTGAGAAAAGGAAAGTAACTAGGTGAGTTCAACGTTTACTGTGAGTTTCCCCTGAGAGTGCTTTTCAGTCTAAAGCAGTAGATGGTAGAACAAAGCTCAAGCAGAAAGATGCAGTCTTACCAGGAAGAGAAGACGGAGGTTGGAGTTTGGTGCCGAAAGAATTAGTTGCTATTGAGGAGAAAAATCCCCAAAAAACATGAAAACTCAAAGAGGGGCCCCTATTCTGCATGCAAATTTCTTTCAAATGCAGAATTTTGGGCTCTCCTCTGTGGTATTCTTATTTAGGATTTTCCACTCAAGTTCTACAAATAGTGCGCCACTGCACTCCAGTTTGGGCAACAGAGCAAGACTCTGCCTAAAATAAAATAAAATAAAAATTGTTTTAAATTTCCACAAATCTTAAAGACCTAAGTTCTGACATCTTTCTACTCAGTTACCATTAGGAAGGAGAAAAATATACTAAGAAAGGCAAGTAAAGAGGAATAAGAGAAAAAGAACAGATGGGCCAAAAACAAAAAGCAGCAAGGGGGTAGACTTAAATCCAGTACTTCAGTAATTACATTAAATGCATATTTCTAAACTGGATAAATAAGCAAGACTTTTGACCATACACTGTCCATAAGAAATGCATTTTAAGTATGAAGACACAGGTTAAAAATATAAGGATGAAAAAATATACACTGGGCAAGAAAGCTGGAGTGGCTACATTAATATCAGACAAAGAAAACTTTACAAATAAGGAATATTACTGGAGATAAATTTTTCATAATGAAAAAGAGTCAATACATCAAAAAGACATATAATCCTAAGTGTGTATGTACCAAATGCTATATACAGCTTATTTTCAAATTCACGTAGAAAATACATAAAAATATACCACATATATTGACATCAAAACATTTCAACGAATCTAAAAAGCAGTGAGAACATTGGACAAAGTTGCCAAAAACAATCATTTAAAGACTCTGGAAATTGACCAAAGGATACGAACATTGAGAAGCATTTAGTTAAGAGAATCTAAACTGAATCCTAATAAAAACAGCAAAATCAGTATTATTTTGGCCAGAGTATGCTTTCACCAACTTCCTTCACCCCAACTTATGGTGCAGAATTTCTACCTGTGTGGGAGGACAGGCCATGGGATTAAACAGCTCTTCTTAACCTGCCAGAGGGAGCTCACACACATTTTTTGGAAAAGAGCTCACGCACATGCATGCACACACACACACACACACACCCTCAAAATAACGTCTTGGCGTTTTGTAGAAAACAGCATAGACCTCAGGGCAAATAATTATGGAAGGCTAACATCTCAACTAGCTTGAAGTCATGATGGCAGGCCAGTCAGGAATTTTACCAGGGAGATCCAGAGAATGAGATAGTCAAAAATAGCATTGCTAAAATCTCATTTATCCCCAGTGGTGTGGAAAGCTGTCTGCATCAGCTTGGTTAAGCCTGCTCAGGAGACACCTGGCTGAATATAAGGACATGTGAAGGCAGAAAGTAAAAATTGGGACATACCTGTAAAGTCCCGGAACTTTGAAAGCATTTCCCACATCCCACTCAGTTCAATGGCAAAGTGTGGAAGCCTTACTGACTCAATTGTTTAAGCAGAATCTTTCATCAGTCATAGGCTGACATTAAGCTATGATGACCAGGGGTGATTGTAGGAAATCAGGCTTAATAATGAAAACAAAAATTATTAAACAAACTTAGCAGAGACACCATAGGCTGCATACTAGGGGGAAACAGACTTGGAAGAACTAGCCCAAGCAAGTCACTAACACAAACAACAAACAGCAAGAGCACTTACTCCTAGGGATTGTGGAATCAGAATTTATGTAAAATATCAATATTAAACAAAAATTACAAGACATGCAAAGAAACTGGAAAATTTTACCAACACATAATACATAGGAAAAAAAGAAGCCAACAGAACTTGTCTCTGAGGAGACAGGTTAAAATGATTTCATTTTAAATTGCTCTCATTCTTGAGCATAATGAAGAAACACTCTTTAAGGCAGGTGAGAAATAACTAAGCAGTTATCAATTAGAGTGTTCAAGTAGTGGTTCTGAGTCTTAAAAAAAATAGGAGGGTGGGAAAGAAAGTACAAAAGAAATCAGATTCCTGTTTTAACTACCTTGGAACACATAAAATTGTGAAAATATGTTGAGAAAGTTCTATCTATACAGCCATCTCCAACTGCTGTATAATAGGTGTGCCGGAAAAATAGAAAAAATATAGGATACAATAAAAAATCAAAGTTTTTTTTTTTTCTGAAGGAAAGGAAGACTTTAGTCTCTGGCTAGATAAGATTCATGCAATTTAAAGGAATCAAGTGGAATCATGAAAATATACAAATAGTTCTGTAGCTGTAGGGATGAAAATTTTTACTACACAATCAGAAAATAAAATGGTAATAAAAATGATCTATTGGCTTCCAAGAAGGAAATAAACAGTTTACACATAAAAGGACGAGAACCAGACTGGAATCAAATTTCTTATCTGAAATATCAGAAGCCAGAAAACAATGAGAGGGAAAAAAGGCTGCCAACTTAACACATGGGGAAGCAGTGTGTTGGCAGGAAAGGCAGTGTAAGAGAGGAGGTTTGTACAGGGAGATGGAAGAGACAATGGAGAGAAGACAATCTGAGCAGAAGCTGTGAGGAGTAGATAGATACTAGGGAAACGGAATGCTAACGATGGCGTTATTTTAAAACTAACCTTGTGCGGCATATTTTAAAATTATCATTCCCACACCCTCATTGCATTGTAAAAATTTTGGATTAATATTTTGTTTATCTTTTGGTGTAGAACTGTGCTAAAGGACACGGATTCTATACTACTGGAAGAAGTTCAAGGTTCTTGTTTTAGGAGGACATGGACAGCTGTAGGGATGTTAACTGGGTCATGTTCACCAGTAGGTGGGGACATTGCACTTTAGAAATTCAAGGGAGCTGCCGCTTTCCCTTTTTTCCTTGCCCCTTGGCAGGTCTGGATTTGAGGGGTCAGGATTCCTTGAGGGTGGTAACACAGCCACTCTTATTTCCCGTACTCGTCCTTCCATGTGTTCAGAATATGATGCAATCTGAGATGCAGTTTTGGATGTTTGAGAAGCAAAGAAGCATGGCTGGAGCAGGAGTTAAAGTCTGCTTTTGTTTGAGAACTGAGGAGCTCAGTCTTTTACATGCTCTCACAGGTAAGAGATTGGTACTATAAAATTACATGCTTAAAACAAACTTCACTGCTGTCATTCTAGTGCAAGCCACTATCCTTTTTCACATTGAACATTCTGCCACCATCTGCAGCATTCTTGATATTTCAGTAAGAATGATATTTTACTTTACAATTACTATTTTAAATGTATTGGGATATCAGTATATAGTTTGAAGATTAAACAATAGAGATGTATTTTAATGAAAACAAGAGCCCTTCACGCCATTCCTTTCCTCCACTGTCATTATCCCCAGTTCAATGACTTTAACAGTAATATGCGTATGTTTTTGTATGTGGGGGTATTAATTTAGACATCCATTGACTTCCTGTTATGAAACCAGATAATTTAAACCACCAAAAATTAGGTCTCTGACATCTTTCTTGTGATTTTATTATCTTACTATGTTTAGTTCCTCCGTAGGTAATCCCTGCATTTTTTATTTTTTATTTATTTATTTATTTATTTTTGAGACAGAGTCTCGCTCTGTCCCCCAGGCTGGAGTGCAGTGGCGCGACTGGCTCACTGCAAGCTCCGCCTCCCGGGTTCACGCCATTCTTCTGCCTCAGCCTCCTGAGTAGCTGGGACTACAGGCGCCCGCCACCACACCCGGCTAATTTTTTTTTTGTATTTTTAGTAGAGATGGGGTTTCACCGTGTTAGCCAGGATGGTCTCGATCTCCTGACCTCGTGATCCGCCCGCCTTGGCCTCCCAAAGTGCTGGGATTACAGGCGTGAGCCACCGCGCCCGGCCAATCCCTGTATTTTTAAACACAGTACTCTATTATTCTGTCAGTTATATTCAAGATCTCTTGAGTTTTCTCCTTGTAGATGAAGCTACTGCTAACCCTATTCTTTCCTGCTCTACTTTTTTCCTTATTTCATATCCCAACTTCTGGCATTTATAATTTATCTTTAATATTTTGAAACCCGATAGTATTTATGGTTTGTTTGTAACCAGGTATTTTTTAAACACGTATGTGCTCATTATTGAGAATATATTTCCTTTGTTGGGCATCTTTTAATTTTTATGAAGGTTCTATTTGCAATTTCTTTTCCCTCATATATGTAGTCTACTTTTTAATCATATCCTCAGATGTTTTGAATATCTCAACAATACTGTAAAATTTATGGGATCATACTTATCATGTTTATCCACTTCCTGGTGCCCTTAGTTCTCTAGTTTCAATCTAAAAGAAATGATTTCCAGGACTGCTGAGCAGATGTCATCTTGGGATTCTCTTCATTGTTTTCTTTGGTAGAAGATAATGTTTCAGGTATCTGATATCTTCCTCTTACTTGCTTTGACTACCTAATTTTGCTACGACACACCGTCTGTTAATATCCAAAAAAGGATATTCTGGAAGCAAATTTTTCTAATCTTTGCATGTCTGAGAATAATTTTTATTCTAGATTCATGCCTGAATGAAATTTAATGGGTTTATAAGTATGGGTCTAGTCAGGAGAGAGAGGAAATCACACAGTAATGTAAAATGAGAAAGATCAATATAAAGAAATACGAATCTTAACAAGAGATCTGAGTAATAAGAGATTGGCTAGAAAGAAGTAAAGAGAACTCTAAATAATATAGCAGTGGCAGATATAATAGTGCATAATATAATATAATACGAAATGGCTACTTCCCTAGTGTATTAGTCAGGGTTATCTAGAGGGATAGAACTAATATGATAGATGTATGTATAAAGGGGAGTTTATTAAAGCGTGTTGACTCACATGATCACAAGGTGAAGTCCCACAATAGACCGTCTGCAATCTGAGGAGCAAGGAAGCCAGTCCGAGTCCCAAAACCTCAAAAGTAGGGAAGCTGACAGTGCAGCCTTCAGTCTGTGGTTGAAGGTCTCAGAGCCCCTGGCAAGGGAGAAAAATGAAGGGTGGAAGACCGCTAGTCTAGTCCTTCTACGGTCCTCTGCCTGCTTTTATCCTAGTGGTGCTGGCAGCTGATTAGATGGTGCCCACCCAGATTGAGGGTGGGTCTTGCCTCTCCCAGTCCACTGACTCAAATGTTAATCTCCTTTGGCAACACCCTCACAGACACACCCAGGAACAATACTTTGCATCTTTCAATTCAATCAAGTTGACACTCGATATTAACCCATCACCTAGGTTAAGATAGAGTACCCAAGAAGGAGCCTTCTCCAGTTTTCTTTCCAAGGGTGAGGTCAGACCTTGTTAGGGAGGCACTTCCATGGCTCACTGAATGGCAGAGAGGTAGTTGTTGAACTGCTGCTCCAGCGGTAGTTTGCTGTAATCCACCCTCTGGGACTTGTCAGAAATCCTTCCTCTAGGGTGTTGGGGAAAGCTGTTCCTGTAAGGTTCATGGAAATGGGGTGGTGGTGGTCACTCTCTGCTGTAAAACTGCTAAAGGGGGTGTCTGACGAAGCCTGACGAAGCTGCTGGGCGTTGCTGGCTGCTCTACACTGCAAAAGCTGGGTGCTGAGGAAGCCGCAAGAGTCTGATGTTGTAGAAGCCAGGTGAGAACTTGCCAAAATTAATGACAGACAACGAATCACCGATTACAAATCTAGGAGAATACCAAGCAGGACTAAAAAAACAAAAACAACCTACACTTAAGTATATTATATTTAAACTTTAAAAAGTTGAAATACATAAATACTGTTTAGAAAAGCAAAGAAGGGTGAGAAAAGTACAAGTTATTACATTTTATGTATTTCTTAAAAATGGATATAACAGGTAGATATTTGTTGATATGTATTACAAAAGTTGGACAACATAGTCATGAAATATATTTAGATACTTTAAATACATATATTACACAAGGGAAGAAATAAAGTACTACTCAAATCAATAAGAAAGAGTTAAATAACCTAATAGCAATGTTGGAAAGTAGGTGAACAGGCAATTCACAGAAGAACTCAAATGGCAAATAGCGTATGCAAAGATGGTCAACTTTCTCTACAATATTTGACACAGAAACATTATGTCATTTCAGTTTAAATATAATTACACATTCATAAAAATTGGGGAGCACACCTTTGAAGGGTTACTAATAAATTGTCTAGAAACATTGTTCTAAAAGCTGATGTGGTTTTGGAAGACCAAGTGTGAATATTCAAAGGCACTTTCATTTGTTGAGCAAAACACCAAGTGGAGAAATTGAAGATCCCTGATTGCGAAAGGATCCAAGTGTTTAGAGCAGAACTGAAATCCTGAATAATGGTTCTCTCCATGTAGCAGGCAGAGAATGTGACTAGTGGAAAACAGAGGTTTATGTAAACAAAAGCAGCCTAGATTTGGACATCAAATTCATCAATTAATGTATCCATTCATTTGTCAAATAATTATTTAGCTCCTACTAAGTGCTATGTACTATTCCAGATAAAATAGTCAGCAAGGTAAAAATGTCCCTACCTTTATGAGTCTTAATTCTAGCAGGAAAGAAAAAATAATCACATAATATACAGATATGCAGTATTAGGTGGTGATTCTTGCTATGAAGATACACATGAAGAAAGCTGAGTAAGGGGATAGAGAAACAAGGGCTTACCAGTAGTAAATTTCCATGCAAACCGTGGCAGGCTAATTTCAAAATCAGAAATATTTTATTATAGTTTTTCTTGGGTTATTAGTGTCAGACATAAGAAAAGTGCAGTAGATTTACTACCACAGATTTTTGCACTTGTACTTATTTTGAATGAAATGTACTGTCAAAGAACGAAGCAGGTGGACTGGGCTTATATCCTGTCTCCTTGTAGTAGAGAATATTGAGTCTGATGTGCAGACCAGCAGATCCTTTGTGTATCACCTGCACCACTCCCTCATCCCCTCCATAAGCTCACATCAGGAGTAACTATGTTCATGTACTGTAATGTGAACTCATCCCCTGGCAACACTTTACTGGTATACAGTAAGCAACTGACTGGTCTAGGAAAAGAAGCCCTAGGGCAAAGGAGAGATGAATTGAGAACATCTTGGCAGGGACCATTTTGTACTATGTGAATCTGAAAGCAGAGATATATAAAATAATGAAGATGACAGGCAGAGAAAATTAGAGATAAGAAATATACAGAGGATTTCTTGTATAACACCCAGTGTACTATCCTTAGATCAATCCTTTTACATATCTTCTTTGGCTTCTGTGAGTTAGCCCTTTGTTATGATAACAAATTTTATCTTTTTGATCAATCTAACTCAGGCACTTGTGTTCCCCATGATGACATGCTCTCACGATGGCTCTGATTTATTTAACATACAGATGAAGACCATGAGTGTGGATTTCCGAAATGCAGTCAGTGGACTCAATTACTGTTTGTTGAGTCCATGAGCAGATGTGACTAACAAAGATCTGTGCATATGGGGATTGAAGGGTTTTTTTTTGTTTTTGGATAGAGTTGGTGAAGAAATTAAATGCAAGTATACGATATTCCATGGCCAAGAATTTCAAATAATAAAGTGTTTATATGAGATGTTTGGGCTTTAATATGGGAAGTATGTATATGGGATGTGTGGGCTCTAATTTGTTTAAATTGTGTTTATTACTAATATTTGTGGGCACATAGTAAGTGTATATATGTATGAGGTACATGAGATGTTTTGAAAAAAGAATGCAATGTGAAATCAGTAAATCATGAAGAATGGGCATCCATACCCTCAAGCATTTATCCATTGAGTTGCAAACAATCCAGTTACACTCTTGAAGTTATTTTAAATGTATAGTTACTATTTACTATAGTTGCCCTGTTGTGCTATCAAATAGTAGATCTTGTTCATTCTTTCCAATTTTTTCCCATTAACCATCCCCATATCCCTCCCTCCCTGATCTCCCACTACCTTTCCAACCTCTGGTAATCATCCTTCTACTCTCTATGTTCATAAATCCAATCATTTTAATTGTTAGATCCTACAAATAACTAAGAACATGCGATGTTTGTCTTTCTGTGCCTAGCTTATTTCACTTATGGAACTGCCATGCCTGTTGTTGCAAATGACTGGATCTCATTCTTTTTTATGGCTGAATAGTACTCCATTATGTATATGTACCACATTTTCTTTATCCATTCAACTGTTGATGGATACTTTGATATACTGACTTTTTTTTTCTTTTCAGTGTATACCCAGCAGTGGGATTGCTGGATCATATGAGAGCTCAATTTTTAGTTTTTTGAAGAACCTCCAAACTGTTCTCCATAGTAGTTGTACTAATTTACGTTCCCACCAATAGTGTCCAAGTGTTCTTTATTTCACATCCTTCCCAGCATTTGCTATTGCCTGTCTTTTGGATATCAGCCATTTTTAACTGGAGTGAGATGATACCTCATTGTAGTTTTGATTTGCATTTCTCTGATGATCAATGATGTTGAGCACATTTTCATATGCCTGTTTGTCATTTGTATGTCTTATTTTGAGAAACATCTATTCAAATCTTTTGCCCAACTTTTGATTGGATTATTAGTTTTTGCCTATAGAGTTGTTTGAATCCTTATATATTCTGGTTATTCATCCCTCATCAGATGGGTAGTTTGGAGATATTTTCTTCCATTCTGTGGGTTGTCTCTTCACTTTGTTGATTGTATCCTTTGTGTTCAGAAGCTTTTTAACTTGATGTAATCCCATTTCTCCATTGGTGCTTTGGTTGCTTGTGTTTGTAGAGTATCACTCAGGAAATTTTTGCCTAGACCAAAGTCCTGGAGATTTTCCCTAATGTTTTCTTGTAGTAGTTTCATGGTTTGAGGTCTTAGATTTAAGTCCTTAATCCATTTTGATTTGATTTTTGTATATGATGAGAGAAACGAGTCTAGTTTTATTCTTCTGCATATGAATATCCAGTTTTCCCAGCATCACTTATTGCAGAGACTGTCTTTTCCCCAGTGTATGTTTTTGGCACTTTTGTCAAAAATGAGTTCACTGTAGGCTTGTGGATTTGCTTCTGGGTTCTCTAGTCCATTCCACTGGTCTATACGTCTGTTTTTATGCCAGTACCATGCTGTTTTGGTTACCATAGCTCTGTAGCATAATTTGAAGTCAGTAATGTGATTCTTCTAGTTTTATTCTTTTTGCTTAGGATGGCTTTAGCTATTCTGAGTCTTGTGGTTCCATATAATTTTAAGATTTTTTTCCATTTCTGTGAGAAATGTCATTGGTTGTTTGATAGTGATTGTGTTGAATCTGTAGATTGCTTTGGGTAGTATGGACATTTTAACACTATTGATTCTTCCAAGCCATGAACATGGAACATGTTTCCTTTTTTTATTATAAAAAAATTTCTTTTATTATAGAGATTTCTTATTCTCAATTTCCTTTATTATAGAATTATAATAGAATACAGAATTTATTATAAAAAAATTCTTTTATTATAGAGATTTCTTATTCCTCAATTTCTTTTATTATAGAGATTTTTCACTTCCTTGGTCAAGTTAATTCCTAGGTATTTCATTTTGTGTGTGGCTATTTTAAATAGAATTACTTTTTAAATTTCTTTTTCACATTGTTCACTATTGGCATATAGAAATTCTACTGATTTTATATGCTGATTTTCTATCCTCGAACTTTATTGAATTTATCAGTTCTTATAGTATTCTTGTGGAGTCTTTAAGTTTTTATAAATATAGGAGCATATCCTCTGCAAACAAGGATAATTTGACTTCTTCCTTTTAAATTTGGATGCCATGTATATCTTTCTCTTGTCTAATTGCTCTAGCTAGGACTTCCAGTACTATGTTGAATAACAGTGGTGACAGTGGCATCCTTGTCATGTTCCAGATCTTAGAAAAAAGACTTTCAGTTTTTCCCCATTCAGTATGATACTAGCTGTGGGTCTGTCATATATGGCTTTTATTATGTTGAAGTATGTTCTTTATATCCCCAGTTTTTGAGAATTTTTCACATGAAGCGATGTTAAATTTTATCAAATGCTTTTTTCAGCATCAATTAAAATGAACATTTTATTTTTATCTTCATTGTGTTGATGTGATGTATCACGTTAATTTGTGTATGTTGAACCATCCTTGCATCCCAGCTATAAATCCCACTTGATTGTTATGAGTGATCTTTCTGATGTATTGTTTAATTCAGTTTACTAATATTTTGTTGAGGATTTTTGCATCAATATTCATCAGAGATATTGGCCTACAGTTTTTTTTTATGTGTCTTTGTCTGGTTTTGGTATCAAGGTAATACTGGGCTCATAGAATGAGTTTAGAAGTATTCCCTCATAAAATACTTGTAGAAGTATTCCCTCCTTCTCTATTTTTTGGAATAATTTGAGTAGGATTGGTATTCTTCTTTGAATGTTTGGTAGCATTCAGCAGTGAAGTCATCAGGTCCTGGAATTTATTTACTGGTAGACTGTTTATTGTGACTTTGATCTTGTTACTTGTTATTGATCTTTTTAGGTTTTGAGTTATTTCCTGTTTTAATCTTGGTAGGTTGCATGTGTCTAGGACTTTGTCCATTTCTTCTAGGTTTTCCAATTTATAACATATAGTTGCTCATAGTAGCCACTAATGATCCTTTGAATTTCTGCAGTATCAGTTGTAATGTCTCCTTTTCCATTTATGATTTTATTTATCTGGATCTTCTCTCTTTTTTTCTTAGTTTGTCTGGCTAAAGGTTTGTCAATTTTGTTTAACTTTTCAAAAAAGCAAATTTTTGTTTCATAGATCTTTTGTATTTTTTTCAATTTCATTTATTTCCACTCTGATCTTTACTTTTTCTTTTCTTCAACTAATTTTTGCTTTGGTTTCCTCTTGCTTTTCTAGTTTTTAAGATGCATCATTAGATTGCTAATTTAAAGTTTCTCCTTTTCTGACGTAGGCACCTATAGCTATAAACTTCCTCCTTATTACTGCTTTTGCTGTATCCCATGGGTTTTGGTATGTTGTGTTTTCATTGTCATTTGTTTCAATAAATGTTTCAATTTCCCTCTTAATTTCTTCATTGACCCACTGGTCATTCAGGAGCATATTGTTTAATTTCCATGTATTTTTATAGTTTCCCAAATTTCTCTTCTTATTAATTTCCAGTTTTATTCAACTGGGTTCAGAGAAGATGCTTGAGCAATTTGAGAGGCCAAGGTGGGAGGATTGCTTGAGCTCAGGAGTATGAAACCAGCCTAGGCAACATAGGGAGACCCAGAAGCAGTTCAAATGGGATTGAAAACCATGTACCTGTTGCCTGGACTGTAGAGGGCGTTGCAAGCCTGGTGGAGGTGAGCAAAGGGAGAGATTAGATAAAGCTGAGTACCCAACTTCCAGAGTTGCATATATCATTGAGACCAATAGTTCCACATACAGATTTCATTTAACATCTGTATTTTTAAAGTCAATCACAATAGACTTGTCAGACCGTCTTAGAATTATAACAAAGAACAGAAGAAAACAAGATCACTTTTATTGTATTTTAGAACCTTGGGTGACAGTTGATATTGGGAGGGCTTCAAAGCTATAAATGTAGATATAAATAAAAACATAAACAGATTTAGAGGTTTTAGATCACAGTGAATGTGCTAATTTGTAACTCCTTTTAAATTTAACATATGGTAAACAACTCTATTTTGTCATTAAATATCTTTCTAAAACATTGTTTTGAAGGACTGTATATAATTGTGTCATAGTTTGTTACCTAATTATTTAAATTTTGAGGCCAGGTGCAGTGGCTTACACCTATAATCCCAGCACTTTGGGAGGCCGAGGAGGGCAGATCACCTGAGGTCAGGAGTTCGAGACCAGCCTGGCCACATGGTGAAACCCTGTCTCTACTAAAAATGCAAAAATTAGCCAAGCATGGTGGCAGGTGCCTGTAATCCTAGCTACTCGGGAGGCTGAGGAAGGAGAATCGCTTGAACCCAAGAGGCGGAGGTTGCAGTGAGCCGAGATCGAGCCATTGCACTCCAGCCTGGGGGACAAAAGCAAGACTGTCTGAAAAAAAAAAAATTTTTTTTTTTTTGAGTACAGATGGGAATTGACTGAAAGCATTTTTACTGAATTGTTGGTTCTCAACTCCCCTCCTACTCCTACATCTTGGCTCTACTTCCCAACTACAAAATGGAAAGTTTCCTTTTTGGATATATGAGTACACAAAAAAGGAGAATCTTCACATTATGGTGTGTCCAGTCTCTTTTTACATTCCATTTTGTTTTTATTTTATAGAGGTAATATTTTTATAGCCTCATGTAGATTTTTTCATTTTAGTTTGTAAAAAAGAACAATGAGAACACTTGGACACAGGAAGGGGAACATCACACACACGGGGGCCTGTTGTGGGGAGGGGGAAGGAGGGAGGGATAGCATTAGGAGATATACTTAATGTAAATGATGAGTTAATGGGTGCAGCACACCAACATGGCACATGTATACATATGTAACAAACCTGCACGTTGTGCACATGTACCCTAGAACTTAAAGTATAATAAAATATATATATTAAAAATAAGTAAATAAATAAATCAGCTACTGCACCTGGGCAACTATTCTGCTCAAAAAAAAAAAAAAGTAAAACTTAAAGAAAACTTGCAATAAGAATAGTATTTTGTACTTATATATTTTTTTTCTGAAATTGCACTCATCAGAACTCTTTATCCTTAAGTACTTCAGTATTTCCTAAGAAAAGGATACATTCTTGTACATAACCAGAATATAGCTACCAACTTCATTAAGTTTAATTTTAATAATCTAAACTGTTTGAATTCTCATTGTCATATGAATTTTGTTTGAAAATACAAGCCCAAAATTACACTCCCGTCTCTGAACATGTCATGTTTCTTAAATCATTTATGTCTTTATGCTGCATGGTACATTTTTGTGATTAAAACACTGTAATTTTTTGTGGAATTTATTCCTTAAAATTTTATATTTCTACTGGCAGTTTGAATGGTAATTTATCCTACATTCTCTCACCCTTCCCATCTCCCCCTGCTACTATATATTTTATTTGTGCTTCTTAGTAGCTTGGACTGCCAGAGACAAGTGACTCTGCCTCATCATATGCTTCTCATTGGTTGGAGAGATACATATTCATTACTATTAGTTATTTCTTCTAACCAGAGCTTCTGCAAAGCCCCTTTATCATTATCCTTTCTCTTCAATCACAGTCTTGCCTAGTAACCTTTTCCATACCCAGATAGTTCCTTTCCTCCTGCAAGAACTAAGCGTATGTAAGTCTTCTCATTTGTTACCTAGTTCACTTTTCTTCACATGTGAGGATCCTGGATACTATTAAGATGCCTTCACGCCGGGCGCGGTGGCTCACGCCTGTAATCCCAGCACTTTGGGAGGCCGAGGCGGGCGGATCACGAGGTCAGGAGATCGAGACCATCCCGGCTAAAACGGTGAAACCCCGTCTCTACTAAAAATACAAAAAATTAGCCGGGCGTGGTGGCGGGCGCCTGTAGTCCCAGCTACTTGGGAGGCTGAGGCAGGAGAATGGCGTGAACCCGGGAGGCGGAGCTTGCAGTGAGCCGAGATCCCGCCACTGCACTCCAGCCTGGGCGACAGAGCGAGACTCTGTCTCAAAAGAAAAAAAAAAAAAAAAAAGATGCCTTCACTACTGACTGGATCTTGGAAAAATATGCTTTGTTTCCCTACAAAATATATTTTCTTTTAAGCTCTCAGAGTAAATTTTGAAATGAGCTACCCATAGGTTAGTCCTCTGGTATTAACTAGTATCATTATTCTGGCTGTAAAAGATAACTGTTCAAACTATTTACAGGTTAGATTATCCAGGGGATATAGTTTAGAGCACCCATATAATTTCCAATAGATTACTTGATTTAAAAAGAACCTATCAAGTTAATGTTTTGAAGAAATTGATAATTTCTTTTAGAGGTTTCTCTGAAAAAATACAAGCAGACAGGCAGTCCATATTAACAGGCTGGGTCTAGAGTTATATAGTCTGAGCGAGGACATGGGGTGTTGAGTTGAGTCCAGGGACAGGCCATATGCAGAGAACCAGAACAATGTTTCAAAATCTGCAAATGGCTGAGTCTGGGTATTTCCTGTGTGAAGGAGGATGCCAGAAATGAGCAACCAAAACCTTGACAGAGACTGAAAACACATCCCAAAGTAGGAGGCAAAATACATCCACCTTCCAGGCAGCATACCCAGGCCTGATACACATGTTAGAATGGGTTCTAGACATGCGACAACAGGATAAAAAAGTCAGTAAAATCATGGGAAAGATTAAAGTGAAAAATATTATAATATAAAGTCAATACATCTCATTAATTTTAGTAACTACAAATAGACTAAACTTGTGACCAGAAGACAGAGACTGACAAATTGAATGCAAAATCATAAATTCAGGTTATACTGTTTACAAGACACATACCTAAAGCATAAAAGTCATTTCAGAGATTAAGTGTAAAACATAGAAAGGACATATTATGCAAAAACTAATTCTAAGAAATGGCGTTTATTTATTAATGTCAAAAACAAATTTTAAGGAAAAAGATATCGTAGGACAGAAAGACTGATATAATGATAAACATTCACCTAGTCAAGGAAAACAAAGGCTGGGCACAGGGGCTCACACCTGTAATCCCAGCACTTTGGGAGGCTGAGGCAGGTGGACCGCTTGAGCTTATGATTTCAAGACCAGTCTGGGCAACATGGCTAAAACCTGCCTCTGCAAAAAACAAAAATTAGCTGGGCATGGTGGTGCGTGTCTGTAATCCCAACTACTTGGAAGGCAGAGGTGGGAGGATGGCTTGAGTCCAGGAGGTGTAGGTTGCAGTGAGCCGAGATTGCACCACTGCACTCCAGCCTGGACGATAGAGCCAGACTTTGTCTAAAAACAGAAAGAAAAGAAAAGAAAAACATAGCAACTATAAATATAGGTGCATCTAATAAAATATCCTCAAAGACATGAATCAAAATTGATATAATATTTAGGTAGAAAGCAATAAATCTACCATTTATAGTATGATATTTTAATATATGTTTCTGGGTTCTTTATAAGTCAAGAAGGCAAAAGTAGGATATAAAAGATCTAAACAACACAATTAGTAAGCTTGACCTAATAGACTTGAATATATTATAAAGTTATTGTCTATGTTCTCATCTATGTGCTAGGTGGTAGATTCACCAGTGCCTATTACATTAATTTTAATTTTAATTTTAATTTTAATTTTTTTTGAAACAGAGTCTTGCTTAATAGCCCAGGCTGGAATGCAGTGGTGCGATCTCAGCTCACTTTAACCTCCACCTCTCAGGTTCAAGCGATTCTCCTGCCTCAGTCTCCTGAGTAGCTGGGACTAAGGTGCATGCCACCACACCCTGGTAATTTTTGTATTTTTTTAGTAGAGACAGGGTTTCACCATGTTGGCCAGGCTGGTCTCAAACTCCTGACTTCAGGTGATTCACCCACCTTGCCTCCCAAAGTGCTGGGATTACAGTTGTGAGCCACCGCGCCCAGCCAGTTTATTATTTTTAATTTGTTTTTTAATGTAATGTAATGTAATTAATGTAATAGGCACTGGTGAATAGGCACTGGTGAATCTACCACCTGGCACATAGATGAGAACATAGACAATAACTTTATCATATATTTGAGTCTATTAGGTTAAGCTTACTAATTGTGTTATTTAGATCTTTTATATCCTACTTTTGCCTTCTTGACTTATAAAGAACCTAGAAACATATATTAAAATATCATACCATAAATGGTAGATTTTTTGCTTTCTACCTAAATATTATATCAATTTTGATTCATGTCTTTGAGGATATTTTATTAGATGCACCTATATTTATAGTTGCTATGGACCTCAGTCATACGTGGAAATGAATTCTGCCAACAGGCAGTGAGCTTGGAAGAGGACCCCAAACTCAGATGAGAATTACAATGTCTCTGTGACTTGAGTCTTGTGACATCCTAAGCAGAAAGCCCAGTTGAGCTCTCCCTAGACTTCTGACTTAGAAAGCTGATGTAATAAATGGGTTTTGTTCTAAGCTTCTGCATTTGTACTAATTTTCTGTGACAATGGCTAGAAAACTAATACAATATATTTTGCTCATTTAAGGTTCACGTACTGCACTATAAGCACTTTCTTTTAATATAGCGCAATGCTTAAAATTGATATACATTTCACATATTAACTATTGATTTTTCATTTAAGTTGTGGTTGTATTTATGATGATTTAAAAATATAGTCTAACAATATTTTTCTATATGGTTTCTTTCTTTTGTTTTATTTAAATCATTCCAACACTTTTTAATAAAATAAATATTAACATGTATCTTTTTCTGTATTTTGAGTTCCTTCTTGATTTACATTTAAACTTTTACTCTAACTCAATATCATCTCTGTATGTGTGTATGTATGAGCTCTTTTTATTTTCCTACTAAATAACCAATAGACCCAACATCATTTTTAGTAAATTTCCCTCATTCCACTGAATAAAAAGTCCGCTTTTATTATGTACTACATTTTAAAAAATTTATCCAACATAAATTCAGGATAACTTGTTCTGTTCTTGAAAGCAGTTCTAATGTGGCATTCTTTAACAAGCAAGAGTAAACTTCCCAGTGCACCATTTAAAACACTCCAAACCATTATTGCAATCTCTTGAAAAACATTGAATTAGAATTGTGTTTCTAATACCAAGGAAAATGATTTAAAATTCTCTTAAAATAGCTTTTTCTTCTAAAAATTTCACCTGAGAATGTCTTCACCCACCAGAGTTTCCTCACCACTACGCTGCTTTCTCTTCCATTCCACATAGGTGCCATGTTGTTCAAGTATATTGCAAAAACTTGCCTCCTAACCCCTTATATCTCACGGACTTCCAATCCTCATCAGCTACAGTCCTTTACCCCACAAACCTGGATTGACTCCAAAAGAGTGAAATGGGTTCTTCTGTGCATCAAAGAAATGAAGAATATAAACTATAACACTGGAAGCTTCTTCGAAATATGTTTATGTCCCATCCCAAAATTTTCTCAAAAGTTTAGCAACTTCTAGAAATATAATACGGTAGCCCCACCTTATCCATGGTTTCACTTTCCATAGTTTCAGTTATCTGTGGTTAATCACAGTTTGAAAATAGGGGTGTATAGTACAGTAAGACATTTTGAGAAAGAGAGGGGACCCCATTTACTTAAGTTTTATTACCATATATTGTTAAAATTGTTCTATTTTATTATTAGTTTTTGTTTATCTATGACTGTGAATAATTTACAAATTACACTTTATCATAGGTTGTATGTGTATGAAAACATAGTACATACAGGGTTTGGTACAATCCATGGCTTCAGGCATCTACTGTGGGATCTTGCAGTGTATCCCCCATGAATAAGGGGGGACTACTATAAATACAATTTTGATCTCATTAATCATAACATAAACTTGGATCTGTTTCTGTGCAGTCAATGTTGTTCCACAGTTGACTTTTTTTTTTTGGTGGCAGTAGAAACATGTTTTAATTGTTTAGCTTTATAATTATTTGTAAGCATCTACTAGAGCAACTCCCCCTCATTTTTATCAATAGCTATTTTTATATTTATTACTCTTGAAAAAAATTAGAAACATTTCGTTAACAAAACTATCTTATTGATATTTAGATTAAAGCATCACAAAGTCTATGTATTTTGTTTGGAAAATTGACACAAATTGTCTTGTTCAAGAATGTGGTACTTTTATTTATCAAACTTTTCTTCAGTAAACTTCTTCTATTCTTTTCTGTGGATTGACTAGTAGACGCTTTGATATTTTCTATGTTTATTGCTCTTTTAAGTGATTTTTTTTTTCTGTAACAGACTTATTGGCTTAGTCTGCCAGAGACAAATGATGCTGCTTCACTTCTTCTCATTGGCTGGCGAGGAAAGTACTTAGTGGTTTAACTCAAGCACAACTTCTGTGAATCTTTTTTTTTTTTTTTTTTTTTTTTTTTTAAAGCAGCATCCCGTATTTGGTTACACTCTGGTCTAGTAACCACTTCCTTTGGGCAAGACAACCTTCTCCACCTGCAAGAGCCAGGCATGTGATTAAAAAAATTTCCTTTGTGGTCACTTAGTTATTATTCTTCTTGCTTTGAGTGTTTGGGTTGCTAGTTTCATGTACACACTTTTGACTAAAGCTGTTCTTTACAACTTGTTATAGTAAGTTTTGATTCACAGACTATTTTAGGCTCATCTACAATATAATAATTTCCCACAAATGTAAAGAATATAAGTTTGTACAGTTCTAAATATCAGTAAAACAGCATGGAGCAGAGTGCTCATATTTAACTTCAAAAAAGGTAGTATTTCCATAGGTGCTTTCAGGATAATAAAAATTGATTTGATTGATATAGACTTATGGGACAATATGTGAGAATCAGGCTCTGCTCTAAAGGATAGGAGAAAGGCGGGCAGGGAGTACTTAATATGGTTTGAATTCCAGACACACAACCTAGTTGCCTAATTTGGCCTCATCCACCAGCTTGAATATTTTTGTGAGATTCTGTCTTACATCTCTGGTAATACTAAAACAAAAAATGAGGACCGTTTCAAGTAAGTCTAGCTCAGGAGAAACCATTAAAATTGTTATATTCTCTGTTTGATTTTTCCTACAATTATTATTTCTTCTTTTTATGTTAATTAGAATAGGCCAGACTGCTACAATAACTAGACTTGAAAGTGTATGAAGGCTGAAATACAGTAGAATTTTATAACTCACTAATGTAACAGTAGGAAGATACTGATGATTTGTGAGTAGCTCTTCTCAAGCTGGTGATTCAGGGATCCAAGCTGCCATACTCTAATATGGTGCCTCTCATTTTTTTTCCTGTGAAAATTAACATACTTTAATTTTTCTTCAAATAGGGAGGTCAGGAAGAGTGGCCAATTGTGATCTAGAAGATTAAGGCAAGACGGTTAGTGAAATTTGCAACAGTGTCCACTACGTTGTCATTATGAGTGTAACTAATATTCATCTCCCTCTGTCACAAGCCGCTCCTGATTCCCCTCATCTTCTGAATTTAGTATAGTTTGTTTTTCTGTTTGAGTGACAGAGACAACTATTCCAGAAAGGTCTATGCTGTTATTTACCCTGTTCTTGCTGGATTGATTGTTTTAGTGTCTACTGATAGTCATTACCATGCATAAAAGTACTAAAAGATATCGTTGTATTTCCTCTAATTTGTTCCTGAGGCATCTCTCATAAGAATGGCTATCAACTATAGTCCTCCTCTAATGAAGGGAAAAGTAATATGCATGGGCTCAACAACCAGGACTACAGTCAACAGGGATTATCTTCTTAATAGCATTGCTGAGTTCCACCCTGCCAGCAGTAGAGGATAACACTGAAATCACCATATGGCCCCATTACTTGAGGAGATCAGCCAGCGAGTTGGTGTCAGGTTGACTGTATCAAAATCTTCCACCTTGGAGGGGAAGTGATTTATTCTTTCTGGAATTAGTATACACTTTGGATATGGATTTGCTATTCTCACCTACATTGCCTCCAAAACCATTGCCATTCAAACACTCATGGGATGCTATGTTTAATATTGCTCAAGACTACAAAACCCATTTAGTAACAAGACGTAGCAATGGGATAATGATATATACCCATTACCTAGATGTAGTCAGTCCAAAGGATAATTGAATGGTGCTGGCTGGAAGACACTGCCCTCTAGGATGTTGTCTTTGACAGTTTGTGTTGCTATAACAAAAGACCACACACTGGATAAATTACAAAGACCAGAATTTTATTTTCTCACAGTCCTGGAGGCTGGAAAGTCCAAGATCAAGGTACTGGCATCTAGTAAGGGCCATCTTACAGTGTCTTCACATGGCGGAAAGTGAATCACATCGTGGAAGGTGGAGGGGCAAGGGAGCATTCCCTTCAACCTTGAGTCCTTTTATAAGGGTCCTAATCCCATCTTTGAGGCTCATGTCCTCACAACTTAATCATCTCTTAAAATGATCACACTGGGGACAACAAGGTTAGGTTTTAATATACAAATTTTGGAATTTTGAGTCATGTGGTTTGTTGAATTGTCTTCTTTCTATCTTACCTGACACATTCAAATTTAACTTCTTTCCCAGACAGAGCTGTCCCAGAGAGTGAAATTTTGGCAGGAATAAACTGGACACAGGTCAGACAAGAGCCACAGAAGTGTCTTCCAGTATAAACAAGTTTCCTGTGAGAGGGGCACTTGGTTACAGGTCAGACACTTAGGCATTAGACCATCTTCCAGAATAAAGAAGCATCCCATGAAGATACATTGTAAACTCCACACCCAAATTCCCTAAAGCTCCAGCAGAGCAAAACTAGTTTATAGCTGTTCTCATGAGAGAGTCCTCAAGACCAAATTAGATGAAAATACAGTAGACACTAAAACAATTATACTCCATCAAGGAGAACATAAACAAGAGCATAAACCCTTCTGGGATTGTAGTCTCTATCACCAAACCAGAACAACCACCTAGTTTTTAAACCTGCTGAAGTCTGGTTTCAAATGTACTGCTTTAATTGCATGATGGATTGTGGTTGGTATGTCCAAACTTAAGATTCTATGAATCTTATAACTCTCAGCATCATATGGACAATTTAAGTCACATGGTCACTTAGTGTGTTAAATGCCTATCAGGAAGAAATGCACACTTGGTTGTAGTTTTAGAACACATGAGTTCATGGAAAATTACTGTTAGAGAAGTTTTCCAGTGGTTATAATCTGGAACATGTAATATGAATGAAGTGATCAAGAGTTTGACTTGTGACTTACACTTTAGATCATGATATAATAATTGGTGTAGTCAATACTTTGTATATCCCAGACAGCTTTCTTGAGCTTTAGGGGACTGACTCACAATGGAGCTGAGGCTTCTTCTGTCCCTTGCTACTGATCTGTAAGTAATAAACCTGCTTTACATAACTTGTGTGTGGGCATGTTCTATTTCATCACACTCAGATAATAGGTAACCAGTGCGTGGTGGACCTAAACAGTAGCTCAGGATGCAGTGGAAGGAAGTATCTGGACTTCTTTTCCTAGTGGTTGGCATAGTAGTGATCTTTGTTATTCTCTACACAGTGGGGGGTCCTCCTTTGGGATTGGTAATTAGTAAACCTGCTTCATAAACTATGATTAATATACTAAAATCTCTTATGGAAAGATAGACAACATGCTAGATTAGATAGGTAATTTCGGCAGAGATAGAAAATCTGAGAAAGAGTAAAATTGAAATAAAATAAAAATACATTAAAAGAAATAAAAAATACATTTGACAAACTCATCAGCAAACTTGACACGGCCCTGGGAAGAATCAATGAATTTGAAATAGATCGATAAAAATTATTCAGAGTGAAACACAAAGAGAAACAAATAGTAAAAGCAAATTTAAAAAATAGGTCAAGTGTGGCAATCCCAACAGTTTGGGAGGCCAGGGCTGGAGGATTGCTTGAGCCCAGGAGTTTGAGACCAGTCTGGGTAACATGGGGAGACACCATCTTTACAAAAAATACAAAAATTAACTGAGTGTGGTGGTATAGACCTGTAGTCCCAGCTACTCGAGAGGATGAGGCGGGAGGATCACTTAAGCCCAGGAGGTCAAGACTGCAGTGAGCCGTGACTGCACCGCTGCACTCTAGTCTGGGCAACAGAGTGAGACCTTGTTTAAAAATAGATAAATAAATAAGTGTTTAACACTTTTCAGGCAAAAATATAGTACCATTTGATATGGTACTACAGCTCGTGGACGCTCTGTTTTGCTTTTATCCCCCACTCTTCTTTTCTCTTTGTATTTCACTTTGGATAATTTTTATTAGGTACCTTATTGAATTGGTTTTATTTTTAAATAAGCATATTATTTTGGTTGACTTTATTTTTCAATGTTGTATTTTGAAATAATTATAGATTCAGAGGAAGTTACCAAGATAGTACAGAAAGATTCTCTATACCCTTCATCCAGTTTTTCCCAATTGTCACATCTTATATAACTAAAGCACAATATCAAAACCAGGAAATTACCCTGACATATACTGTCAAACGATTTTCAACAAGGGTGCAAAGGCCACTAATTGAGGAAAGGACAGCCTTTTCAACAATGGTGCTGGGAAAACTGAAGTCCACATACAAAAGAATGAAATTGGATTCTTACCTTAGATCATAGACAATATGAACTCAAAATGAATCAGAGACCTAAATGTAAAACTTAAAACTATCAAACTATTAGAAGAAAACATAAAGGAAAATCTTCATGACATTTGATTAGGCCATGATTTCCTGGACATAACACCAAAGACATAGACAAGAAAAGAAAAAAATAGATGAATTGGACTTCATCAAAATTTAAAACTTCTAACTCAGGAAAGGAAAAAAACAAATACCATATGTTCTCACTTACAGGTGGGAGCTAGGCTATGGGTACACAAAGGCATGCAGAGTGGTAAAATGGACATTGGAGACTCAGAAGAGGGGAGGATGGGATGAGGGTGAAGGATAAAAAACTACATATTGAGTACAGTTTATGCTACTTGGATGACAGGTGCACTAAAATCTCAGGTTTCACAACTATACAATTTATCCATGTAACAAAAAGTCATTTGTACCCCAACAACTATTGATATAAAAATATATTAAAAATATTTAAAAATTATTATTATTATCTACTATGTGTTCAACACTATTTTTGGTGCTTTATATTTGCCATTTCATTTAATCCCCAGCATTACTCCATGGAATAGATATTCTCATTTTGCAGTTGAAGGAACTAACACTCAGAGAGATTAACTTGGATTTATGAGCAATGTCTACATTGTAAAGTAGAGGCAAAGAGACCAGTCAGGATGCTTTTGCAGTAATTCACTTGGGTGGAATTGTTGGTCTTTGAAGATAGAAAGTGAATCTCTTGGAAAGATTCTACAATGTTATTGTTTTTGCCCCAAATGGCACATTACAAAAATCAATTAATGTAGTTGAATGGCAACTATATGGACAAACATGTTCCTATTACTCTTCTGTATCATGTCTTCAATTTTCTCTTTAATAAATGTGACATAAAAGCTTTAAAACTTCTGTGCACAAAAGGACAGTGTCAATAGAGTAAACATGGTAATCAACAGAATGAAAGAAGATATTGACAAATAGCATATCTCATAAGAGATCAGTATGCAAAATATGATCAGGCATGGTGCCTCATACCTATAATCCCAGCTACTTGGTAGGCTAAGTCAGGAGCATTACTTAGGCCCAGGAGTTCAAGACCAGCCTAGACAAGTAGGCAAAATAGAAAGACACTGTCTCTTAAAAAAAAAGTCCAGGATTTGTAAAGAACTTCTAAAACCCAAAAATAAAAAAACAAGGGAGGGGCCAAGAATGCTGATTAGAAGTAGCTCTGTTCTGTGGCTCCCACTGAGGAGAATGGAAACAGTGAGTAAGCGCTGTACCTTCTGCTGAGGTATCCAGGTTTTCTCATTGGTATTGACTAGGCAGTTGGCACAACCCACGGAGAGTGAAGAAAAGCAGGGTGGAGCAACAGCCCACCCGGAAGTTGTAGGGGTGGGTTGCCCCTCCACACCTGTGGGTGTTTCTCGTAAGGTGGAACGAGAGACTTAGGAAAGAAAAAGACACAGAGACAAAGTATAGAGAAAGAAATAAGGGGACCCGGGGAACCAGCGTTCAGCATATGGAGGATCCCGCCAGCCTCTGAGTTCCCTTAGTATTTATTGATCATTTGTGGGTGTTTCTCGAAGAGGGGGATGTGTCAGGGTCACAAGACAATTGTGGGGAGAGGGTCAGCAGACAAACATGTGAACAAAGGTCTTTGCATCATAGACAATGTAAAGGATTAAGTGCTGTGCTTTTAGATATGCATACACATAAACATCTCAATGCTTTACAAAGCAGTATTGCTGCCCGCAGGTCCCACCTCCAGCCCTAAGGCAGTTTTTCCCTATCTCAGTAGATGGAGCATACAATCGGGTTTTATACCGAGACATTCCATTGCCCAGGGACAGGCAGGAGACAGATGCCTTCCTCTTGTCTCAACTGAAAGAGGCATTCCTTCCTCTTTTACTAATCCTCCTCAGCACAGACCCTTTACGGGTGTCGGGCTGGGGGATGGTCAGGTCTTTCCCTTCCCACGAGGCCATATTTCAGACTCTCACATGGGGAGAAACCTTGGACAATACCTGGCTTTCCTAGGCAGAGGTCCCTGCGGCCTTCCGCAGTTTTTGTGTCCCTGGGTACTTGAGATTAGGGAGTGGTGATGACTCTTAAGGAGCATGCTGCCTTCAAGCATCTGTTTAACAAAGCACATCTTGCACCGCCCTTAATCCATTCAACTCTGAGTTGACACAGCACATGTTTCAGAGAGCACGGGGTTGGGGGTAAGGTTATAGATTAACAGAATCTCAAGGCAGAAGAATTTCTCCTAGTACATAACAAAATGGAGTCTCCTATGTCTACTTCTTTCTACACAGACACAGTAACAATCTGATCTCTCTTGCTTTTCCCCACAGAAGTCACAAGGGGTAAGGGTAACTCCCACCCCCAGCGAAGGGAGGTGGTGAATGATTGTGCTACTCCACCAGGGAAACCATGCTTTTTTCATGGATCTGTACAACCTGATCTGTACTCCTGATCAGGAGATGTCCTTGTGAGCCCATGCCACCAGAGCCTTGGGTCCCAAGCACAGAACTGTGTAGACTCTTAGTGGCTGTTGGGGTTGTGGCCAGTGGCAGCCTGTTGGGGACTGCTTAAAACAACTGAGTTCCTAGGGTGAGGGGTGGCTGCCATCACTGTGGCTCCAGTTGGCCATTTTCCTGTCCCGGTGCTGGGGAGACTGAATGGTTTGGACTGGTAGGAACTCCCCACAGTGCAGCACAGCAGCTGCAGCAGATCGTGGCCAGACTGCTTCTTTAGGTGGGATCTGGATCCATCCCTCTTCACTTGGTGGGGCCTCTCTGCAGGAATTTCAGCAACTCCAGCTAGGGGTTTATGGAGAGAACTCTGTTCATAAACTGTGGAAACTGTGGCTGTCCATCCCCTTGGGGGAGGGGTGGCTACAGTCTCCACAGTTCAGCAAACTTACTCTTTCCTGCCTGTTGGCTCTGAAGGGCCTGGCAATCCAGAGGAGGGGGATTCCCTGCAGCACAGTGCACCTGCTCCACTAATGTGCAGCCAGAGTGCTTCCTTAAGCAGGTCCCTGATCCCATGATCCCATGCCTCCTGACTAGGTGAGACCTCCCAACAGGGGTTGCTGGACAGTTCATACAGGAGAGTTCTGACCAGCATCAGGTCAGTGCCCTGGGATGGAGCTGCCAGAGGAAGGAGCAGGCAGCCATCTTTGCTGTTCTGCAGCCTCCACTGGTAACACCTCCAGGTGCAGGAGGGACCCAGGTGAGTTGGGTCTGGAGTGGACCCCCAGCAAGCCACAGCAGCTCTGCAGAAGAGGGTCCTGACTTTTAAAAGAAAAATAATCAGAAAGCAACAATAATGACGACAACAACAACAACAAATGACCCCACAAAAACCCCAACCAAAGGTCAGCATTTTCAAAGACTGAAGGTAGATAAACCCAGGAAGATGTGAAAAAGTCAACAAAAAATGCTGAAAATAAAAAAATCCAGAGTGTCTCTTCTCCTCCAAATGATTGCAACACCTCTCCAGCAATGGCACAGAACTGGGCTGAGTCTGAAATGGATGACTTGACAGAGGTAGGGTTCAGACGGTGGGTAATAACAAACTTCACTGAACAAAGTGAGTATGTTCCAACCCAATGCAAAGAAGCTAAGAACCACGATAAGACATTACAGGAGCTGTTAACCAGTTAACCAGAATAACCAGTTTAGAGAGGAACATAAATAGCTTGATGGAGCTGAAAAACACAACACAAGAACTTTGCAATCCAATCACAAGTATTAGTAGCCAAATAGACCAAGTGGTAGAAAGAATTTCAGAACTTAAAGACTATCTTACCAAAATAAGACAGGCAGACAATATTACAGAAAAAAAGAATGAAAAGGAATGAACAAAACTTCCAAGAACTATGAGATTATGTAAAAAAGACTGAAGCTATGACTGATTGGGTTGCCTGAAAGAGATGGGAAGAATGACCTAAGTTGAGAAACATACTTCAGGATATCAACCAGAACAACTTCCCTAAACTACCAAGACAGGCCACCATTCAAATTCAGGAAATTCAGAGAACCCCAGTAAGATACTCCATGAGAAGACAAACCCCAAGACACATAATCATATTCTCCAGGGTCAAAATGAAGGAAAAAATGTTAAGGGCAGCCGGAGTGAAAGGCCAGGTCACCTACAAAGGGAAGTCCATAAGACTAACAGCAGACCTCTCAGCAGACACCCTACAAGCCAGAAGAGATTGGGGGCCAATATTCAACATTCTTAAAGAAAATAATTTCCAACCCAGAATTTCTTTTCTGGCCAAACTAAGCTTCATAAGTGAAGGAGAAATAAAATCCTCTCCAGTCAAGCAAATGCTGAGGGAACTCGTCATCACCAGGTCTACCTTGCAAGAGCTCCTGAAGGAAGCACTGGATATGGAAAGGAAAAACCATTACCAGCCACTACAAAAATACACTAAAGTACACAGACCAATGACACTATGAAGCAACTACATAAACAAGTCTGCAAAACAACCAGCCAGCATCATGATGACAGGATCAAATTCACACATAAGAATATTAACCTTAAATATAAATAGGCTAAATGCCCCAATTAAAAGGCACACAATGACAAGCTGGATAAAGATTCAAGACTCATCAGTGTGTTGTATGCAACAGATCCATCTCATGTGCGAAGACACACATACACTCAAAATAAAGGAATGGAGGAAAATCTACCAAGCAAATGGAAAACAGAAAAAAAAGGAGGGGTTGCAATCCTAGTTTCTGACAAAACAGACTTTAAACCAACAAAGATCAGAAAAGACAAAGAAGAGCATTATATAACAGTAAAGGGTTCAATTCAACGAGAAGAGCTAACTAACCTAAATATACATCCACCCAACACAAGAGTACCCGGATTCATGAAACAAATTCTTAGAGACCTATAAAGACACTTAGACTCTCACACAATAATATTGGGAGACTTTAACACCCCACTGTCAATATTAGACAAATCATTGAGACAGGAAATTAACAAAGATATTCATGACTTGAACTCACCACTGGATCAAGTGGACCTGATAGATATCTACAGAACTCTCCACCCAAAAAAACGCAGTATACATTCTTCTTGGTGCCACATGGCACTTATTCTAAAATTGATCACATATTTGGAAGTAAAACACTCCTCAGCAAATGCAAAAGAACTGAAATCATCACAGTCTCTCAGACCAAAGTGAAATCAAATTAGAACTCAGGATTAAGAAACTCACTCAAAACCACACAACTACATGGAAATTGAACAACCTGCTCCTGTAAGACTCCTGGGTAAATAATGAAATTAATGCAGAAATCAGGAAGTTCTTTGAAACCAATGAGAACAAAGAGACAATGTATCAGAATCTCTGGGATACAGCTAAAGCAGTGTTAAGCGGGAAATTTATAGTACTAAATGCACACATCAAAAAGCTAGAAAGATTTCAAGTTGACATCCTAACATCACAACTAGAAGAACTAGAGAACCAAGAAAAAACAAACCCCAAAGCTAGCAGAAGATAAGAAATAACCAAAATCAGACTGGAACTGAAGAAGATAGAGACACCAAAAAACCCTTCAAAAAATCACTGAATCCAGGATCTGGTCTTTTGAAAATATTAATAATATAGACAGACTGCCAGCTAGACTAATAAAGAATAATAGAGAGAAAAATCAAATAGACACAATGAAAAATGATAAAGGGGATATCACCACTGACCTAACGGAAATACAAACAACCATCAGAGAATACTATAAACAACTCTATGCACATAAACTAAAAAATCTAAAAGAAATTCCTGTACACATACACCCTCCCAAGACTGAACCAGGAAGAAGTTGAATCCCTTAATATGCCAATAACAAGTTATGGAATTGTGGCATAATAAAGAGCCTACCAACAAAAATAAAAGCCTGGGACCAGACAGGTTTACAGCTGAATTCCACCAGAGGTACAAAGAAGAACTGGTACCATTTCTTCTGAAGCTATTCCAAGTAATTGAAAAGGAGGACTCCTCTCTAACTCATTTTATGAGGCCAGCGTCATCCTGATACCAAAGCCTGACAGAGATACAACAAAAAAGGAAAACTTCAGGCCAATATCACTGATGGACACTGATTAAAAAATCCTCAATAAAATACTGGCAAGCCGAATCCACCAGCACATCAAAAAGTTTATCCACCACGATCAAGTTGGCATCATCCCCAGGATGCCAGGCTGTTTCAACATATGCAAATCAATAAACATAATTCATTACATAAACAGAATTAAAGACAAAAACCACATGATTATCTCAATAGACACAGAAAAGGCCTTCAATAAAATTAAACATCCCTTCATGTTAAAAACCCTCAATAAACTAGGTATTGAAGGAACATACCTCAAAATAATAAGAATCTCTTATGACAAGCCCACAGACAATATCATACTGAATGGGCAAAAGCCAGAAGCATTCCCCTTAAAAACATGCACAAAACAACAATGCCCACTCTCACCACTCCTATTCAACATGGTATTGGAATTTCTGGCCAGGACAATCAGGCAAGAAAAAGAAATAAAGCATATTCGAATAGGAAGAGAAGAAGTCAAATTGTCTTTGTTTGCAGATGACATGATCCTAGATCCTAGAAAATCTCATTGTCTCAGTCCAAAAGCTTCTTAAGCTCATAAGGGACTTCAGCAGTCTCAGGATGTGAAGGGGTGGGTTGCCCCTCCACACCTGTGGGTGTTTCTCATTAGGTGGAATGAGAGACTTAGAAAAGAAAAAGACACAGAGACAAAGTATAGAGAAAGAAATAAGGGGGCCCAGGGGACCAGCATTCAGCATACGGAGGATCCCGCTAGCCTCTGAGTTCCCTTAGTATTTATTGATCATTTTTGGGTGTTTCTCAGAGAGGGGGATGTGGCAGGGTCATAAGATAATAGTGGAGAGAAGGTCAGCAGATAAACACGTGAACAAAGGTCTCTGCATCATAGACAAGGTAAAGGATTAAGTGCTGTGCTTTAGATATGCATACACATAAACATCTCAATGCCTTACAGAGCAGTATTGTTGCCCACATGTCCCACCTCCAGCCCTAAGGCGGTTTTCCCTTATCTCAGTAGATGGAACATACAATCGGGTTTTATACCGAGACATTCCATTGCCCAGGGACGGGCAGGAGAGAGATGCCTTTCTCTTGTCTCAACTGCAAGAGGCATGCCTTCCTCTTATACTAATCCTCCTCAGCACAGACCCTTTACGGGTGTCAGGCTGGGGGACGGTCAGGTCTTTCCCTTCCCACGAGGCCATATTTCAGACTATCACATGGGGAGAAACCTTGGACAATACCTGGCTTTCCTAGGCAGAGGTCCCTGCGGCCTTCTGTTTGTGTCCCTGGGTACTTGAGATTAGGGAGTGGTGATGACTCTTAAGGAGCATGCTGCCTTCAAGCATCTGTTTAACAAAGCACATCTTGCACCGCCCTTAATCCATTTAACCCTGAGTTGACACAGCACATGTTTCAGAGAGCACGGGGTTGGGGGTAAGGTTATAGATTAACAGCATCCCAAGGCAGAAGAATTTGTCTTAGTACAGAACAAAATGGAGTCTCCTATGTCTACTTCTTTCTACACAGACACAGTAACAATCTGATCTCTCTTTCTTTTCCCCACAAGGATGCAAAATCAATGTGCAGAAATCACAAGCATTCCTATACGTCAACAACAGACAAGCAGAGAGCCAAATCATGAATGAACTCCCATTCACAATTGCTACAAAGAGAATAAATACCTAGGAATACAGCTAACAAGGGAAAGGAAGAACCTCTTCAAAGAGAATTACAAACCACTGCTCAAGGATATCAAAGAGGACACAAACATATGGACAAACATCCCATGCTCATGAATACAAAAAAATCAATTTCATGAAAATGGCCATACAGCCCAAAGTAATTTGTAGATTCAATGCTATTCCCATCAAACTACCACTGACATTCTTCACAAAATTAGAAAAAAACTATTTAAAAATTCACCTGGAACCAAAAAAAGCCCATATAGCCAAGACAATCATCCTAAGCAAAAAGAACAAAGTTGGAGACATCATGCTACCTGACTTCAAA
This sequence comes from Homo sapiens, assembly GCF_000001405.40. Lineage (NCBI taxonomy): Eukaryota > Metazoa > Chordata > Mammalia > Primates > Hominidae > Homo > Homo sapiens. The sequence goes on along the minus strand of NT_167246.2, from coordinate 4,093,067 downwards.
CTATACTACAAGGCTGAAGTAACCAAAACAGCATGGTACTGGTACAAAAACAGACCAATGAAACAGAATACAGAACTCAGAAGTAAGACCACACATCTACAACCATCTGATCTTCAAAAAACCTGATAAAAACAAGCAATGGGGAAAGGATTCCCTATTTAATAAATGGTGCTGAGAGAACCGGCTACCCATATGCATAAAGTTGAAACTGGACCCCTTCCTTACACCTTATACAAAAATTAACTCAAGATGGATTAGAGACTTATACGTAAAACCCAAAACTATAAAAACCCTAGAAGAAAATCTAAGCAACACCATTCAGGACATAGACATGGGCAAAGGCTTCATGACAAAAACATCAAAAGCAATTGCAACAAAAGCAAATACTGACAAATGGGATCTAATTAAACTAAAGAGCTTCTGTACAGCAAAATAAACTATTATTAGAGCGAGCAGACAACCCACAGAATGTCAGAAAAATTTTATAACCTATCCATCTTACAAAGGTCTAATATCCAGTCTACAAGGAACTTAAACAAATTTGCAAGAAAAGAAACATTAAAAAGTGGGCAAAGGACATTAACAGACACTTCTCAAAATAAGACATTTATGTAGCAAACAAACATATGAAAAAAGCTTAACATTGCTGATCATTAGAGAAATGCAAATTAAAATCACAATGAGATGCTATCTCATGCCAGTCAGTATGGCGATTACTAAAAACTCAAGAAACAACAGATGCTATCGAGGCTTCAGAGAAAAAGAAACACTTTTACACTGTTGGCGGGAATGTAAATTAGTTTAACCATTGTGGAAGACAGTGTGGCAATTCTTCCCAGACCTAGAACCAGAAATACCATTTGACCCAACAATTCCATTACTGAGTGTATTAGTTCATTTTCATGCTGCTGATAAAGACATATCCGAAACTGGGAAGAAAAAGAGGTGTAATTGGACTTACAGTTCCACATGACTGGGGAGGCCTCAGAATCGTGGCGGGAGGTGAAAGTCACTTCTTACATGGCAGTGGCAGGAGAATATGAGGAAGAAACAAAAGCAGAAACCCCTGATAAACCCATCGGATCTTGTGAGACTTATCCACTATTGCGAGAATAGCACAGGAAAGACTGGCCCCCATGATTCAATTACCTCCCCCTGAGTCCCTCCCACAACACATGGGATTTCTGGGATATACAATTCAAGTTGAGATTTGGGTGGGGACACAGGCAAACCATATTATTCTTCCCCTGGCCCCTCCAAATCTCACTTCTTCACATTTCAAAACCAATCATGCCTTCCCAACGGTTCCCCAAAGTCTTAACTCATTTCAGCATTAACCCAAAAGTCCGTAGTCCAAAGTCTCATCTGAGACAAGGCAAGTCCCTTCCACTTATGAACCTGTAAAATCAAAAGCAAGCTAGTTACTTTTTAGATACAATGGGGGTACAGGTATTGGGTAAATACAGCCATTCCAAATAGGAGAAATTGGCCAAAACAAAGGGGTTACAGGGCCCATGCCAGTCTGAAATCCAGCGGGACAGTCAAATTTTTTTATTTTATTATTTTATTTATTTTTATTTTTATTTATTTATTTTTTTGAGACGGAGTCTTACTCTGTCATCCAGGCTGGAGTGCAGTGGCACAATCTCTGCTCACTGCAAGCTCTGCCTCCCGGGTTCACACCATTCTCCTGCTTCAGCCTCCTGAGTAGGTGGGACTACAGGCACCCGCCACCACACCCTGCTAACTTTTTTGTATTTTTAGTAGAGATGGGGATTCACTGTGTTAGCCAGGATGGTCTTGATCTCCTGACCTTGTGATCCACCCGCCTTGGTCTCCCAACGTGCTGGGATTACAAGCACGAGCCACCGCACTCAGCCTCAGTCAAATTTTAAAGCTCCAAAATGATCTCCTTTGACTCCAGGTCTCACATCCAGGTCACACCGATACAAGAGGTAGGTTCCCATGGTCTTGGGCAGCTCTGCCTCTGTGGCTGTGCAGGGAACAGCCTCCCTCCTGACTGCTTTCAAGGGCTGGCTTTGAGTGTCTGTGGCTTTTCCAGGCCCACAGTGCAAGCTGTCAGTGGATCTACCATTCTGGGGTCTCGAGGATGGTGGCTCTCTTCTCACAGCTCCACTAGGCAGTGCCTCAGTAGGGACCCTATTTGGGGGCTAAGACCCCACATTTCCCTTCCACACTGCCCTAGCAGAGGTTCTCCATGAGGTCCCTGCCCCTGAAGCAAACTTTTGCCTGGGCATTTGGGCATTTCCCCACATCTTCTGAAATCTAGGTGGAGGTTTCCAAACCTCAATTCTTGACTTCTGTGCACCTGCAGGCTCAACACCACATGGAAGCTGCCAAGGCTTGGGGCTTCCACCCTCTGAAGCCACAGCCTGAGCTGTACATTGGCCTGTTTCAGCCATGGCTGAAGCAGCTGGAACACAGGGCACCAAGTCCCTAGGCTGCATACAGCACGGTGACCCTAGGCCTGGTCCACAAAACCACTTTTTCCTCCTGGGCCTCTGGTTCTGTGATGGGAGGGGCTGCTGTAAAGGTCTCTGACATGGCCTGGAGACATTTTCCCATGGTCTTGGGGATTAATATTAGGCTCCTTGCTACTTATGCAGATTTCTGCAGCTGGCTTGAATTTTTCCTAAAAAATGGGTTTTTCTTTTCTACTGCATCACCAGACTGCAGTTTTTCTGAACTGTTATGCTCTGTTTCCCTTTTAAAATGGAATGCTTTTAACAGTACCCAAGTCACCTCTTGAATGTTTTGCTGCTTAGAAATTTCTTCTGCCAGATACCCTAAATCATCTCTCTCAAGTTCAAAGTTCCACGAATCTCTAGGGCATGGGCAAAATGCCACCAGTCTCTTTGCCAAAACATAACAAGAGTCACCTTTGCTCCCGTTCCCAACAAGTTTCTCTTCTCCATCTGAGACCACCTTGGCCTGGACCTTATTTTTCATATCACTATCAGCTTTTTTATCAAAGCTATTCAACAAATCTCTAGGAGGTTCCAAACTTTCCCACATTTTCCTGTCTTCTTCGGAGCCCTCCAAACTGTTCCAACCTCTGTCTGTTACCCAGTCCAAAGTTGCTTCCACATTTTTAGGTATCTTTTCAACAACACCCCAATCCTGGAACAAATTTACTATATGAGTTCTTTTTCACACTGCTGATAAAGACATACTGGAGACTGGGAAGAATAAGAGGTTTAATTGGACTTACAGTTCCACATGACTGGGGAGGCCTCAGAATCATGGTGGGAGGTGAAAGGCACTTCTTACATGGCTATGGCAAGAGAAATGGGGAAGAAACAAAAGAAGAAACCCCTAATAAACCCATCAGCTATTGTGAGGCTTATTCACCATTGTGAGAATAGCATGGGAAAGACCAGTCCCCATGATCGAATTACCTCCCCCTGGGTCCCTCCCACAACACGTGGAAATTCTGGGAGATACAATTCAAGTTGAGATTTGGGTGGGGACACAGCCAAACCATATCATTAGGTATATACCCAAAGGAATATAAATCATTCTATTATAAAGATACATGCATGCGTGTGTTTATTGAAGCACTATTCACAATAACAAAGGCATGGAATCAACCCAAATGTCCATCAGTGATATACCGGATAAAGAAAATATGGTACATACACACCATGGAATACTATGAAGCCATAAAAAATAATGAGATTATGTCCTTTGCAGGGACATGGATGGAGCTGGAAGCCATTGTCCTCAGCAAACTAATGCAGGAACAGAAAACCAAGTACTGCATGTTCTCACTAATAAGTGGGAGCTGAACAATGAGAACACATGGACACAGGGAGGGGAACAACACACACTGGGGCCTATGAGGGGCAGGGGCAGGGAGAGCATCAGGATAAATAGCTCATGCATGCTGGGCTTAATACCTAGGTGATGGGTTGATAGCTGCAGCAAACCGCCATGCCACACGTTTACCCATGTAACAAACCTGCGTGTCCTATACATGTACGCTAGAACATAAAACAAAATAAAATAAAATAAATTCAATTCAAAAATGGGATTTTTTAGATTCCTCATATAAGTAAGATCATGCATTACTTGTCTTTCCGTGTCTGGCTGATTTCACTTAGCTTAATGTCCTCTAGGTCCATGCATGTTGTCATAAATAACAGTGTGAAAGAAAAATAGAATCTTGGGACCCCAAACTCACTATGCCAAGGGAAAGTTAATGTTGAGGACTGAGGCACCAATACTGTCTTCCTTTTGTTCCCAAACAGATAACGGCAATTTCACAACCCCTTGTCATAACCTCGTTTCCTCTACTCCTTCCCTCTTTTCACGTTTCCTTAATTTTATGTAAAATGTAGATTTACTGAGCATAACATAATTTATAATCAACTTTTTCCTCTACTCTCTTTTCACAGGTAAAATGTAGATTTACTGAGGCTAATCAAAGACTCAGGAATGTAACCAATTGTGTCGTGCCCTACTCTTCCTCCTTTTTTTCTCCTTTCACTCCTGCTTGCTCTTTCTCCTTTAAATACTGAAGTTCTCAAAACCCTCTTTGGCAAAACATGGATCACAGATGCTCCTGTGATTTGTGTTTTTCCCACGTGTATTCCTCAACCTTGGCAAAATAAACCTTTAATTGACTGAGACCTACCTCAGTCACTTTCTGACTTACAACAGGATTTCCTTCTTTTTAAAGTCTGAATAGGATTTAATTGTGTATACATACCACATGTTCTTTATCTATTCATCTGCTGAATGACACAGGTTGATTCTATACCTTGACTATTGTGAATAATGCTGCAAGGAACATAGGAGTATAGGTATATTTTCAACATACTAATTTTAAATTCTTTGTCTACATCCTGCAAATGGGGTTACTACATCATATGATAGTTCTGTTTTTAACTTTTTGAGGAATTTCCATATTGTTTTCCATAATGGTTGTACTAATTTACATTCCCACCAACAGCGTACGAATGTTTCCTTTTGTCTACATCCTTAACACTTGTTATCTTTTGTCTTTTTGATAATAGCCATTCTGACAGATGTGAGGTGATATGTCATTGTGGTTAAAATGGAATATCTTAAGTTTTCCTATTTGAGGGTGTAAGAGTATTCTCCCCAGAATATTACTGCTAATGTTGCTGTTTTGCATGAACCATGGCCTTGAGCTGAGTTCTTGGACATACGAGTTTTTGAGTACTTGGATATGGTTTTAAGTACTCAAGAACTATATATACTTTTATGTGGCTGAACATTAGGGCCTCTATTTACTGGTAAGAACTTACAGAAAAAGGAGACATTATAAAGATCTCCCAGAGAAATATTTAAGTTTTTTCTGGGAATGAAGGAGCATGGTGACTACTAATCTAGAGGCTGGGGGAAGAGCTGTCTCTGGAAATATCCCAGGCATCACTACGGAACCAGAAGTAGAGACAAGCAGAGGTGTGTTGGAAAGAGTGACATGTGTAGGTTAGCTCCTGGTAGTTTAATCACCAGTGGTCCAACTGAGGCGATGTGTGGATGAGGAGATTGACAGAAGGAAGGAACCTGAAAATATAGATCAGGAAACAAAGCTTCATTGTACAGCATATCCACTGCAGGCAGTTTGGTTTTTGTTGCAGTCTTCTGTCTTCAAGGGCTATTTTCATAGAGCATGAGGAGCCATGGGACTGGTGAGGTCTGGGCTTCTGTGCCAAGATCACCCACATTCCTCATATCCCCTCAAATGTCCCAAATGTCCTGTATCACCTGATTTTCTATCTTCCTGCTAAAGCTTTTCCCATACTCCTACCCCTTCACTCTCCATCATCCTCCAATTCTTACCCGACTTCCACCCTGGAGTTTCACCATGGCCACTTGCTTGTGGGAGGCACTGTCTGAACACAGCCCCTGAATGCTACTGATTTGGTGCTTTCTTCAGATTCTCTAGACTGAGATTTTAAAGAGATAACTTTGTGCCAAGAGAAAGGACCTAGTTTATATGTGCCACAAAAAATTGTTATATATAGCTGGTTACCTAGAAGTTGATATAAAAGAAATATGTAAGTGGCTTCACAAAGATTTTGAAAAATTTAGGGATAATTGCTTGATAAATTTTAATTAAAAGAAAACAATATTCTGGGAGCAGCATTTCTAGTTATATTACCATTGGCATTAAGGAGGCCACAGAACCTTTCAGAATATACAGTGATTCTTGATTCCTGAAGTAAATGCAGGGTAAGGTCTTGGATGGTCCTTCTGGTGACAGGGTGGCTCCTATGTTCACATTCAATTCCACTGACCAAGCACAGATTCCAAGAGATGCTGACTAGGGAAGATGATTTCTCCCTTGATTTTCACAAAGAAGGAGTCCACGACTTTTTCTTCTGCCCTGAAGGAAGAGAGAATGTCCCTTGAAGTGAGTCTCCCTAGTGTAACCCTGACCATCCCTACTAATGGCAGTGGCTTTTTAGCCCATTTACCCACATGGGGTAAATGCTCTAATTGCTCGGCCCCCACAGAGGCTGGGCAGGTGATTCAGGTGAGACACTCGGAATAAGGATGCTTGACCTAGTTTCTTTCTTCTCTGGCCTTCTTCTGCCTGAATGCCCTGAATAATGCAGCAGGGATAGGGCCAGGGTAGTCAACTGTAGAGAAGGCTGGGCCAGGCAGACACAACTGGCAGAAGCCCAAAGCAAAACCTTTCCAGTGAGGTTTTAGCCAATCAGAAAAAGGCTCTAAAGTGACACTTGTTGCTAGCTGAAAAGTCTGTGCGAAGAGGCCTGTGAGACTGAGGAATCCCCAGGTCTGGCGTAGCAGTTGCCTCAGAATAAACCTGTGGGAACTTTTTCCCTTAGACAGGAAGGAAAGGATGGATTAGAGGCCTCTATTCTGAGGGACACTGAGGTGGGGGCTGAGGAAGGACATTGAGGGCAGCTTCAGGTCTCTCTGCCTACTCTTCCTTGCCCCAACTCCATTCCAGGTGTGAGTATGGTTCCTCCTTTATGTGTCCATCACAGCAGTGGAGACCATCCTTAGGCTGGGTTTACCCTGATCCTGAGTAAACCACTGCTGCTGGATGCCCAGTGGCAACTTTCCCAGTCTCAGGTGCTCTAGAATTATGCTGTGAATAATACAGAATATTGGAGTGGCTCAACGCTTTCATGTGCCACTATTGCAAACCTCTTGCTGTTGCCTCTTCCCTGCTTCTTTTTACCTGGTAAACTTATATTCTGATTTTAGATTGTATTCTCTACTTTAAAAGCAGAACCTAAAATTTTGGGAAAAGAAAGAGAGAAAGGGAGAGAAGAAGAGAGGTGGAGAAATTTATTGTCTTGGTTGGGGTCAGAAGTAATGTTTGCCAGGCATTGTTCTAATTGCTTTATAACCATTAGTACTGTCCCTAGTCACTGCCAAGAGGAGCCTGATAAGTTATGCTTATTTATAAAAACACATTGATGTAGATATGTCCATGAGGAACTGTTAAATAAAAAATACATAGAATTGAAAAAAACCACATTGATACCTCTGCCACTTGGGATTTGATGTTTAGGGCTGGCACAGTACAATCTGTGACTCTAAACATTTTCTCCATCATTAATACTATTCAGGACCTAGGAAATGCTTCTCCACAGCTTTTGCTCTCTCTCCTCAAATCTAGACATGACTATGTCTGAATACTGTAAAGGTTTGTGTATTGTGCCTTTGCTGATATCAGATGCACCTATTTCATGGTTCAGAGAGGATTTAAACAGCTGAAGAACTTAGAAAAGGAATGTCAACTTAATTAACTTTTCAAATACTTTCACTCGAAGAGTATAAATACAATATATTCTTGCGTAATGAAGAATCATTTACCAGCAGGGATGGGTGTCAATTTTTTTTGGCTTGTTTTCTTGTTCCACATATTAACCTGATAGTTACACATAACAGTTGAGGATCCTTTTGTAACATTAAACAAGTCATATTAATCTTAAATTTGTATATGTGAAGATCTAGATGTAAAATGCATGAAACATGTTCCACATTTTACAAAGAGAAGCCTGGGGCAAAAATAAATTCAGTAATTTGTTGACTCTCATAAAGCACATTAGTGGTGGAACTGCAACTCACCATTATTTCCTTCTAAGAACTTTGCTCTTTTCACCAAAACTTAAGGCTCCTCAGGGTGTGTCTAAGACAACAGCAGTAAAAATGTCTATGACAGCAATTTTCTCTCCCCTGAAATATGATCCCCACTTAATTTGCCCTATTGAAAGAATCCCAAGTATAAGAACAACTGGTTTTTAATCAATATTACAAAGATGTTTACTGTTGAATCGCATTTTTCTTTGGCTTCTTAAAATCCCTTAGGCATTCAATCTTCAGCTCTTCCATAATTGAGAGGAAATTTTCACCTCAAATGTTCATCCAGTGCAATTGAAAGACGTCACAGTGCCAGGCACTGGATTCAGAACCTTCACACAAAAAAAATCTGCCCAGAGACAGATGAGGTCCTTCAGCTCCAGTGCTGATTGGTTCCTTTCCAAGGGACCATCCAATCCTACCACGCATGGAAACATCCACAGATTTTTATTCTTTCTGCCAGGTACATCAGATCCATCAGGTCCGAGCTGTGTTGACTACCACTTTTCCCTTCGTCTCAATTATGTCTTGGAAAAAGGCTTTGCGGATCCCCGGAGGCCTTCGGGCAGCAACTGTGACCTTGATGCTGTCGATGCTGAGCACCCCAGTGGCTGAGGGCAGAGACTCTCCCGGTAAGTGCAGGGCAGCTGCTCTCCAGAGCCGCTACTCTGGGAACAGGCTCTCCTTGGGCTGGGGTACGGGGATGGTGATCTCCATAATCTCGGACACAATCTTTTATCAACATTTCCTCTGTTTTGGGAAAGAGAGCTATGTTGCATTTCCATTTATCTTTTAATGATGAAGTGAGGACAATCCAATCCCATCCTACAGGCTTAAGCCTGGAAGAGGAGGAGAGAGGAGAGAAAAGAGGAGACAAAGTGTTCATTTACTACCAGTGATAGGACAAAGTGAGCATGGGGTTATTTTTGAAGATATGAATTTCTCCAAAGACACAGCAGGATTTGCCATTTAGGCGTGTCCCAAGACTTGCCTGGACTAAATATTATGATTTCCTGCATTGGGAAATGCAAGGCAGCAATGGTGTCTGTAGTCTCCGTATTTGGGGAAAAGTTGTCTGTATTCCTGACCCAGTGGAGCGTTTGTGGAGGCAAAATCTTGGTACTGAGGGAAGCTGACTGGCTGACCACAGAAAGAGAGCCTTCAGGTTTCACTGATTTATGGGCAAATGGTGACCTGAGTGGGATTCAGATACCCGAGTTGATGATGGACTAAATTTAGTAGAAAGGAGGATGTAAAGAAGGGAAATAACACATACTGTGAAACCACTCATTTCAGACACAGAACAATACTTTACATAAATTCTCTCTCACTCCTTCTAACATCCTGTGTGTAGATATCATGATTTTCTTTTACACAATTATACTTGTGATATGGATATTCTGTTACATAACCTGCCCGGGCTGGTGACTGCCACAGTTTAATGGGAATCTAGTTTATCAAATTCAAAAGCTTGTGCTCTTTCGGTGAATAAATGTTTCTTTCTAGGACTCAGAGATCTAGGACTCCCTTCTTTCTAACACAGAAGTGAGTGAACCTCACAGGGCACTTGGGAGGGTAAATCCAGGCATGGGAAGGAAGGTATTTTACCCAGGGACCAAGAGAATAGGCGTATCGGAAGAGGACAGGTTTAATTCCTGGACCTGTCTCGTCATTCCCTTGAACTGTCAGGTTTATGTGGATAACTTTATCTCTGAGGTACCCAGGAGCTCCATGGAAAATGAGATTTCATGCGAGAACGCCCTGATCCCTCTAAGTGCAGAGGTCCATGTAAAATCAGCCCGACTGCCTCTTCACTTGGTTCACAGGCCGAGACAGGGACAGGGCTTTCCTCCCTTTCCTGCCTTTAGGAAGGCGGATTCCCGAAGACCCCCGAGAGGGCGGGCAGGGCTGGGCAGAGCCGCCGGGAGGATCCCAGGTCTGCAGCGCGAGGCACGGGCCGGCGGGAACTTGTGGTCGCGCGGGCTGTTCCACAGCTCCGGGCCGGGTCAGGGTGGCGGCTGCGGGGGCGGACGGGCTGGGCCGCACTGACTGGCCGGTGATTCCTCGCAGAGGATTTCGTGTACCAGTTTAAGGGCATGTGCTACTTCACCAACGGGACAGAGCGCGTGCGTCTTGTGAGCAGAAGCATCTATAACCGAGAAGAGATCGTGCGCTTCGACAGCGACGTGGGGGAGTTCCGGGCGGTGACGCTGCTGGGGCTGCCTGCCGCCGAGTACTGGAACAGCCAGAAGGACATCCTGGAGAGGAAACGGGCGGCGGTGGACAGGGTGTGCAGACACAACTACCAGTTGGAGCTCCGCACGACCTTGCAGCGGCGAGGTGAGCGGCGTCGCCCCTCTGCGAGGCCCACCCTTGGCCCCAAGTCTCTGCGCCAGGAGGGGCGAAGGGTCGTTGCCTCTGGAACCTGAGCCCCGTTTGTTCCACCCCAGAGGACAGGAGGCAGCGGCGAGAGTGGTGGGGGCAGGTGCATCGGAGGTGCGGGGACCTAGGGCAGAGCAGGGGGACAGGCAGAGTTGGCCAGGCTGCCTAGTGTCGCCCCAGCCTACCCGTTCGTCGGCCTTGTCCTCTGCTCTGCATGTTCTTGCCTCGTGCCTTATGCATTTGCCTCCTTTTGCCTTACCTTTGCTAAGCAGCTCTCTCTGCTCAGAATGCCCGCCCTCTTCCCCTGCCCGCCCGCCCGCCCCGCTAGCACTGCCCCACCCAGCAAGGCCCACGTGCACAGCTCTTGCAGCAGGAAGCTTCAGGCTTAGCCTGGTGGAGTTAGGGCTGTTCCACAACTGCGCGCAGGACATCCAGCAATTACAGTTGTGAAATAAGATATTTTAACTTTTGGCTTCAAATCATTATTCATCGTAATTCTGTTTTCTTAAATGGCTCTCATTCATGGCAGAGATCTTTGAGGTGAGGGTGTTTTAATCATTGCATGCCTAGTACCTGACACATTGACTGGTATGTGGTGTGAGCTCAATGATCTTCTGTTAAATTAATGAATAAATGTACTCAGCTGCCCATCCACTTAGGCTCAAGAAAAAAAAAGAGGTAAACAGAGCCTTAAAAATGGACTTTATTAATTATTTTCTATAATTTTGCTTAATGCTTTAAAGTAAACTCTTATTGACTTGGATCTTAATAGAGTTTGTGAATACAAAATCTGAGGAAAAAAGTTTTTGCTAAAAATAAAAACAACGCTTGAAAGATATTGTAATGCAGTTTAAATTTCTTTTCTTTTTTTTTTTTTTTTTTGAGACGGATTCTCACTCTGTCGCCCAGGCCGGAGTGCAGTGGCGCGATCTCGGCTCACTGCAAGCTCCGCCTCCCGGGTTCACGCCATTCTCCTGCCTCAGCCTCCTGAGTAGGTGGGATTACAGGCGCGTGCCACCACGCCCGGCTAATTTTTTTGTATTTTTAGTAGAGGCGGGGTTTCACCGTGTTAGCCAGGATGGTCTGGATCTCCTGACCTCATGATCCGCCCGCCTCGGCCTCCCAAAGTGCTGGGATTACAGGTGTGAGCCACAGTGCCCGGCCGGCACTTTTAATTTCTTAGAAAAGCTGAACAAATGGCACAATGCAAAGAGCAAAAGTTTTGGAATAAATAGATTGAAGCCATTAAATTATTGGATAAAAATAGTTTCGGGTTGCTTTTGGCCTAGGTTCTCCCCTCCCCCCATGACTATCCACTTCAGGAATAAACATTCTGAAAGTCAATTTTACCCATTTAGTGAGCATTTATTTCTAGACAGTTGCCTTATCAAATACCATCTATGTTACGTCATTTAATCTCACAGTTACTTGTGCATCAGAGATTAGCATCACCACTTTATATATTGGTACATGATAAACACTTTATTGGTCATGGATGGGGAGATGGTCACTGTAGGCTAATATTGGTACATGATAAACACTTTAAGTAATCAGCCCATAATTGCTCACCAAGACCTTAAGCCTCCCAAAGTACACAACATTCTTTGTGTTCTTCACTACACATCCATAGAGTCTAAGGGACGTAAAGCCTCGTTAAAGCCAGTTTTGACCAGAAGCAGCAATGAGTCTATTCCTGTGTGTTTTCCATGTTAATGGGACAAAATGATACTTTCAAGGCATTGAAAATTCATGATTAATCAATCGCTAGTCTGACCCCAGTGTTATCTATGCAGGTTTGCAAAACCTTTAGTTTACTTAATACTCCCTTGCCTTCTTTTGATTCACATCCTAATGCCAGCAAATACTTATGTTTTTGCTATTTCAGTTCCATTTCCATAAAATTTATTTTATCATCTTTTCTCATAAATTTATGCCCTCTATTTTTACTCCCAATCTGTTTAAGATGAACAAATCTTATAAGGCCACATAGCTGACTGTTATTTCTGTTGGACTCCAGGAAGGAGAACCTAAAGAAAAGTTCAAGTCCAAGCAGAAACCGTGATTTCTTCCAGATGATGGCTCATGAGTGCCATTTAATTGGGGTGCCACCTGGTGACCTCAGCAAATCCCAGCTATATTTATGTGTTCACATTACAGGATCATTAACCCAGACCGACCACTGCACAGATCTCAGAATATTTTCTATGGAGAACATACATAATAATGCCTGATTTCAGAAGAAGAAAGTAATTCTCAATAGCAAGGGGATGGAGTAGGGTAGACAGCTGTAATTAAACTCACTTGTGTGATAAAAAGAAATTAAGGAAAAAAGAAAATGAGAGAACATATTACTAAATAAAGAAAGCATACATTAAATATTTACTATAGTTTCACACTAAGAGAATAAAGGAAATGCAATAAAGTGGCCTGAAAGGTAAAGGATGAGATGTGTAAAGGGGTGTAGTATTTTTACTATGAGCAGCAATCTGAGAAGATAAAGGAATCGAGTTACGGGCAAACATGATGTTTGATCAGTGTTATTTGTTTTCAAGGCCTGCCTAAATTTTTTTCAAATATTACAAACTTTTGAAATAACATTCTTTTTGTTTTTTGCTGTCTGTTACTAGGTTGCACATTTTATAAAGGCAGGGACCATGGTATGTTGTTTGTCTTTGGATTCTCAGTGATTGTTATATTTATATTTGTTGAAGGAACCTTAATCCAAGACTTGGACTCCAAGTATCTTTCCACTCTGGTTCCAAGGAGGGACCTTCCTCACAGCAGGCATGCTGTGTGGTCTCACATCTCACTCCTATATCTTTCCCTGTCTGTTACTGCCCTCAGTGGAGCCCACAGTGACCATCTCCCCATCCAGGACAGAGGCCCTCAACCACCACAACCTGCTGGTCTGCTCGGTGACAGATTTCTATCCAGCCCAGATCAAAGTCCGGTGGTTTCGGAATGGCCAGGAGGAGACAGCTGGCGTTGTGTCCACCCCCCTTATTAGGAATGGTGACTGGACCTTCCAGATCCTGGTGATGCTGGAAATGACTCCCCAGCGTGGAGACGTCTACACCTGCCACGTGGAGCACCCCAGCCTCCAGAGCCCCATCACCGTGGAGTGGCGTAAGGGGATATTGAGTTTCTGTTACTGTGGGCCCCACAAGACAAAGGACAGAGCTCCTTCTGACCCATCCCTTCCCATCTCTTATCCCTGATGTCACTGCTGAGCTGGGAATCACAGGAGACTAGAGCACCTCTAGTTCCATGGCGAGTGCATCAGAAGAATCCTGATCTCATCACCTTTCCAGATGCTAGGGAAATTACTCTACATACTGTTGCTCTGGATCCCAGTCCTGATTGCTCTGAGGAACTGATTATTAGGGCTGGTGACTGGGATCTTAGGGTCTAAGTTTATGGATGAGTTCCTGAGGAGTGGAGATCTGCTTCCCCACTCTGTCACCTACTCACTGTATCCAAGTACCTATTGGCTGGCCTTTCCCTCCCTTAGGGGTGGTCTGAATGGAGAACTAGGTTCCTTTGATGCCTTCACCTCCTGCATCTCAGACTGGACTTCAGCTCCTCATCAGGGAAACTATGGGGTATGGGGACAAACACTGACACTCAGGCTCTGCTTCTCAGGGGCTCAATCTGAATCTGCCCAGAGCAAGATGCTGAGTGGCATTGGAGGCTTCGTGCTGGGGCTGATCTTCCTCGGGCTGGGCCTTATCATCCATCACAGGAGTCAGAAAGGTGAGGAACCCCAGGGGAAAAGGGGAAGATGGCCTGTGACCCAGACCCTCTGTTCAGAGAGGTCCTGTCTCTAGATGTAGCTCTTTCCTCCTGACCCTGAGAGGAAGAAAGCTGAGCTGGAAGTGGAAGGAGACAGGACAAGGTTGGAGGAGGCATTGGAATCTGATTTTACTAGCTGAAGGGTAGCCCTGTCACAGAGCTGACTGATAGAGCTTATTCCAGGGCATCCTTACCATTCATCATTGTCTCACTGGCTCCTTTCCAAAAACTTCCTCCATTAAGAGGGTCAGAGCCTCGGCCTCCTTGCCTTCTAGTGACAATTTCCTTTATTTTAGGGGATTTTAAATTAGGGTGCTTAAGGACTTGAAGAACATGAATGGGAAGAGAATATAACTCTAATTAAGTCACATGTGTCATTTTCCTTTGGGGTGAGAGAGTGGCTGTTCATGTAATGAGACCTTTCTCTGCATAACTTCCTTTTGTAAGACCTCAAGGGCCTCCACCAGCAGGTAATATTTCAGCCGTGATCCAGTGTGGGGAGGGCACAGGTGTAAGAGGGAAGAGCATGAGCTGAGTGTACCTGACAGTAGTGGTCTCTGTTCATGGTATATTTGCTGCTATGAGGATCAAGACTTAGGGGTGAAGTTTGCCAGTTTCTAGGAATCTCCAGAGGTTGTTCCCCAGAACCAAGCCTTAACTTTGGTGGTATCTTCCTGTGAAATGTGGAGCCAGAACCACGGCTTAAATGTTAGACACTAGGATGATGCCCACTTTGTGCCACATGATGGTGGCTACTGCCTGTAGGCATTTTCCAGTGACTGAAAGAGGCTGCTAGTGGTAGGGATGAGGTATCATCCAATTTCCTAAAAAGATTGAACCCTTCATATTCACCAGAAGAGTAACAGCTGTTCCCCCACCTCCCACACATCTGCATCAAGCTGAAGTTCTGTGTCTTCATGAGCTGATTTCACCTTTGCACAGATCTTGGGGGAGGTGATGATAATACACTCTGGACCTCAGCTTTGTCTGTCTGAAGCTGCAGGAGGCCCCTGAGGGGTGGGGGAGATGGCAGGCCCACCAGCGTACCCTGTGCTGATCATCCCTCTTCTCTCTTCTTCAGGGCTCCTGCACTGACTCCTGAGACTATTTTAACTGGGATTGGTTATCACTTTTCTGTAACGCCTGCTTGTCCCTGCCCAGAATTCCCAGCTGTCTGTGTCAGCCTGTCCCCCTGAGATCAGAGTCCTACAGTGGCTGTCACGCAGCCACCAGGTCATCTCCTTTCATCCCCACCTTGAGGCGGATGGCTGTGACCCTACTTCCTGCACTGACCCACAGCCCCTGCCTGTGCACAGCCAGCTGCATCTACTCAGGCCCCAAGGGGTTTCTGTTTCTATTCTCTCCTCAGACTGCTCAAGAGAAGCACATGAAAACTATTACCTGACTTTAGAGCTTTTTTACATAATTAAACATGATCCTGAGTTATCTGTATTCTGAACTTCCTTAATTGAGCAGAGGCAGGAAATCACTGCAGAATGAAGGAACATACCTTGAGGTGACCCAGCCAACCTGTGCCCAGAAGGAGGGTTGTACCTTGAAAAGACACTGAAAGAATTTGGGGTGCAAAGTCAGGGTGGGCAGAGGAGGTAGAAAATCAACTCAGTTGTCGCATCATTCATGGTTCTTTCATATTGATGTTCAGTGCAGTGGCCTGAGAATATCCCAGCCTCTCTTCTGGTTTGGTGAGTGCTATATAAGTAAACATGGTGGAATTGTTTGGGGGCAGATATAGTGACCCTTGGTCACTGGTGTTTCAAACATTCTGGCAAGTCACATCAATCAAGAATAATTTTTACTTTTAAGAAAGCATAACCAGCAATAAAAGTATTATTTTTGATTCTAAATGATAGAAACCCAAATATATTTTGTTCATGGTGCAAAGGAAGCCTAGAGTCAAGTTGATTTCAGAAGTGACTAGTTCCAGATACACAATGAGATCTTCACCTCTCTCTTTCTGTTATATCTCTATCTGTGAATCTGCCTCTCTTTCTGTGTCTCTTTGTACCTGTATAGTTCTTTCTGCGTGTCTCTCTGCATTTTTTTCTGTGCTCCCTTGTTGTGTCTTTCACTACATTGTTGCCTTTCTTTCTATTTTTCTAATCCATTGTCACTGTTTATCTGCATTTTTTCTTTTTTTTTTTTTTCTCATATGCTTTTTTATTTTGGAATAATTTTAGATTTACAGAAAAGTTGTAAAGCTAGAACAGTTTCCATATAATCCTTACCCCGTTTCCCTCATTGTTTTTTGTTTTTTTTTTTTTTTTTTTTATTGATCATTCTTGGGTGTTTCTCGCAGAAGGGGATTTGGCAGGGTCATAGGACAATAGTGGAGGGAAGGTCAGCAGATAAACAAGTGAACAAAGGTCTCTGGTTTTCCTAGGCAGAGGACCCTGCGGCTTTCCGCAGTGTTTGTGTCCCTGATTACTTGAGATTAGGGAGTGGTGATGACTCTTAACGAGCATGCTGCCTTCAAGCATCTGTTTAACAAAGCACATCTTGCACCGCCCTTAATCCATTTAACCCTGAGTGGACACAGCACATGTTTCAGAGAGCACAGGGTTGGGGGTAAGGTCACAGATCAACAGGATCCCAAGGCAGAAGAATTTTTCTTAGTACAGAACAAAATGAAAAGTCTCCCATGTCTACTTCTATCCACACAGACCGGGCAACCATCCGATTTCTCAATTTTTTCCCCACCCTTCCCGCCTTTCTATTCCACAAAACCGCCATTGTCATCATGGCCCATCCCCAATGAGCCGTTGGGCACACCTCCCAGACGGGGTCGTGGCCGGGCAGAGGGGCTCCTCACTTCCCAGTAGGGGCGGCTGGGCAGAGGCGCCCCTCACCTCCTGGATAGGGCGGCTGGCCGGGCGGGGGGCTGACCCCCCCCCTCCCTCCCGGACGGGGCGGCTGGCCGACCGCCCCCCCCCCCCCCCCCCCCGCCTCCCTCCCGGACGGGGCGGCTGGCTGGGCAGAGGGGCTCCTCACTTCCCAGTAGGGGCGGCCGGGCAGAGGCGCCCCTCACTTCCCGGATGGGGCGGCTGGCCAGGCGGGGGGCTGATCCCCCCACCTCCCTCCCGGACGGGGCGGCTGGCCAGGCGGGGGGCTGAGCCCCCCACCTCCCTCCCGGACGGGGCGGCTGGCCGGGCAGAGGGGCTCCTCACCTCCCAGTAGGGGCGGCCGGGCAGAGGCGCCCCTCACCTCCCGGACGGGGCAGCTGGCCAGGCGGGGGGCTGATCCCCCCACCTCCCTCCCAGACGGGGCGGCTGGCCGGGCGGGGGGCTGACCCCCCACCTCCCTCCCGGACTGGGCGGCTGGCCGGGCGGGGGGCTGATCCCCCCACCTCCCTCCCGGACGGGGCGGCTGGCCGGGCAGGGGGCTGACCCCCCCTCCCCCCTCCCGGACTGAGCGGCTGGCCGGGCGGGGGGCTGACCCCCCCACCTCCCTCCTGGACGGGGCGACTGGCCGGGCAGAGGGGCTCCTCACTTCCCAGTAGGGGCGGCCGGGCAGAGGAGCCCCTCACCTCCCGGACGGGGCGGCTGGCCGGGCGGGGGGCTGACCCCCCCACCCCACCTCCCTCCCGGACGGGGTGGCTGCCGGGCGGAGATGCTCCTCACTTCCCAGACGGGGTGGCTGCTGGACGGAGGGTTTCCTCACTTCTCAGACGGGGCGTCCGGGCAGAGGCGCTCCTCACATCCCAGACAGGGCAGCGGGGCAGAGGTGCTCCCCACCTCTCAGACGATGGGCGGCCAGGCAGAGACGCTCCTCACTTCCCAGACGGGGTGGCGGCCGGGCAGAGGCTGCAATCTCGGCTCTTTGGGAGGCCAAGGCAGGCGGCTGGGAGGTGGTTGTAGCGAGCCGAGATCACGCCACTGCACTCCAGCCTTGGCACCATTGAGCACTGAGTGAACGAGACTCTGTCTGCAATCCCGGCACCTCGGGAGGCCGAGGCTGGCGGATCACTCGCGGTTAGGAGCTGGAGACCAGCCCGGCCAACACAGCAAAACCCCGTCTCCACCAAAAAAAAAACGAAAACCAGTCAGGCGTGGCGACGCGCGCCTGCAATCGCAGGCACTAGGCAGGCTGAGGCAGGAGAATCAGGCAGGGAGGTTGCAGTGAGCCGAGATCGCAGCAGTACAGTCCAGCTTCGGCTCGGCATCAGAGGGAGACCCTGGAAGGAGACCGAGGGGAGAGGGGAGAGGGGAGAGGGGAGAGGGGAGAGGGGAGAGGGGAGAGGGGAGAGGGGAGAGGGGAGAGGGGAGAGGGGAGAGGGGAGAGGGGAGAGGGGAGAGGGGAGAGGGGAGAGGGGAGAGCTTATCTGCATTTTTTCTATCTCCGTGTTTCTTTTTGCGTCTATTTTTCTGCATTTCTCTTCCTTATCACTTCATATATTATCTCATCTCTCTCTCTTGCTGTGTGTGTGTGTGTGTGTGTGTGTGTGTGTGTGTGTGTGTGTGTTTGTCTGTCTCTGTTTATATATGTTTCTAGAATGTCTACCAGAGTTTTAACAACTTTAGGAAAGATTCTGATTGGCCAAGCCTGGGTAACATGCACACCTCTCAAACACACTGTCCTGTACACGGGATGCTGACAGCCAGCATTGTGCCCATCTCTCTTATTAGGAAGGAGGACTGGATTTTCCATATCCTTGTGGTCCTGGAAATGACTTCCAGTGTGCAGATGTCTACACCAGCCATGTGGAGCACCTCAGCCTCCACAGCCTCCTCACAGTGGAGGGGTATAAGGGGCAGTTTGTTTCTTGTGGAGCCCACAGGACAAATGGCAGAGCTCCCTCTGATTCTAGGGTCCCTCATTGGGGGTACCTGTTCACAGTCATTCCACTCCTTGTCTGAGCTCCCTTTGTCATTGACGTTGTAACCTGTTGATTCCTGATGACACTCTTTTCCCGGTTATGAGGGAGGTCACTACACACTGTGGCCCCTTTGATGTGGGCCCAGCTCTGAAGCTGGTCTACATCTCAGTCTCTGAGTTTCGTCATGAAGACAGAGTCTGGGAGCTTCTGCGAGGTTATGGAAGGCCATGACCCTGAAAGCAGGCATCCCATCTTCCTTTCTCCCTCACCCACACACTGGGCCTGAGGAGTCTTTGGCAGGCTCTTCCTTCTTGTGGATGAGGTCAGAGTGGAGAACTAGGTCTCCTTGGGACCTTCATCTCTTGTACTCCAGGCTGTCATGCAGGTCCTCAGACAGGGACACTGGTGCACAAAGAGGCACCAACACTTGAGATTCTGCTCCCCAGGGTTATGGTATGAATTTTCCCCAAGCAAAATTCTGAATGGAGTCAAAAGTTTTGTGCCAATTTTGTCCTCTTCCTCAGGTTGGGCACTGTCATTCACCATAGGGATCAAAAGGGAGTAACACTTTTGGGGAAATGGGGAAGGCATGTGCTGGGTTGTCCAGCGTGTCCTCAGTCTCTGTGTGTAGCTCCTGGCTTTTGACCCTGCAAAGGGAAGAGGCAGGGCTAGGGATTGAACAAGACTCAAAGTTTAGGGGAACATCGAGATCTGATTTTTCTAGTTGAAGCATAAGCCCTATAATCGGGGTGGGTGATAGATTATATTCTAGGACATTCTTACAGTTCAACATTGTCACACTGAGCACACATGCTGGAAGATTCTTTATTAACGAGAGGGTCAAAATCGTCTTCTCTTTCTTCCATTGACAGTTTCATAGAAACAACTATGTTTTGCACCCAGATTTCATTGGATAGTATAATCTTTAATGGATAATTAATTAAAATAATAAGTACATCGTCTATAAATAAGTTTGCTAACACAAAGAACTGAGTCTTACTCAGCATATAACTTGGAGGAAAGCGTGTGGGTGTTCTAGAGGACAACCTACCAGTCTTGAGCATTTGTCCTTACCTTAGATAATAACAGTATAACTTTTGGAGACAGTGATGCTCGCTGGTATTGTATTCCAAAGCTCCTGTACATTTCTCAGTCTTTTCTGCTGTTAGGTTGGGGACATTTGACTAACAGTAACCAATGGAACTTGCAAGTAGGTGCATGGTGGTGTATGAGATGCTGGAAACTCCATAATCTGAGTCATTTGAATAACTGTGGAATTAAGTCTCCTTATTGAGTTAAGCCACTGAGATCTACTTTTTACTGTGGGTTAAGATCTACTTTTTACTGTGGGTTAAGATCTTATTGCAACATAACCTTGCCCTTCCTGATTATCATGAAATGTTTAACTTAAGGAAGAAGAGAGTCCTTAAGTTAATAGGGTGAATCAACTGAGTTAATGGAAGTTAAGAGATGACTTTTTAAAACAAATTAAAAAAATAAAAAAACAGAAAACTTTATTTGAACAAGAAAAAGTTAAGGATGTTACACTTCAAAAGAATTTTGAACTCATTAATTATTTTTAATTGATAAATCACTGTGGATTTACAGGGTACTGTGTGATTTTTTTGATACATGTGATTAAACCAGGCTAATTAACATATCCATCACTTCACTTTTTGGTGGTATGAATATTTAAAATCTCTCTCTGCAATTTTCAAATATACAATACAGTTGGCCCTCTATATCTGTGGGTTTCACATCCTCTCATTCATTCAACTGTGGGTTGAAAATATTTAGAAAAAAATGAAAGCTAACAATATAACTATAAAAATAATTCCGATTCAAAAACAATAAAGCATAACAACTATTTTCATAGCATTTACATTACATTGGGTATTCTAAGTATAATCTGGAGATGATTTAAAGCATACAGGAGGATAGGCTTAGGTTATATGCAAAAACTAAGACATTTTTAATAAGGGACCTGAGCATTCTCAGATTTTGGTATACAGAGAGGATACTGGAACAAATCCCTCGTGGATGCCGAGGGACGACTGTACATTATTATTAACCGTAGTCACCATGCTGTATGATCGATCTCCAGTACTTATTCCTCCTGCCTAACTGAAACTTTGTACTTTTTTTCTGAAACGGGGTCTAGGTCTGGCTGGGGTGCAGTGGTACGATCACAGCTCACTGCAGCCTTCACTTCCCGGGCTCAATCCATCCTCCCACCTCAGTCTCTGGAGTAGCCGGGACTACTGGCATGTGTGACCATGCCTGGCTAGTTTTTGTATTTTTTGTAAAGATAGGGTTTCACCATGCTGCCCAGCTGGTCTTGAACTCCTGCGCTCAACCAATCTACCTGCCTCAGCCTCCCAAAGTGGTGGGATTATAGGCATGAGCCACCACACCCTGCCCTTCTTTGTAACTTTTGACCAACATCTTCTCATTCCTCCTTGTCCCCCTCCCTGCTACCCCCACTCCCCGACCTGCCATGATTTTGACTTTTTTAGATTCCACAGGTAAGTGAGGTCATGCAGTATTTGTCTTTCTGTGCCTGGCTTATTTCACTTAACATAATGTCTTCCAGGTTCATCCATGTTGTAAAAAATGTAAAAGATTTCCTTCTTTTACAAGGCTGAATAGTATTCCATTGTGTATATGGACCACAGTTTCCTTATACACTCATCTGCTGATTGAGACTTAGGTTGTTAACATCTCCTGGCCATTGTGAGTAGTGCTGCGATGAACATGGGAGTACAGATACCTCTTTGATACACTGATTTCATTTTCTTTGCAGATGTACCCAGCAGTGGAATTGCTGGATGATGTGGTAGTTCTATTTTTATTTTTTAAATAGATGATGAATTAAAAAAAAAACATTTATTTGGGTGGGGCGCCGTGGCTCACGCCTGTAATCCCAGTACTTTGGAAGGCCGAGGTGGGCGGATCACTAGGTCAGGAGTTCAAGACAAACCTAGCCAACATAGTGAAACCCCGTCTCTACTAAAAATACAAAAATTAGCCGGGCATGGTGGCATTCTCCTGTAGTCCCAGCTATTTGGGAGGCTGAGGTGGGAGAATTGCTCGAACCCAGGAGGCGGAGGTTGCAGTGAGCCGAGACCACACCATTTCACTCCAGCCTGGGTGACAGAGTGAGACTGCAAAATAAAACTATATATATATTTTGTTTGTTTGTTTGTTTTCTTCTACATGAATATATACGTATTCCCAGGAACTAGAACACCGTTTCTGTTGTGGATGCTGTTCTGTTCTACCTAAACTCCTCCCTTTGGGACTGAAGGATTTATTCTCTCACTGCTGGGAATGTTGCTGGCTGACAGCCCTTAGCTGTCAGTCATCCCCCAGAATTGCTTTAGGTGATGAAAGCAGCCTCATCAGATTTTACTCCACTTCCCAGGAAGAACCCACCTATAATGACTGGTCAGTGTTGGGGTATAAATGTCCTAAACGCTTTCCCTAAATTAAGCCAAATCTGAAGGGATCCTACAGCTTCAGAACTCCCTGGGGGTTAGGATGAAGACTTTTTGACTGAATGATAGTCCAATTTCTAAAACCCTGCTTTAATTCATGAGCCATCTTACATAATTCTTTTGGTACAAATGTAATTTAAATGTAGTGATCTTTGTGATTTCTTCCTTAACTATGGGCAATGTCTCTTTTCTGCTTCTTGGGAGATGAAGTTATTGGCATTGATACCCTTCCTTTCCCCTCCCCTTTATGCTTCCACTTGCCAAAATGAGATACAGGCACCCTTTTTTCAATATTGTCAAAGCTGACAATTTTGACATTCTGCTGTAACAATAAGCATACTTGGGCTTTGCTCGTAGCTTAATTCTAAAAATTGAAAAAAATAGTTTATCATTTTCTAAATATCACTCATGTATCAGACGTTCTTTGCTTGCCAAGGAACTGCTGTAATAGGATCCCTTTTCAGTGAGGTCCTGGGTTAAATTCAGTTTTCTGGATTCCTTATCTTCCCATTTCCTGATTAACAATTCCACTTTACTAAGTAATATCCTTAGTCAACTTCTAATAAAACTATGTGTGGTAGGTACAGTTTTTGCCCCTTCATATTTCTTGATTTAGGTTTCCAACCTTCCTATTAAATTTTCCGATTGTTTATAGCATTCTATTATTACTTTTACAGATTAAGAATTCTAATTAGAAAGACTTTAAACTTGTTTGCTGTTACATGAGCTTTCCATATTAAATCTGTGATAATTTTCATGTTATTTTATTCTCATCTTCTCTTTCGTGTTGTAAGAGTTTCTCAAACATTTGCTCTGACTGCCTCAACCTTGTCTTTTACCTACTGTATACCATCTTATTTCATCTCAAGATAAACTTCTTCGAGCCACCTCTAATCTCCCCCAAATTATACCTGGTTCCTGTGCAACACTCTCTCACTTTACCTTGTTCTCTTTTCCTTTATAAATTATTCAGAGTTTGTAATTATATGTTTGTGGAATTATGTAATATATGTATATTTCTTCCCACTAGAGTGTAAGTTCTATGAAGACAATGAATGTATCTCTTTTCACATTATTTTAATGATACGTATAACAAAGTATGGTACTTATTGCTATAATGGTACTCAAAGACCATTTTTGCAGTTTTGATGAATTAAGGAATATATAAACAAGTCTGGGGGCTTAGTACAGCCAATAATAAAGGAAAAAGTACTTTGCTTTCCTTTGCTATTATTAGTTCTTGCATACACATTCTTTAGAGTTGCATTTTTGAGAGGTTCCTATAGTCTTAGGCAGGATTTGGATACTTAGGATTTCCCAACTGTGATAAAAATGAGAAAAGCCTAAAAACTAACATAACTTCAAACAGAATGTTTCTCTGCCTATGTTTATGGGACTTTCCTGGAATGCATTTTTTAAAAAACTTTGTATTACAGAAAACTTCAACAGTGTTAGAGAGAAGAGTGCCATGTTTTAACAGCCAAGCTTTAACAATGATCAATTCATGGGCAATTTTGTAAACCCACCCAATTAATCATACATGCACACTGGGTTATTCTGAAGATACTTTCAGATACCATACTTCATTCATAATTATTTTATTATGAAAATCTAAAGTATAATGACTTTTTAGAAACATAACAGCAATGCTATTACCACACTAAAATTAGCTATTTCCTTAATACAGTCGGTGTCAATTTTTCTGATTGCCTCATATCAATATGGTTCATACATTTCTTCAGCCTTTTAAAAATGTATAGCTTCTCTTCTCTTCCCTTCCCTTCTCTTCTCTTCTCTTCTTTCTCTCTCTCTCTCTCTCTGTCTGTCTTTGAATTGTTGCTGAAAAAATTGAGTTATCTAGTGGAAGTTCCCATATGCTGGATCTTGTTGGTTTCATCCCTGTGGTGTCATTCGCTATGGGATTTGTTAGTTGGACTCCAGAAAATAACAATAACACTAATTGTTAACACCTACTGACTACTTACTATGTGCCAGTACAGACTGTAAGTAAAATAAAATGTTTAATTCTTCAAATCCCTAGTTTGTCTGTGGCAAGTACAAACCTGAAATATTTCATGTGATTTTTAAAATTTTGTAAAATTTATTTATTTATTTATTTATTTTTAGAGGTGGGGTCTTGCTCTGTTGCCTAGGCTGGAGCGAGCACAGTGGCACAATCCTAGCCTTCTGAAGCCCTGAACTCCTGGGTTCGCTCCTCTCGCCTCAGCCTCCAGAGTAGCTGGGATTACAGGCGCGCCACCATGCGCTAATTTATTTTTATGTTGTAGAGATGGGGTCTTGCTTTGTTGCCCAGGCAGCTGTTGAACTCCTGGCTTCAAGCAATCCTCCTCCATTGGCCTCCAAACTGTTAAGATCACAGGCACGAGCCTCTGTGACCCACTAATTTTGTAAATTTTAAATAATGTGATATTAAATATTAATGAAGTCACACTTTATGTATATAATCTGAAATAATTCAAATAACTGAAATAATTTTTAAGTATCGCATGATTTAAAATCATGCAGGTTGATCTGTAACCCCATTTATAGTAATGTCAATAATGACCCTACTTTTTTAGCTGATTAAAAAAATTTACTCTTATTTTTTAGAATTAGTTTTAATTCTGCTATTTTAACATTACATAAATACTTTTTGAATACAACCTTTTAATAAAATGCACTATCATTAAATTTGCTTTCCACAGTACTTCTTGAGGAATGAGTCTGAGTTGGGCAGCATTTGTAGATTTCTGTATGACTAGTCATTTTGCCATTCAGTATACCCCTTATATTACACACACACACACACACACACACACACACACACACACACACACACAAGCACACAAATGCACACAACTCCAATATGCTGGATTCTTGCCTTATGAATCATTGAAATTTATATGAAATTTATTTGAAACCCTATTGCTAAAAATTTCTTAGCACATTTGCGCATTTTAATGTGACTTTTTCATACTAAAAGTTTTATTTTATATATTTGGGATCATAATTGGTTACCTTTTCTTCTCCTTTTTAAAAACAGACTTTATTGAATCTATAAATTACCTTGGGCAGTATGGCCATTTTCACGATATTGATTCTTCCTACCCATGAGGATGGAATGTTCTTCCATTGGTTTGTATCCTCTTTTATTTCATTGAGGAGTGGTTTGTAGTTTTCCTTGAAGAGGTCCTTCACATCCCTTGTAAGTTGGATTCCTAGGTATTTTATTCTCTTTGAAGCAATTGTGAATGGGAGTTCACTCATGATTTGGCTCTCTGTTTGTCTGTTTTTTTTTTTTTTTTTTTTTTTTTTTTTTTTTTTTTTTTAATTTATTTTTTTATTGATAATTCTTGGGTGTTTCTCACAGAGGGGGATTTGGCAGGGTCATGGGACAATAGTGGAGGGAAGGTCAGCAGATAAACAAGTGAACAAAGGTCTCTGGTTTTCCTAGGCAGAGGACCCTGCGGCCTTCCGCAGTGTTTGTGTCCCTGATTACTTGAGATTAGGGATTGGTGATGACTCTTAACGAGCATGCTGCCTTCAAGCATCTGTTTAACAAAGCACATCTTGCACCGCCCTTAATCCATTTAACCCTGAGTGGACACAGCACATGTTTCAGAGAGCACAGGGTTGGGGGTAAGGTCACAGATCAACAGGATCCCAAGGCAGAGGAATTTTTCTTAGTGCAGAACAAAATGAAAAGTCTCCCATGTCTATTTCTTTCTACACAGACACGGCAACCATCCGATTTCTCAATCTTTTCCCCACCTTTCCCGCCTTTCTATTCCGCAAAGCCGCCATTGTCATCCTGGCCCGTTCTCAATGAGCTGTTGGGCACACCTCCCAGACGGGGCGGTGGCCGGGCAGAGGGGCTCCTCACTTCCCAGTAGGGGCGGCCGGGCAGAGGCGCCCCTCACCTCCCGGACGGGGCGGCTGGCCGGGCAGGGGGGCTGACCCCCCCACCTCCCTCCCGGAGTGGGCGGCTGGCCGGGCGGGGGGCTGACCCCCCCACCTCCCTCCCGGATGGGGCGGCTGGCCGGGCAGGGGGCTGACCCCCCCCCACCTCCCTCCCGGACTGGGTGGCTGCCGGGCGGAGACGCTCCTCACTTCCCAGATGGGGTGGCTGCCGGGCGGAGAGGCTCCTCACTTCTCAGACGGGGCAGCTGCCGGGCGGAGGGGCTCCTCACTTCTCAGACGGGGTGGTTGCCAGGCAGAGGGTCTCCTCACTTCTCAGACGGGGCGGCCGGGCAGAGACGCTCCTCACCTCCCAGACGGGGTCTCGGCCGGGCAGAGGCGCTCCTCACATCCCAGATGGGGCGGCGGGGCAGAGGCGCTCCCCACATCTCAGACGGTGGGCGGCCGGGCAGAGACGCTCCTCACTTCCTAGATGTGATCGCGGCTGGGAAGAGGCGCTCCTCACTTCCTAGATGGGATGGCGGCCGGGCGGAGACGCTCCTCACTTTCCAGACTGGGCAGCCAGGCAGAGGGGCTCCTCACATCCCAGACGATGGGCGGCCAGGCAGAGACACTCCTCACTTCCCAGACGGGGTGGCAGCCGGGCAGAGGCTGCAATCTCGGCACTTTGGGAGGCCAAGGCAGGCGGCTGCTCCTTGCCCTCGGGCCCCGCGGGGCCCGTCCGCTCCTCCAGCCGCTGCCTCCCGGGCGGCGCTCGCCGGCGCGGCGGCAAAGACTGAGACAGCTCCGCTGCCCGCTGAACTCCATCCTCCCGGCGGTCGGGCGGCGGCGGCTGCGATCGGTCGCGGCAGCGGCTCCGCTTCATATCTGCAGCTGGGGCCCGCGGGCGTCAGCGCCGCGACTGTCCCGGCTCCGCACTGCCCCGGGCCGCAGCGCAGCCGCGCCAACCACCAGCCGCGGCCACCATGGCCGGACGGGCTCCCCTGTTTGTCTGTTATTGGTGTATAAGAATGCTTGTGATTTTTGTACATTGATTTTGTATCCTGAGACTTTGCTGAAGTTGCTTATCAGCAAGCTACCAATGACTTTCTTCACAAAATTGGAAAAAACTACTTTAAAGTTCACATGGAACCAAAAAAGAGCCTGCATTGCCAAGTCAGTCCTAAGCCAAAAGAACAAAGCTGGAGGCATCATGCTACCTGACTTCAAACTATATTACAAGGCTACAGTAACCAAAACAGCATGGTACTGGTACCAAAACAGAGATATAGACCAATGGAACAGAACAGAGCCCTCAGAAATAATGCTGCATATCTACAACTATCTGATCTTTGACAAACCTGACAAAAACACGAAATGGGGAAAGGATTCCCTATTTAATAAATGGTGCTGGGAAAACTGGCTAGCCATATGTAGAAAGCTGAAACTGGATCCCTTCCTTACACCTTATACAAAAATTAATTCAAGATGGATTAAAGACTTAAATGTTAGACCTAAAACCATAAAAACCCTAGAAGAAAACCTAGGCAATACCATTCAGGACATAGGCATGGGCAAGGACTTCATGTCTAAAACACCAAAAGCAATGGCAACAAAAGCCAAAATGGACAAATGGGATCTAATTAAACTAAAGAGCTTCTGCACAGCAAAAGAAACTACCATCAAAGTGAACAGACAACCTACAGAATGGGAGAAAATTTTTGCAATCTACTCATCTGACAAAGGGCTAATATCCAGAATCTACAATGAACTCAAACAAATTTACAAGAAAAAAGCAAACAACCCCATCAAAAAGTGGGCAAAGGATATGAACAGACACTTCTCAAAAGAAGACATTTATGCAGCCAAAAAACACATGAAAAAATGCTCATCACCACTGGCCATCAGAGAAATGCAAATCAAAAGCACAATGAGATACCATCTCACACCAGTTAGAATGGCAATCATTAAAAAGTCAGGAAACAACAGGTGCTGGAGAGGATGTGGAGAAATAGGAACACTTTTACACTGTTGATTGGACTGTAAACTAGTTCAACCATTGTGGAAGTCAGTGTGGCGATTCCTCAGGGATCTAGAACTAGAAATACCATTTGACCCAGCCATCCCATTACTGGGTATATACCCAAAGGATTATAAATCATGCTGCTATAAAGACACATGCACATGTATGTTTATTTTGGCACTATTCACAAATGCAAAGACTTGGAACCAACCCAAATGTCCAACAATGATAGACTGGATGAAGAAAATGTGGCACATACACACCATGGAATACTATGC
This sequence comes from Homo sapiens, assembly GCF_000001405.40. Taxonomy (NCBI): domain Eukaryota; kingdom Metazoa; phylum Chordata; class Mammalia; order Primates; family Hominidae; genus Homo; species Homo sapiens. The sequence goes on along the minus strand of NT_167246.2, from coordinate 4,064,252 downwards.
AGCCATAAAAAATGATGAGTTCATGTCCTTTGTAGGGACATGGATGAAGCTGGAAACCATCATTCACAGCAAACTATCCCAAGGACAAAAAACCAAACACCACATGTTCCCATTCATAGGTGGGAATTGAACAATGAGAACACGTGGACACAGGAAGGGGAACATCACACACCGGGGTCTGTTGTGGGGTGGGGGGAGGGGAGAGGGATAGCATTAGGAGATATACCTACTGTAAATGACGAGTTAATGGGTGCAGCACACCAACATGGCACATGTATACATGTGTAACAAACCTGCACGTTGTGCACATGTACCCGAAAACTTAAAGTATAATAAAAAAATAGACTTTATTTTAAAGCAGTTGCTGGTTCACAGAAAAACTGAGCAGAAGCTGCAGAGATATCCCAAAGGTTCCCAACCCCCTGGGCCATGGACCAGTACCAGCTGGTGGCCTGTTAGAAACTGGACCATGCAGTGGACGAGGTAGCATTACCAACTGAGCCCCGCCTTCCGTCAGATCAGTGGTGGCATTAGATTCTCATAGGAGCGCGAACCCTATTGTTAACTGTGCATGCAAAAGATCTAGGTTGCATGTTCCTTATGAGAACCTTGCTAATGCTTTTTGATCTGAGGTGGAACAGTTTCACAGTTTCATCCCCAAATCATACCCACATTCCCCCCACTATCTGTGAAAAAATTGTCTTCCATAAAACTGGTCCCTGGTGCCAAAAACGTTGGGGACGGCTGCCAGATACATTCTGCTCCCACACATGCATAGCCTCCCCCATTAGCAAAATTTCCCTCCAGAGTGGTACATTTGCTATAATTTATGAACTTACATTGGCACATCATTATCACCCAAAGTCCATGGTTTACATTGTCTCACTCTTGGTGTTGTACATTCTGTGGATTTGGGCAAATGCATAATGACATTTTTCAACATCGTGGTATCAAATAGAGTAGTTTCATTGCCCTAAAAATGCTCTGTGCTCTGTGATGGACATTTTTTTGATGATCACTTGTTCAGACTCCCTTGCTTACTGATTCCTAGTCTGCATTTTAAATTATTTTCTCCTTGAACTTTCTTCACCTCCTCCCCAAAGTAAACATGCATAAACATCTGTTGCATATGAAATACTTTGAATAAAGACTTATAGGCCACAAGGAGGGAATATATCCCTTCTTAAAGAGTTGAAAACCAAAGTGAAATATTACGATTTCTCATCCTAAGAGTTCTCTCAGCAATTGATCTCAGCATCTCTCATTTTGGAGAAAACAATATCCTGCAATGATCATATGAAAAGAAATTCACCCATAGTTCTACATACATTTGAATCTCCTAAATCATTAAGGGGCTGAGAAAAACAAAAGTACTTTTCATATAACGTGATCCATTCTTTTAAATAAATTAATTATAAATATAACCACAATGTTTTCTTGTGTATTTATGTACTATATGTAAGGCATTGACTATATATCAAGATTATTCAAATTCCATCAATAGCTCTGCAAGGAAAGTATTATTACTCCTCCATTGTGGAAGAGAAAAATAAGGCCAGAAATGTTAGATACTTTACCCATTTATAAAGTTTAAAATACTAGCTTCAAAGTACTGAATCCTTGATTTGGATTTAGGGTTCTTTGCACCAAACTATACTGTATCAATTAATGTGTTAATATTTTGTCTTTTTTCTCCAATTAAAATTTAAACTCACTGATGCAGGTTGCATGGATAGAAATACCCTCACAGATTTCATAGCTGTTTAGAGCCATGGGGTCACTGCTGACCATTTCCTCTGGGAGAGTTTCTGCTAGGAAATGGCCAATCCAGTGGAGGACACAGCACCCACAGCTGCTGCTACATTGTCTCAACTGTGTTGTTCCTCCTAGGGTTTCTCTCATAAGCTAGTGCTTTCCTTAGCCAGGAGGGGTGAGGGGAAAGGGCTGGGGATTTCTGAAGATACTGGCATTGTTTTGTATCGGCATGTTTCCTAGAAACATCCTGCCATATCCACTATACTGTCTGCTTCATGCAAGGGTGGCACAGGGAAAGCTACGTGGTTATCTAGCAAAGCTTCATTCAGGAGGTGAGGCAGACTGCGCCTCTATTCAGGGCTCCTAGATATGTCTGTGGCTTCTACTCCTATCCCTTTTCCCATTGTCACTAACCCTATGTGAGGAATAAGTATTTGTTCCTTTTCAGATACCCACATTACTGTCTTTTTCTAATGTTTTTCTGACTTCCATTTCTTTTCCTACCTAAAGAATTTTTATTCCCTAAAGGCGAGGAGGGGAGAGGAAGGCTTCTACTGTCATCATTCTTTACAAATTCAAAGTTTTGAGAATAAATTTTTACTTTTGATATTTTTGTGATTCAAAGTTCCTTTATCCTAATTTATTTCTCCATCATACTTTTAAAAGCCATATTGAAATTAGTACAAACTTATTTTTTGGTTTTAAAATTTTTGCTATAACAATTCTGAGCAAAGGGCAGAGAGTATCCATTAACTTCATTGTTGCCTGAATTGAGGGATGGGCGGCAGTGCCAAGGGTGAGAACACAAAGAAGAAAGAAATATTAATGTCAGCTAAGAAATCAACATATTATCAGGCTATATTGTACTTGGTTGCTTCTGTGTTACTGGATATGAAATATGATCTGGGAAATGAGATGAAATTGGCTTGAAACATGAGAGTGTCCCAATTCTTAGCCATAGGTTCAGTCAGCCCCGGATGAAAGATGGAAAAATTTGACATAGATCTCTTAAAGGGAATTTATTGCTTCCATGGAGATTTTAGATCGATGTTACTGAGGAATTAGGTAGCTGGGCGGCTTACCCCAGGCATCTCTTAGTAGGTAACACCTGAGAAAAGAAAAAAAAATCAGGAGGTCAGGGAAAGAATTCAAAGGCATTTGTGAGCTCTGAGGGGATACAGAAGCTTAAGGAAAAAAAAGCAGAGAAAAGGTAAGAGGAGAAACATTTGCAGGAGAAAAAGGGTATGATAAATCGGGCCAGAGAATAGTGCTAGGTCATGTAGCAAGTCCACTCTTCCGCTGCTGTAGATGGTGATGCACCTGCAACAGGACAGACATGAGATCGATGGGTCCAAGGGGGCTCCTGTGTCATCATCATGCCACTTCCCAATTCCCCTACAACTTTCAACCACATTCATGTCCACAGCCTCCTCCCACTTTCCTTCCTGCAGCTTCAGCTCTAACAAATCTCAAACTTACCTTCTTTTTCAGGATGGGATTCACAAGGGCCCTTGGTGTCTGGAAGCACCAACTGAACGCAGGCCTCGGATGATCAAGACGGTCCCCACCACAATGCCCACGAGGCCCACAGACAACCCCAGGGCACAGACCACAGTCTCTGTGAGCTCTGACATAGGTGCTGGAATCTCAGGCTCTGTGGAAGTGAAGTTGTTGAGGTCAGAATGCAGAGTGTGCTCATGTGCATGTGTGAGGGATGGGATGGGGTGGAGGGTTGGCTCTGCAAAGACTCAAGGCCCCTGGCTCAGGGAGGAGAGTGAAGTCTGTTATTAGAAACCCATGAAGTGGCAGGCCTGCTCCCACCCTGTGGAGTGTACTTTCTTTTTTAATAAATCTGTGCTTTTGTTGCTTAATTCTTTCAAAAAAAAAAAAAGATAAAAGAAACTCATGAAGTGTGGAAAACAAGTTTTGGGACATAGAGTAAAAGGCAGGAAGTTCTGAACTTGACAGACAAGAAAGCATCAAAAAATGGTGAAACTCATCCTTACCCCAGTGTTTCAGAAGAGGCTCATCCAGGCCCCAGTGCTCCACCTTGCAGTCATAAATCTCATCAGCAGAAGGGAGGAAGGTGAGGTAACTGATCTTGAAGAAGGAATGATCACTCTTGGAGAGGAAGCTGGTCTCAGAAACACCTTCTGTGACTGAGTGCCCATTGCTCAGCCAGGTGATGTTGACCACAGGAGGAAAGATGTTGTCCACAAGACAGATGAGGGTGTTGGGCTGACCCAGTGTCACGGGAGACTTGGAAAACACTGTGACCTCAGGAACCTCTATGGTGAGGAAACAGCACTGGTGTGAAGTGTGAATAGCTCTGCCCTGAGCTTCTGCATTACATCCTGGAAGAGTCTTCCTACCAGCATTTCCTCTCCTGCTGGTCAAAGAGGCCTTATTTACCTTCTACTTGGGAGCAATGACACATTGCCTCTGCTTTACTCCTGTGCCCTTCTCTCTGTGGGCATGTTTAATAAAGTAGGAGGTTGATGAGACCTCTCCTAGAATGATTTAATGAATGCATAATGGAAAGACCCTTGTATTACATGGGGATATGTGATTTTAGAGATGAGAAATGATAAAATTTCAGCAATTGCCATGAGAAGATCTGGGGACCTCTTGGAAAGAAAATAATGAAACTTGGTATAAAGGGATAGATCAGTAAAGAAAGGCAGAATGGTGGACACATACCATTGGTAGCAGCGGTAGAGTTGGAGCGTTTAATCAGGATGTTCAAGTTATGTTTTAGCACAGCGATGTTTGTCAGTGCAAATTGCGGGTCAAATCTAAGTCTGTGGAACAGAGGCAACTTCCAGACAGTCTCCTTCCTCTCCAGGTCCACATAGAACTCCTCGTCTCCATCAAATTCATGGGTGAACTGGCCAGAGGGACCGTAAGACTGGTACAAGTTTACACCGTAAGAGGCAACGTGGTCAGCTGATGAGTGAAGATGACAAGCAGGAAGGCAGAGAACAGGAGAATAAAAAACCTTAATACACAAAATGATGGAAGAAACTGACTTTCAAATATTATGGGCTTTGTCTTTGGCAAAGTCTGTGGACATTTCCAGCCCCTGCTTCCTCCCCTCTTCGTGTTGATAGTTGTCCAGTTAAAAGTGCACTTTCTTTCCCACTACAGTGTGTGCTACACAAGGGCAGAATATCGCGTGTCCGATTTTCACTATTTCCTGAGTGCCTGGCACATCATGGACTTGTGATTAAATAATGTAAATGAACAGAAGAAGGAATGAATGAGTTATCAGAGTACTTAACTTTCTTAGTCATAGATTAACTTCCCTCTGCTTCCTAAGGTTTATCTTTCACTTAATTCTTTCATCAGTTAATAACAAATTGATTATACTTCCTTTCCTCTCAGGACTGGCTCAGAACAGGACATTCTACACAGAGATCTTTCTTTTTTTAGAAAAAGGAAAAGCATGCAGGATCTTATTAATTTAAAATAATTTCTGCTAACAATGGTAGGGTATAAGAAAGAGTATAACAAGAACGGTAATAACATTACAAAATATATGATAAATAAATAATGCTTCCTTCTAAGGTCTCTGTTTTGTTAATAGTAATGGTCCTTAGAGGAGAGTAACTGATTTCTTCTGAAATGAAAAAGTGGAAGCTCTACTAGTTTTTGGATTTCTGTCATTCCCCCCACCCTTTTTTTCCTCTGAAGGAGGTTACTAAATGTCTGCAGTGTTCTGACTCAACATTTATATTCACCCTTTTTCCTCTAATGGGCAGTGTGCTTCTCTGAGGATGCCAGAGCAGAATGGCAGCCATGCAGTATGACTCCAGCCAAATGAGCCAAACTGAACATTCTGGTCAAGACATGTGTAAGCCTTTTACCATCGTATCTTTCCTTCCTTCCCCACTTTCTGAGCATCCACAAGTATCAGACATAGCAGGGGAAGTGTAAAACACCAATCAGGCATGGTCTACCATTAAGGAACAAACTGAATAGTGGGAGAGTCAGGTAGGTAAGGGAGCAGATACAATGTACTGTAGTAAGTTCTGCGAGGAGGATATTGACAGCCTTACAGTCCAACATCTTTCACAAGTATCTGCCAAGCAAACCAAACTACATTATCCTTTCATGTTCCTGGTCTTTGCAGTGGTCTGTTGTTTTCCTCCCTGAAATGAAATTATCTTTTAGGACTTCCTGGAGAAATCATAAAATCAATCCTTGAGGTTTCTGCTTAAGTTAACAACTTTGTAGCTAAGTCCTCTCATCAACATGTTTTTGACCACGTTATGACCTCCAGCTCCTCCATCTCAACATCTGGCCATCCAAGTTTGTCTATCCCTCTTCCAGCTCACCTTCTTCCCTATCCAGTATGACCACGCTGGATGGTCTTAACAGGCCACCAACAAAGCCTCCTTATCCTTGCAATAAACCTTGACTCTTTGTTCAAACATAAATATATATGGAATATATGCAATCCTTCTTTTCGTCTGGTTATCCTGCTGGCCCAGCTGGAACCAAGTCACTTGTATAGTTTCAGCCTCTGCTGAGTCCACTGCCTGCTCAGCAATGGCCTTCTGCTTTCTTTCATCCCATACTGTTTCCATCACTAGTCTGAGCACCCTCTGCAGGGGAGACAGCATGACTTTTCATCTTTGAATCCTTAAAACTTAGCTCACTGGGTGCTCAAACATGTGTATTGAATGACAGTTGTTATATTTGAGGACCACATAGATTTTGGGGAAGACTGACAGGCACATAGTTAGCAGAACCACACGAAGGTCAGGATCAGCCATGATCAGGGATGCGTTCTGACATGTGAGCCCCAAGCACTCTTGCTTGTGTGGACGCCTTCCTCCATAAAAATATGGAAAATTATATTTTATGACTGAATTGGTATAAAGACAATATAATATAGGCTGAATTAAAAGTTAAAACATTTTCTTAGGCTCTACAATTTCATTTTTTTATAATTTTAAAAGGAGTTAAAACATTCTCATGTGGCTTTACAGTATGGAGGTTCCCCTGCACTGCCCACATTGTGCCTAATGGATGAGCTGAGCCTGACCAGGGCACTCTGGTGTGAGGCTGAAGAAAGGAAATTTGGAACAAAGAAGCCAAGCGCTCTGGAGGAGAGGGTGAAACTTCCACTGCTGAACAAAATCAGAATGGGAGCTGCCACGGTTAATAAGGTTGTGAAAGTTTAGAGTACCTTCCAGTTTACTTCCCCTTTTAACTATCTGACTTTTCAACTTTTGTTTTACAAACTCATGTCCATCTCTATAAAGGAGCAGGGAGTCAGAGATGGATCCTGAAAGGGAAGAGGGAGAAAGGAATGCATGAAGAGAGGTGGGAAGAGATGGACGACAAAGGCAGAGGAGACTAAGAGACCAAATAATTAATCTGTGCTTCCTTCCTTCTGTTTTCTTTCTTTCTTTCTTCTTTCTTCCCTTCCCTTTCTCCTTCCTTGCTTCCTTCTTTCCTTCTTTCCTTCCTTTCTCTCTTTCTTTCCGCTTTCTTTTTGAGACAGGGTCTCTCTCTGTTGCCCTGGCTGGAGTGTAGTGGTGCCATCATGGCTCACTGCAGCTTCCACCTCCTGGACTCAAGTGCTCCTCCCACTGCAGCCTTCTGAGTAGCTGGCACCACAGGCATGCACTACCATGCCTGGCTAATTTTTATTTTATTTTTTGGTAGAGATGAGGTCTTGCTGTGTTGCCCAGGCTGGTCTCAAACTCCCAGGCTCAAATGATCCTCCTGCTTCGGCCTCCCAAAGTGCTGGGATTACAGGCATGAGCCACCATGTCTGGCCCACTTTTCTTTTTATAGGACTTTATTAGATGAGGTGAAGAACAGGTAATTTGGGTTGATAATTTGAGAATAAAATGATTTAATTTACCAATTTTTTCTACTTCTCAATTTTAAACTAAAAGGATCCCTTATTTTGCTAAAGAAAAGAAATGTGAAGCTATACCTGTAATAGAAATATGTAAAAACAATTGACATCCATGTTTTCACTATTTACAAAGCTTAGCTACATGCCCATTTTATTTGATTATTTGTGAGGTGACACATATGAGGCAGCTGAGAGTAAGTGAGGACCATGTGGTAAAATGATTGTTGAAGGCATTCAGCCTGCTGGACTCCTTTACCTACTCCCCACCTGTGCCAGTTCCCATGTGGAAATGTGAGTAAGTCTGAGAGAAAGAAACGGGCAACTTTTTTAATATCTATAGAGTATATAATTGATGGAACGACCCCAAGATCTACTACAGGAGACATCCGAAAATCTTCAAAAGTTGTTCAGGGAAATTTGAGAATGACACTTCATACATTTTTAATAATAAAAAATTATCCACTGATGGAAACCTCACTAATTTTTGAGGCAATCATGATGGAATGACATAGAGACCTCCAGGCTGTAGTCACTGAATATAATATAAACAGAATAGCATCCTTAGTGAACACAAAAGCATACATAACAAAAAGAGTAGGTTGGGGCTCTGGTTTCCTGAAGGAGGAACAGCTATAATTTTTAATTCTCTTAATACTGAAAGGGGTCTTAGGAAATCTCTACAATTTCTCTGCAAATCGCTTTCTCTCTTTTCCTTCAATTTACTGTTTTTCAGCTCCAGAGAACATTCCTCACTCACGCACTCACCCACAATGTCTTCACCTCCACAAGGGCTCATCACGGTGGTCAGGGCGAGGGCCCCCAGCATCAGAGCTTTGTTTAGGATCATCTTCTTCCCAAGGCAGCCTCAGCAGTTGCTGTTCTGAGCTGTAGAGTAATTGTGAGGACCTCAAGACAAGGAAATCTGAAGACACCCAAACCAAACCCTGCCAAGTCAGGTTTTGGCCAATTAGAAAAATCCCCCATGGTGACATCTCAGTTACTAGTTGAAGAGTTTCTATTAAGAGCCCTGGAAGGAGACAGGGCAATCCCCTTGTTGTGATGCAGCCTCTACTCAGAGTGGACTTGAGGAATTGTTCTATGAAGAGAGGGAAGACACTAAATTGGAATCTTCTCTGGTGTGTGCATGTCTGCCATTCGCAAAAGGGATGGGAATTTTTCTTTTTTTTTCTTTTTCTTTTCTTTTTCTTTATTTTTCGAGACGTAGTCTCACTCTGTCACCCAGGCTGAGGTACAATGGCATGGTCTCGGCTCACTGCAACCTTTGCCTCCCGGGTTCAAGCGATTCTCCTGCCTCACCCTCCCAAGTAGCTGGGACTGCAGGTGCCTGCCACCATGCCCGGCTAATTTCTGTATTTTTAGTAGAGACAGAGTTTCACTATGTTGGCCACGCTGGTCTTGAACTCCTGACCTCGTGATCTGCCTGCCTCAGCCTCCCAAAGTGCTTGGATTACAGGCATGAGCCACCGCGCCTGGCCAGGGGTGGGCATTTCTGAGCAGCCTCATGGATAGATGAGGTCATCAATTATATGGCATCCTTCAGGATTTTCTGGGTTACAACCTCCAGGAATTTTTCCCTGAGTTGATTTCCCTCCCTGGCAGTCCCCATCCCCTGCCCTTTCTCTGGCTTCTGTATGAGGGTTAGCTGTTTTTCTTTTTGCTTCCATAGTGCGCGTGGAATTCTCCAAATGTTAAGTTGACCCCACCTACCTAGGGATCTCTGCTGGTGGTAGCCAAGCAATACCTTTGCCTTTTCTACTTGTATAAATCCAGCTGGGTAAGTTCTTCTCAAGCACTCAAAAGATCCAAGTGGTTTTGGCCAGGGCAATAAAAAGGGGTTATAATGTCAGATGGTGCTGTCTATAGTAACTGTATGAGACTTTATACAGTTTTTCTTTGCATTGAGTAATCCTTATATTCTGTGTTTTGGTGCTTCTTGAGTATGTTTAAAGGAAATTTGGGGACATTGATTACATTTAAAATTTGGCTGGCTCAATTACTCTAAGAACTTTTTTTAAAAAAATTAAGAATATGAAGTCAAAAGTTGAGGGTAGAATAAGAAGAATTGCACTGACTTAGAAAAATGGTTTTCTTTTCTTAAACTACCAGATCTTTTAAAACTTGTTATCCTACCACACTAAAATTCCAAATATTTGCAAGGGACTAGAGATTGAGCCAAAGTTAGTCCTTAGAGGGAAACTTATTATATTTTTTCAGATGCATCTATTTTCTGTATGTGATAGAAACCATAAGTTAATGGAGCTTCTATTTAGAATCACTCTGTCCTTGATAAATGGCCTTCTGAGATTCTCAGCACTATGTTTTACCTCCCACTGGCAGACACCGTAAAAAAAAAAGTGAAACAAAAAAAAAATGTCCTGACACCTGAGACTGTCTGGATGTAATTAACAAAGGCTTGGGGTTGCTAGCAGCTAGCCTGGCACTCCCAGGTGGTTTTGGTTCTCCTGTTGGAGATAAAGGATTTCATAGAACATCAGAATCAGACAGGTACTCTGTGAGCACAGTGGATTGAGACAGAACACCTGAATGCTCAGTCATCATGTCTGAACCCAGACAAAACATGAATATTGTCCAAACCACAAAAATGACCAGGCACATCTCTCTCGGGAGTGATTACTGCTTCTTTACCAACCACGTCTGTAGCCTCAGGATAGTCTTCTGTCCCTCTAGGTAGGATTTATGAAGCTACCCAATCATAACATTGCCACCCCAACCCTCCACTTTCTGTCAGAATCCAATTAAAAGCAAAATCCCTCTTTCTTAAATCCTCCCCAAAATCACCTAAAACAAGCACAAACCTTACAACTGATTAATGGTCAATTTTATGTGTCAGCTAGACTGTGATCCCCAGTTATTCAGTCAAACACTAACAATCTAGATGTTGCTGTGAAGATATTTTGTAGATGTCATTGAAGTTCATAATCAGTTGACTTTAAGAATTTATCCTAGGAAAACTGGGTGAGCTTAATCTAAGCTGTTGAAAAGCCTTAAGAGCAGAGCTGAGGTTTCTCTGAGGAAACAGAAATTCCACTCTGGACAGTGTGTCAGCCTGTGCTGAGAGTTCCAGCCTGCCCTTCCTGATAACTACCTCCCAGAGGATCTCTGACTTGCCTAGCCCACCCCCACAGATGCAAAAATTAATTCCTTGCATCATTATCTTAATATATGTATTCTCCTGGTTCTACTTCTTTGGTTCCAACAATCTCTTACTGAGGGGCTGCATGATTCTCATGGTGAGTTTTATCCATCATTGCAATAAACAATAAAGCTGACTTGTTCATTGCTTGTATGCTCCTGCTGGTCTTTGGCTGGAGGCATTGAGGTACCTCATTAGGCAGTTGTGAGAAATGTACATACACTGCACTTGGAATGAAAAATTCCTGGACTCTTTACATATACTTGTCATATTTTAATATCGTTCTCATTTTCCGAGGAGGACATTAAAGCCCAGAGAGTTGAAGGACTTTTCCCAGGGTCACGCAGCTGGTAAGCAGCACAGATGTGATGCTATGGGGCAAGCCATGAGTCCTTGTGAGGAGTGATGGGTGAGAGTCTCCTTCTGTGCGAATTCAGAATCCAGTGCCTTAACATGATTAGGAGAGATATTTGACCCTATAGGTGGCTTTATTCTTTCTAGCTCCTGCCATTGTGAATGAAGAGGGTTTTTGAGGTCCCCTTTGAGATGTGCTCCCTTTGCCACTCAATATCCTTCTGGCTGTGTAGCAAATAACATGTTTTTATCTTTTTTCCTGTATCCAGACTCACCTGCTTTGTATCTCATGGAAATTCCTTAGGACTTTGGCAAATGAGCAAAATGTTTTGGGATGGTAGTCCAGAATTTCACCTATTAAAATTACAGTTTAAATAACTCAACTCCAGTTAAGAAGTTAGGGTGTTAAATGTAGGATTAGAATTGTATCTTGGATGGGAAGTTGAGGGTGCCGTTTCAGACCTCACATCCTGTGGGGTGAAGGGAAAGTCCAAGCAAGGCAAAGTCATTGAAGAGATAATAGACGCCATTTCTTTTTTTCTTTTTTTGAGACAGAGTCTTGCTCTGTCGCCCAGGCTGGAGTGCAGTGGTGTAATCTCGGCTCACTGCAAGTAGCTGGGACTACAGGCACCTGCCACCACGCCCGGCTAATTTTTTGTATTTTTAGTAGAGATGGGGTTTCACTGTGTTAACCAGGATGGTCTCGATCTCCTGACCTCGTGATCTGCCTGCCTTGGCCTCCCAAAGTGCTGGAATTACAGGCGTGAGGCCACTACTGGCCCAATAGATGCCATTTCTATCTTTAACCTAGTTTTGTCTCTTTCCTCTTCCTGCTTCATCCGGCCATAACACAGTGAACGTTGTTCCAGTTGCTTCTGTCTTCAGGTCATAATTTTAATGTAAGGTAAAGTAGTAAGTAAATGAGACTCAGAAGAACAGCATACCATTTTAACAAGAGCTAATTTGTTACCTTTGTCTAGTAGAAAGAGAAAAGGCCCTCTTCATAAATTAATAGTGGGAATAAAATTTGGAGTTCAAAATAGTACTTTGTCCAACAATTTTCTCAGAAAGCACTTATTGACATGCCATTGATTCCACGACTAAAATAACAATGGGATGTGCCATTATAATTGACATCATTAAGAGCCCTCTAAGAAATTAGGTAGAATTTATGTTAGTTCTAATAAACAGTTATAACATTCTCTAAGACTGTATATTTTCAAATTGTTTTAGTCTGACTTTATGCACTGGTGAAGTTTTACTCTGAAGGCCAAGACTTCTGTCTTGCAGTAGTTAAAGCTGCTTCACAATAATAAGAGAGTCTAGAGTAGCAAAGTAAAAAGATACAGATTTTGTAATAAGATAAATATGTATTCCATGCTGCTTTTCATTTTATCAGCTGCATCACCTTGGGCAAGCTACTCAAAACATCTGAGCCTTAAGGTTATTTTCTATAAAACAGAAGGAAAATTATTAGATGATAGTTAATATGGTAAAATGAAATGATAGATAAGTACAATTATAAAGTTAAATACAATCCAGTGTCTGACACATAGCAACTATTCCCAAGTGGTAGCTCCTATATAAAGACAAATATTAATAATGATAATGATAATAACATCATGCTTTGGGCTGGGAAAGCCTATCAATTTTTCCTCATTCATTTAACCTTCTCCCTGTAGCACTCCAGGCATGTGGGAGCCTGTGAGCCACAGAAGCACTAAGACATTGCTGAAAAACAAAATTTTTTTGAAGACTCTTGTATCTGTCAGATTTTTTTATGTAATAAAGTACTCCAAAACTTAATGACTTCAAATAATTGTTTAGTGTCTCCTCATGATTCTGTAAGACAGGAAATTGTGCTCAACCCACCTGAGTGGTTTTTATGTACTGGGCAGGTTCAGCTTTTCTCAGGTGGGCTCCCTCACATCTCTGTAGCATCAATAGGTTTGGCAGGGATAGGAGGCCTCTCTCAATCCATGTGGGCTCATTATCCAGCAGGCGGGCTGAGGCTTATCACAGGTGCTGGAAAGCTCTCCTGTGCAAGATAGAAACAGTAGGTGTCTTGAGCTGAAACTTAAAACTCACAACATCACTTCCATTACATTCTGTTATTCAAAGCAAGTCATAGTACTAGCTCACATCAAGAGGTGGATTAATAGATTGCATTTCTTGACAGAATGGGCTACAAAGAATTTGTAGCTATTTTTGCAACTTACCATAAATATCCTCTGGCTTTTGACAATATGTAAATGAATTTGGTGTGCAAGCATTGGAGAGCCCCCATATTTGAAATAAATTCCACCCACTCACCTACCAGTCAAGATCTTATCTTTACTAATCTGCACTAAAAACACAGTGAAGCTTTCTCAAGGGAGACTTGAACTAAGAACTGTTGAATTCCAGTATGAATAAGGTGCTACAATTTATTCTTATAAAAAACTTTATGGAGTTTTACAAATGAAAATACAGAATTGTGAAGAATTGTAAGTAATCTCTTATGACTGCCAAGCTCATATTCTGATACAAAGTCCTGTATGCTGATATCCAGTCACGTGGCCTCTCACAATCATAAAATTAATGAAGCAGAGGAAACTTATAAAAACAATTGTTATTTAATATCATTTCCACCAATTCTTTATCAGCAACAACTCCTATGTGTGTGAACTAGTTGTTTTAAATAACTCACTTGAATAAACTGCACAATAAAAAATAATATGAGGAGGCCAGGCGCGGTGGCTCACGACTGTAATCCCAGCACTTTGGGAGGCAGAAGCAGGCGGATCACGAGGTCAGGAGATCAAGACCATCCTCGCTAACACAGTGAAACCCCATCTCTACTAAAAATACAAAAACAAAATTAGCCAGGCGTGATGGCGGGCGCCTGTAGTCCCAGCTACTCAAGAGGCTGAGACAGGAGAATGGTGTAAACCTGGGAGACAGAGCTTGCAGTGAGCCGAAATCGTGCCACTGCACTCCAGCCTGGGTGACAGAGTGAGACTTCATCTCAAAATAATAATAATAATAATAATAATAATAATATAAGGAAAGATTGCTTTGTAATGCTATTCTACTGAAAAACATGCAAAATTACCTCCATGTCCAGATCTACCTTCTCCATAGCTCCAGAGTATTCTACAGCTAAACCTAAGAGGTTATTTCATGAAGACTTTGCAGAGACTATGGTATGTAATCAATAAATACTTGTTGACTTGGACTGAAATTCTTAATCATCTGAATCAGTTTACAGAGCTGACTGTCTGGAGACTGATATTCCTCATGTCCAGCAGTGATTGATTCTCCTCCCAGGAACTCCCCAGTCCTAATGTACATATTGTAAACATTCTTTGTATAGATCTTTTAATTTACTTACTTAATTTTAGAGATGGGGTCTCACTGTGTTGCTCAGGCTGGCCTCAAACTCCCAGGCCCCACCTCAGTCTTCCAAGTAGCTGGGACTACAGGGGCACACCACGCCACCTGGCTATACAGATACCTTTCCTTAGCATTAATCATTAAACAAATGACAAATAATTTTTAATAAAAGCTTTAAAAGCAAGTGCTGCCCAAAGCAATTTATAGATTCAATGCTATTCCTATTAAAAAATACCATTGAGATTCTTCACAGAACTAGATAGAGCCTGAACAGTCAAGGCAATCCTAACCAAAAAGAACAAAGCTGGAGGCATCACACTACCCGACTTCAAACTACACTACAGGGCTACAGTAACCAGAACAGCATGGTACTGGTACAAGAACAGACACATAGAGCAATGGAGCAGAATAGAGAACCCACCAGAAATAAGACCTCATACCTACAACTATCTGATCTTCAACAAGCCTGAGGAAAACAAGCAATGGGGAAAGGATTTCCTATTCAAGAAATGGTGCTGGGAGAACTGGCTAGCCATATGCAGAAGGTTGAAACTGGAACTCTTCCTTACACCATATACAAAAATTAACTTAAGATGTATTAAAGACTTAAATGTAAAACGCAAAACTATAAAAACCCTGGAAGACAACTTAGGCAATACTACTCAGGACATAGGCATCGGCAAAAGTAATTGCAACAAAAGCAAAAATTGACAAATGGGATCTAATTAAACTAAAGAGCTTCTGCACAGCAAAAGAAACTATCAGCAGAGTGGACAGACAACATACAGAATGGGAGAAAAGTTTTGTAAACTATGCATCCAACAAAGGTCTGATATCCAGCATCTATAAGAAACTTAAACAAATGTACAAGAAAAAAACGAACAACTCCATAAAAAAGTGGGCAAAGGGCATGAACGGACACTTCTCAAAAGAAGACATACATGTAGCCAACAGTCATATGAAAAACAGCTCAACATCACTGATCATTAGAGAAATGCAAATCAAGACCACAATGACCATCCCACACCAGTCAGAATAGCTATTATTAAAAAGTCAAAAACTAACAGATGCTGATGAGGTTGTGGAGAAAAAGGAACGTTTATACACTGTTGGCGGGAGTGTAAATTAGTTCAACCATTGTGGAAGACAGTGTGGCAATACCTCAAAGACCCAAAGGCAGACATGTCATTTGACCCAGCAATCCAATTACTGGCTATATACCCAAAGGAATGTAAATTGTTCTATTATAAAGATACGTGTACACGTATGCTCATTGTAGCACTATTCACAATAGCAAAGACATGGAATCAACCTAAATACCCATCAATGATAGACTGGATAAAGAAAATTTGGTACATATACACCATGGAATACTACGCAGCCATAAAAAAGAATGAGATCGGCCGGCACGGTGGCTCACGCCTGTAATCGCAGCACTTTGGGAGGCCGAGGCGGGCAGATTATGAGGTCAGGAGATCAAGACCATCCTGGCTAACACGGTGAAACCCTGTCTCTACTAAAAATACAAAACATTAGCCAGGCATGATGGCTACTCGGGAGACTGAGGCAGGAGAATGGTGTGAACCCAGGAGGCGGAGCTTGCAGTGAGCCGAGATCGTGCCACTGCACTCCAGCCTGGCCGACAGAGAGAGACTCTGTCTCAAAAAAAAGAAAAAAGAATGAGATCATGTTCTTTGCAGGGACATGGATGGAACTAGAGACCACTATCCTTAGCAGACTAATACAGGAACAGAAAACCAAATACCGCATGTTCTCACTTATGAGTGGGAGCGAAATTATAATAACACATACATGGACACATAGAGGGGAACCACACACACTAGGACCTATTGAAGAGTGGAGGGTGGGAGGAGGGAGAGGATCAGGAAAAATTACCATTGGTTACTAAGCTTAATACCTGGGTGATGAAATAATCTATAAAACAAACCCCTATGACACATATTTACATGTTTATGTAACAGACCTGAACATGTACCCTTGAACTCAAAAGTTTAAAAAATGCTCTAAAATGAGGTTTCTCAACCTGAGAACTATTAATATTTTGAGCCAGAGGATAATGTTTTTTTTTGTGGGAGGCTGTCATGTGTGTTATAGGACTTTTAACAGCACCCCTGGCCTCTACCCAATACATGCCGGTAGCAGCCTCCCCATTAGTGACAACAAAAACTATCTCCAGACATTGTCAAATGTCACTTGAGGGGAAAATTGCCCCCATTTAAGAATCATTGCTTTATAAGGTAACAGACTCTCTAAAATAAAAATAGTAGCAATGTATTGTGTGTTTATGGAATATGAGAAAGAAATTATATGACAATTGCACAATGAATAAGAGAGAAATCTGGAGTATGCTAATCTAAGGTAGATTTGAAGATAGATTATTCATATATGTAAAATTCTAGGGCAACAACTAATCCAAAAGAAAGCAAAAAATGATTATAAAAATAAATATTTCATAGAATTAATAGAAATATCTAGTAAAAATAATTCAACCATATTAATAAGTACATTAAATATAATTGGTCCAGACAGACCAATTAAATGATAGAGAAGAACAGATTGAATAAAAATGGAATATTGAACTATAACCTATCAGCAACCCATTTTAAATATAAAGACATACCTTCATTAAAAGTAAAAAGAAGGGAAATATATACCATGCAAAAGAAATCAAAAGAAATTCAGAATGATTATGTCAATACTAGACAAAGCAGAAATTGGAGCGAGAAATGTTAATAGGGATAAAGACAGACATCACTTAATGATAAAGGGTTATTTCTCTAAAGAGACATAACAATCTTAAGTGCATATGCACCTAAAAACAGAGCTTCAAAATACAGGAGACGAAGTTGACATAAAAGAAAGGAGAAATAGAAAAATCCAAAATTATCATTGGAGATTTTATACTCATTTCTTAATATTTCATAGAAAAAATAAGCAGAAAGTCAGTAAGGATATAGAATAACTGAACAATGCTATCAAGTAACTTGACTAAGTTACATTTACAGAACACTCCACCCAACAGCAGGAAAGTACATAATTTGAAACTGTATTAATTCTATCTACTATATTTCTCTCTCTGTGAACACCATGTTCTTCTCCACTTACTCATCTCTTGTGGTCTCAAAGAAGTTTTATAACATTTTCTTTGATGATTCTTTATATTCCTTGTTAAATACTTTTCATATTATTTTGCTCTTGCTAATGGATACTTTTTTCCTTCCTCCATCACTAAATATTTTTTCTTACAGTCTTCATGGCTTAGTCTGCCAGAGACAGATGATGCTGCTTCCCACCGGGTTCTGATTTGCTGAAGAGGAAAATATTTAATGTCTTATTTTGCTTTCACTTAAACCCAGCTTCTGCAAGGGCCAATGGTCACCAAAACCTGACTAGAAGGGAGTGAGGCTGTGGAGATTGGGGATTGGGGTGAGGAATTGTAAATAACACATGATACATGGGTGTCCTTTCAGCGCCCTCTGTCTGGAAAATTAACTAACCAGAGAAGTGAAGGGTTCAACAGTCAGATTAAAGAACAGGTAGGCCGGGCGCGGTGGCTCATGCCTGTAATCCCAGCACTTTGGGAGGCCAAGGTGGGTGGATCACCTGAGGTCAGGAGTTCAAGACCAGCCTGACCAACATGGTGAAACCCCATCTCTACTAAAAGTACAAAATGAGCTGAGTGTAGTGGCACATGCCTGTAATCCTAGCTACTTGGGAGGCTGAGGCAGGAGAATTGCTTGAACCTGGGAGGTGGAGGTTGCAGTGAGCCAAGATCGCACCACTGTGCTCCAGCCTGGGCAACAAGAGCGAAACTCTGTCTCAAAAAGGAAAAAAAAGAAAAAAGAAAAAAGAAAAAAAAAGAAAAAGGAAAGAACAGGCATTACCCTGTGCTTTGTGCTTTGAGTCACTATCAAGTGACTTAAACCAAGGATGGCTCATGCCCACAGGTCTACAGGGAAAGAGTAACTGTAAATAGCAGCATCTTAATGTGTTTGCACTTGTGAAAAGGTAGAGGATGCTTCATTTCTTTAGTCCACACAGTCTCCAGTGAGTTTCATGATGTGCCAGTTGAATCTTATGATCTAGGCACTGTTTACTAAATTGACAATGAACCTCCAAATCAACTATGAGTTTGGCTTACTGGTATGAACCTGATGTTTGTAGTTTTAAAGTCAGCCAAAAATCCTGGGATGTGTACATTGTGGGAAAAAAATCAGAATTAAAGTGAAGGAATGGACTTGGTTGTTTCCCCAGATGTGTGAGAATAGGTTAATTTCCTGGAGGTAGTTAAAATAAAACCAAAAGGACAAATTGCCTGTTCCTCTCATATTCCTTCCCTCATCCTTATTCCCACCCAATATAAAGAAAGCCAGGCCTCTTTTTGCTTTTGACTCTGAAACTTTCTCTTCAGATATACTGGATGTTTATCAGCCAGGCTGGTAAGAAAATGTCGACAAATTGCCATGTTACCTCCCAGTCATGATGATGATAATAATTGATAGTAATGATGATAATAGTGCCTGATATGTATTGAGTACTTACCACATGCCAGATGTTCTTCTAATTGCTTTTACCATACTCGTATTAACTGACTTAACTTTTAGAATGATACCATTAAGTAGGTATATTATTATATCTCCCTCCCCCATTTTACCAATTAGGAAATTGTAGCATGGAAGGGTTGGATACCTGACTAAAGCTATACCAATAGTAAGAAACGGAGCCAGAATTCAAACCCATGCAGTCTAACTTCAGAATGATACCATAGAGAGAGGGCAATTGTGCTACACTGTAGCCCAGAAGGGAATTTATGCCACAGCTCCTATCACAGACAAGGGACCATTTGTCAAGCCACGACTTAATTCTTCTAAAGAAGTAATTGCATGTGGATCTGGCCACTTACACATCCAATTGTCTTCATCTAGAGGTGTTTCTCCAGGGCAAGCCCAGAGGTGGAAATTTGCATTAATGAAGCTGATTAAGACCTCCTCTGCAGATGCTTTATGGACAGAAATGGGCCCTTCCTCTTCTCTTTGTTTCTCATACTTGACTGTGGCTCTGCACCCCCAGGAGATTGGTTCCAGGACCCCAGCTGATACCAAAATCTGTGGATGCTCAGTTTCTTCTATAACATGCTTTAATAGGCCAGGCGCTGTGGCTCATGCCTGTAATCCCAGCACTTTGGGAGGCTGAGGCGGGCGGATCACGAGGTCAGGAGATCGAGACCGAGACCGTCCTGACTAACACGGTGAAACCCCGTCTCTACTAAAAATACAAAAAATTAGCCAGGCGTGGTGGTGGGTGCCTGTAGTCCCAGCTACTCAGGAGGCTGAGGCAGGAGAATGGCGTGAACCCGGGAGGCAGAGCTTGCAGCGAGCCGAGATCACGCCACTGCACTCCAGCCTGGGCGACAGAGTGAGACTCCATCTCAAAAAAAAAAAAAAAAATGCTGTAATAACCCATATCCGTGGTTTTAAATCCATGGTAGGTTGAATCCACAGATGTGGAACTTTGGATAGGTAAAGTCGACTGTATTTGATTTATGCACAGATAAACACTCTTGGTCAAGTCCAGCATAATTCATCTACAGGTGATTTAAATAGTGAATGCACTTTGAAGTCTTCATGGTCAGCTGAACAATCTGAAATTTTACTGTCAGACTTACTTAGAAATCTTACAGATTCAAACATGTTAAGGCTAATAAAATTTTGCAGCTTTGTCAAAAACCATAGAAATGTTCCTGAGCTTAGACCAGGCTACATGGCACCGAAGAGTCAGGGCTTGCTCCCAACCCCAGAAGAGGGGGACCAGAAATTTCCAGTCTGGGAGGGTCCCACACAAAAGTTGCTCTAAAACTACAGACTGGAGTTTTTTTCTGAGTTTTTCCTTCTTCAGGGAAAAGAGTGTGAACCTGCGTAGTGCTCTTCTATCTCTGCTCACCTGAGTACCACAGGGTTCATGGGTTTCAAGTTTAAGACATTAGATTTAGGGAAGATTCACATCTTTCTTCTTCTGTTTATTTGTGAGGTATGGTGAGGTCATTGTTTTACTTCCATGAGGACAGTGGATAAAAAAGAACCCTTTGGAGGGAAGGGAGAGGTAGAGATGAGTAAAGTTATGTAAAAGAATTGAAAAGTAGACCTGAGAGCGCAATTGAGAACAGAAACTTTGTGGCTATGATCCCAGGGGGCCATGAAGACCTGCAGGAGAGGAAAAAAGACACTACAGGGACAGTACAGGCGAAGTTCTACACAATGCTCCATATTAAAATGTTCCATACAAATTTCCCTGAGCAGAGGTTTTTCAAGGCCACTCGCCTTAGACCTGCAGGCCCTATTAAGACTGTTGGGAGGAGAAAAATGTAATAGTTCTTCTATCATCTAATCCTAGTCTTCTGAGTGTCATTAAGATCCTTCCTGTTTTTATAAATATAAATATCACAGTATAGATACATTTACAGAATTGTAATATTAGTCTTTGTAGTTTTTTTTTTTTACTTAATCTGTGGATAATTTCCCACAGATCAGACAATCTTCTACATCACTAAACAGTTTCTTACAATCTTATCTTTAGTGGCTATAAAAACATCACCATACACTTGAAATAGTATTTATTTAAACATTTTCTTAAAAAAACTTGGGGACACTTCAGGAGATTAATTGAAAGATTATATGGGGAATAGTTAACCCCACCTCTTTTCCACTCTGACCTCTGCCACATAGGTGGCTGGCATCTATCCCTCAAACAAAATACATGAAGTTTCCTCTCAGAAGAAATTGAATGGGCCCAGAGAAAATAATTCCATGCTATGGCCCTCATGGTCCCCCAGTGAAGGAATCAGACCCTGAAACATTAGCCCCAAATTCCATCTGATTTCTTCAAACTCATGACCATTTTTCAGTCGCTCTTACATGTAAAATAATATGAAGAAACAGAAAACATTTTAAGAGAGCAATAAGGATAAACAAAAAGAAAAACTTAAAACAGATTAGAAATTCAAGACAGCTTTAAATATATACACAAAACAAAGCCAAACAAAATTTTACTTATTATTTTCACAAACATTGGAGAAGGTAGTCCCTTTGTAAAACAAATAAAATTGCTATTAATCTTTTCTCCATAGGTAAAACAACAAAAACACTTTGAAAATTAACAATATAGCCATAATATTTATGACATTCTTTTTTAAATAACCCAAACACACATAAATAAAGATAAAGCATTTGCTATGCAAGCAAATCCAGCTTCAAGACAAGCCACAGCCCCTACCCACCATGCAGAATTCTGGGCCTAAGCTCCTTCTGCATAGATTGATGTAGAAATTACACTACCATAGATGCAAAACAAGGCCTGTCTAAAATCAGATTGTGGTTGCTGAGGAGGAAGTGGGAATGGGGAGTGACTGTTTAATGGGTACGAGGTCTCCTTTGGAGGTGATGAAAATGTTACGGAACTACATAGAAGTGATGGTTGTACAACATGGTGAATGCACTAAATGCTACTGAGTTGTGCACCTTAAAATGGGTTAATTTTGTTATGTGAATTTTACCTCAACAAACAAAAAGATTGCCTAACTCAGGCCCACGCCTTTATATAATATGCTGTATAATACACTCTACTACTCTTTAAAACATCAACAATACAGGGCAGTATACTTATCCTAGACTTTCAGAACATATATTCTTTTTTAAAATCTCATGAAGATTTTGAATAAAAATAGTTTTAATTCTATAGATTATATCTCCATCCAACTTCATGATTCATTTATAGTTTGTTTTCTCTCCAGTAAAGTACATTTTTTACTTTCTGTTGAGTCTATATATTTCTTACAAAACTTATTCTTTAATATTTTCTATTATTCCTAATGCTAATGAAGTTCTCCCTGCCACTAACCTTGGGTATGCCTTCTTGACAGTTTAGTCTGCCAGAGACAAATGATGCTGACTTCTCTACTTTGCCTTATTAGATAAAAAGAAAAGCATGTAATGATAATATCAAGGTTTCATGTTAATGTGGTTTATGCAAAGATTTATGTCATCATCCTTCCCCTTCAACCACAACCCTGTTCTAATAACCACATCCTGTGACCAAACAGCTCTTCCTTTCCTACAAGCATCAAACTTATTATTAGTTACTCTTAGGTTCTCGATGTGAATTTTAGATAGTGACATATCCTTTGGCCAACACTTGAACAATCTTCACACAAGATGTGAAGAACATGACAACAAACTCTCTGTAACTGAGGGTGTCAAAGAACATAGTTAAGGACTCCTGGCTGTGATGGCCGTTTTCAGTAAGACATTATTCTACAGGACACTTTCTGGAGTATGAATTCAACATATTAGAAACTACATTGTGGAGGTTTCCCCTGAAGAAAAAAAAGTAGATGGGAAACCCATGACAATAAGGGTCTGAAATTGTGTGGTATGACAGTGAGGGTAGGTGCACAGCTCTGGGCCAGCCACACAGAGTTAGGGCCACTGTCTCAACATCTGAAAGAGACTGGGCTTGAACAGTGAGGACTACATTAACCAGGGAGCTGGATCTGCATTGCTCATACTTGAACAGAGATTGGAACCCAGCCAACTGTGAGTGAGTGTGGAAGAGCCCCCTGCTGGAGGCAAATGCCTGGAGCCCTGAGCATATGCTGGGCCATGAGGAAGAGCAAAAGTATATTCTCTGGAACAGGGCTCTTCAGGGCCCGGGCTAAGTCAGCCAGCGCCCTCCTCCTCACCTCACCCAATGGTAAATCTGATAAATCAGTGCTAGTTTGCTTTGTATGATAGAATTTACTAAATGTGATGGCTGATATTTTGAGCCAGGGTGGCAAATGCAGCTACTGACTCAAGAGCAATGTTTAGTGGTAACTTGGGTATGAGAATAGGATTGTGAATTGTTATGCAACTTTACCAGTGACAGATGTGTCTCCTACCCATTGGCATATATGTTCTAGTCTAGTGCTGAGAAAGATACACAAAATATTAAGGCTTTTACAGCAAGATTGGTACCACAAAATGCTCATTTTTAGCTCTCGTGGATTTTCTGTCTTGTAGTTTGTTGTATCTTTCTCGCTCTTGCTGAGGCATCACCAAGTCAACTTGTAAATTCTGTAATCACTTTCTTTCAGTAGATTTCTTATATCTAAATTTTAATTAAGACTAGGAATCCTTTTTGACACTTGGACACTGAAAGGAAGCATCTCTCAATTTCCTCCTTTACTCACGCATCTTCTTATCAACTGGGGAATCTGGGGGTCACAAGACTGAAGTAGTAGGTGGGGCTCAGACACCAGATCAAATTAACTAAAACAGGGATGGGGCAGAAGCACCTCTCCGTAAGACATGCCTACCAGTTTGCCATGTCAGTTTACCATTGCCATGGCAACACCCAGAGGTTACCACTTCTTTCCATGGCAATAATGACCCACTGGGGTCATTGAAGTGGTAATTGGAGTTACCATCTATAAATTTTTTTTTTTTTATTATTATACTCTAAGTTTTAGGGTACATGTGCACATTGTGCAGGTTAGTTACATATGTATACATGTGCCATGCTGGTGCGCTGCACCCACTAATGTGTCGTCTAGCATTAGGTATATCTCCCAATGCTATCCCTCCCCCCTCCCCCGACCCCACCACAGTCCCCAGAGTGTGATATTCCCCTTCCTGTGTCCATGTGATCTCATTGTTCAATTCCCACCTATGAGTGAGAATATGCGGTGTTTGGTTTTTTGTTCTTGCGATAGTTTACTGAGAATGATGGTTTCCAATTTCATCCATGTCCCTACAAAGGATATGAACTCATCATTTTTTATGGCTGCATAGTATTCCATGGTGTATATGTGCCACATTTTCTTAATCCAGTCTATCATTGTTGGACATTTGGGTTGGTTCCAAGACTTTGCTATTGTGAATAGTGCCGCAATAAACATTCGTGTGCATGTGTCTTTATAGCAGCATGATTTATACTCATTTGGGTATATACCCAGTAATGGGATGGCTGGGTCAAATGGTATTTCTAGTTCTAGATCCCTGAGGAATCGCCACACTGACTTCCACAATGGTTGAACTAGTTTACAGTCCCACCAACAGTGTAAAAGTGTTCCTATTTCTCCGCATCCTCTCCAGCACCTGTTGTTTCCTGACTTTTTAATGATTGCCATTCTAACTGGTGTGAGATGATATCTCATAGTGGTTTTGATTTGCATTTCTCTGATGGCCAGTGATGATGAGCATTTCTTCATGTGTTTTTTGGCTGCATAAATGTCTTCTTTTGAGAAGTGTCTGTTCATGTCCTTCGCCCACTTTTTGATGGGGTTGTTTGTTTTTTTCTTGTAAATTTGTTTGAGTTCATTGTAGATTCTGGATATTAGCCCTTTGTCAGATGAGTAGGTTGCGAAAATTTTCTCCCATGTTGTAGGTTGCCTGTTCACTCTGATGGTAGTTTCTTTTGCTGTGCAGAAGCTCTTTAGTTTAATTAGATCCCATTTGTCAATTTTGTCTTTTGTTGCCATTGCTTTTGGTGTTTTGGACATGAAGTCCTTGCCCATGCCTATGTCCTGAATGGTAATGCCTAGGTTTTCTTCTAGGGTTTTTATGGTTTTAGGTTTAACGTTTAAATCTTTAATCCATCTTGAATTGATTTTTGTATAAGGTGTAAGGAAGGGATCCAGTTTCAGCTTTCTACATATGGCTAGCCAGTTTTCCCAGCACCATTTATTAAATAGGGAATCCTTTCCCCATTGCTTGTTTTTCTCAGGTTTGTCAAAGATCAGATAGTTGTAGATATGCGGCATTATTTCTGAGGGCTCTGTTCTGTTCCATTGATCTATATCTCTGTTTTGGTACCAGTACCATGCTGTTTTGGTTACTGTAGCCTTGTAGTATAGTTTGAAGTCAGGTAGTGTGATGCCTCCAGCTTTGTTCTTTTGGCTTAGGATTGACTTGGCAATGCGGGCTCTTTTTTGGTTCCATATGAACTTTAAAGTAGTTTTTTCCAATTCTGTGAAGAAAGTCATTGGTAGCTTGATGGGGATGGCATTGAATCTGTAAATTACCTTGGGCAGTATGGCCATTTTCACGATATTGATTCTTCCTACCCATGAGCATGGAATGTTCTTCCATTGGTTTGTGTCCTCTTTTATTTCCTTGAGCAGTGGTTTGTAGTTCTCCTTGAAGAGGTCCTTCACATCCCTTGTAAGTTGGATTCCTAGGTATTTTATTCTCTTTGAAGCAATTGTGAATGGGAGTTCACCCATGATTTGGCTCTCTGTTTGTCTGTTGTTGGTGTATAAGAATGCTTGTGATTTTTGTACATTGATTTTGTATCCTGAGACTTTGCTGAAGTTGCTTATCAGCTTAAGGAGATTTTGGGCTGAGACGATGGGGTTTTCTAGATAAACAATCATGTCGTCTGCAAACAGGGACAATTTGACTTCCTCTTTTCCTAATTGAATACCCTTTATTTCCTTCTCCTGCCTGATTGCCCTGGCCAGAACTTCCAACACTATGTTGAATAGGAGCGGTGAGAGAGGGCATCCCTGTCTTGTGCCAGTTTTCAAAGGGAATGCTTCCAGTTTTTGCCCATTCAGTATGATATTAGCTGTGGGTTTGTCATAGATAGCTCTTATTATTTTGAAATACGTCCCATCAATACCTAATTTATTGAGAGTTTTTAGCATGAAGGGTTGTTGAATTTTGTCAAAGGCTTTTTCTGCATCTATTGAGATAATCATGTGGTTTTTGTCTTTGGCTCTGTTTATATGCTGGATTACATTTATTGATTTGCGTATATTGAACCAGCCTTGCATCCCAGGGATGAAGCCCACTTGATCATGGTGGATAAGCTTTTTGATGTGCTGCTGGACTCGGTTTGCCAGTATTTTATTGAGGATTTTTGCATCAATGTTCATCAAGGATATTGGTCTAAAATTCTCTTTTTTGGTTGTGTCTCTGCCCGGCTTTGGTATCAGAATGATGCTGGCCTCATAAAATGAGTTAGGGAGGATTCCCTCTTTTTCTATTGATTGGAATAGTTTCAGAAGGAATGGTACCAGTTCCTCCTTGTACCTCTGGTAGAATTCGGCTGTGAATCCATCTGGTCCTGGACTCTTTTTGGTTGGTAAACTATTGATTATTGCCACAATTTCAGAGCCTGTTATTGGTCTATTCAGAGATTCAACTTCTTCCTGGTTTAGTCTTGGGAGAGTGTATGTGCCGAGGAATGTATCCATTTCTTCTAGATTTTCTAGTTTATTTGCGTAGAGGTGTTTGTAGTATTCTCTGATGGTAGTTTGTATTTCTGTGGGATTGGTGGTGATATCCCCTTTATCATTTTTTATTGTGTCTATTTGATTCTTCTCTCTTTTTTTCTTTATTAGTCTTGCTAGCAGTCTATCAATTTTGTTGATCCTTTCAAAAAACCAGCTCCTGGATTCATTGATTTTTTGAAGGGTTTTTTGTGTCTCTATTTCCTTCAGTTCTGCTCTGATTTTAGTTATTTCTTGCCTTCTGCTAGCTTTTGAATGTGTTTGCTCTTGCTTTTCTAGTTCTTTTAATTGTGATGTTAGGGTGTCAATTTTGGATCTTTCCTGCTTTCTCTTGTAGGTATTTAGTGCTAGAAATTTCCCTCTACACACTGCTTTGAATGCGTCCCAGAGATTCTGGTATGTGGTGTCTTTGTTCTCGTTGGTTTCAAAGAACATCTTTATTTCTGCCTTCATTTCGTTATGTACCCAGTAGTCATTCAGGAGCAGGTTGTTCAGTTTCCATGTAGTTGAGCGGCTTTGAGTGAGATTCTTAATCCTGAGTTCTAGTTTGATTGCACTGTGGTCTGAGAGATAGTTTGTTATAATTTCTGTTCTTTTACATTTGCTGAGGAGAGCTTTACTTCCAACTATGTGGTCAATTTTGGAATAGGTGTGGTGTGGTGCTGAAAAAAATGTATATTCTGTTGATTTGGGGTGGAGAGTTCTGTAGATGTCTATTAGGTCTGCTTGGTGCAGAGCTGAGTTCAATTCCTGGGTATCCTTGTTGACTTTCTGTCTCGTTGATCTGTCTAATGTTGACAGTGGGGTGTTAAAGTCTCCCATTATTAATGTGTGGGAGTCTAAGTCTCTTTGTAGGTCACTGAGGACTTGCTTTATGAATCTGGGTGCTCCTGTATTGGGTGCATAAATATTTAGGATAGTTAGCTCCTCTTGTTGAATTGATCCCTTTACCATTATGTAATGGCCTTCTTTGTCTCTTTTGATCTTTGTTGGTTTAAAGTCTGTTTTATCAGAGACTAGGATTGCAACCCCTGCCTTTTTTTGTTTTCCATTGGCTTGGTAGATCTTCCTCCATCCTTTTATTTTGAGCCTATGTGTGTCTCTGCATGTGAGATGGGTTTCCTGAATACAGCACACTGATGGGTCTTGACTCTTTATCCAACTTGCCAGTCTGTGTCTTTTAATTGCAGAATTTAGTCCATTTATATTTAAAGTTAATATTGTTATGTGTGAATTTGATCCTGTCATTATGATGTTAGCTGGTGATTTTGCTCATTAGTTGATGCAGTTTCTTCCTAGTCTCGATGGTCTTTACATTTTGGCATGATTTTGCAGCGGCTGGTACCGGTTGTTCCTTTCCATGTTTAGCGCTTCCTTCAGGAGCTCTTTTAGGGCAGGCCTGGTGGTGACAAAATCTCTCAGCATTTGCTTGTCTATAAAGTATTTTATTTCTCCTTCACTTATGAAGCTTAGTTTGGCTGGATATGAAATTCTGGGTTGAAAATTCTTTTCTTTAAGAATGTTGAATATTGGCCCCCACTCTCTTCTGGCTTGTAGGGTTTCTGCCGAGAGATCCGCTGTTAGTCTGATGGGCTTTCCTTTGAGGGTAACCCGACCTTTCTCTCTGGCTGCCCTTAACATTTTTTCCTTCATTTCAACTTTGGTGAATCTGACAATTATGTGTCTTGGAGTTGCTCTTCTCGAGGAGTATCTTTGTGGCGTTCTCTGTATTTCCTGAATCTGAACGTTGGCCTGCCTTGCTATATTGGGGAAGTTCTCCTGGATAATATCCTGCAGAGTGTTTTCCAACTTGGTTCCATTCTCCACATCACTTTCAGGTACACCAATCAGACGTAGATTTGGTCTTTTCACATAGTCCCATATTTCTTGGAGGCTTTGCTCATTTGTTTTTATTCTTTTTTCTCTAAACTTCCCTTCTCGCTTCATTTCATTCATTTCATCTTCCATTGCTGATACCCTTTCTTCCAGTTGATCGCATCGGCTCCTGAGGCTTCTGCATTCTTCACGTAGTTCTCGAGCCTTGGTTTTCAGCTCCATCAGCTCCTTTAAGCACTTCTCTGTATTGGTTATTCTAGTTATACATTCTTCTAAATTTTTTTCAAAGTTTTCAACTTCTTTGCCTTTGGTTTGAATGTCCTCCCGTAGCTCAGAGTAATTTGATCGTCTGAAGCCTTCTTCTCTCAGCTCATCAAAATCATTCTCCATCCAGCTTTGTTCTGTTGCTGGTGAGGAACTGCGTTCCTTTGGAGGAGGAGAGGCGCTCTGCGTTTTAGAGTTTCCAGTTTTTCTGTTCTGTTTTTTCCCCATCTTTGTGGTTTTATCTACTTTTGGTCTTTGATGATGGTGATGTACGTATGGGTTTTCGGTGTAGATGTCCTTTCTGTTTGTTAGTTTTCCTTCTAACAGACAGGACCCTCAGCTGCAGGTCTGTTGGAATACCCTGCCGTGTGAGGTGTCAGTGTGCCCCTGCTGGGGGGTGCCTCCCAGTTAGGCTGCTCGGGGGTCAGGGGTCAGGGACCCACTTGAGGAGGCAGTCTGCCCGTTCTCAGATCTCCAGCTGCATGCTGGGAGAACCACTGCTCTCTTCAAAGCTGTCAGACAGGGACACTTAAGTCTGCAGAGGTTACTGCTGTCTTTTTGTTTGTCTGTGCCCTGCCCCCAGAGGTGGAGCCTACAGAGGCAGGCAGGTCTCCTTGAGCTGTGGTGGGCTCCACCCAGTTCGAGCTTCCCGGCTGCTTTGTTTACCTAAGCAAGCCTGGGCAATGGCGGGCGCCCCTCCGCCAGCCTCGCTGCCGCCTTGCAGTTTGATCTCAGACTGCTGTGCTAGCAATCAGTGAGATTCCGTGGGCGTAGGACCCTCTGAGCCAGGTGTGGGATATAGTCTCGTGGTGCGCCGTTTCTTAAGCCGGTCTGAAAAGCGCAATATTCGGGTGGGAGTGACCCGATTTTCCAGGTGCGTCCGTCACCCCTTTCTTTGACTCGGAAAGGGAACTCCCTGACCCCTTGCGCTTCCCAGGTGAGGCAATGCCTCGCCCTGCTTCGGCTCGCGCACGGTGCGCACACACACTGGCCTGCGCCCACTGTCTGGCACTCCCTAGTGAGATGAACCCGGTACCTCAGATGGAAATGCAGAAGTCACCCGTCTTCTGCGTCGCTCACGCTGGGAGCTGTAGACCGGAGCTGTTCCTATTCGGCCATCTTGGCTCCGTACCATCTATAAATTAAGGGGTGGATTATGCAGAAATTTCTACCCTATTTCTAGAAACTTCTGCATAGTCCACCTCTTAATTTGTATATAATTAAAAGTGGGTATAAATATGACTGCAGAACTGCCTCTGAGCTACTATTCTGGGCACACTGCCTATGGGGTAACCCTGCTCTTCAAGGAGTAGCTTAGTTCCATAAAATTTGCTGTCTAACACCACTGTCTCATCCTTGGAATCTTTCCCTAGTGAAGCCAAGAACACTCTTGGGCAAAGCCCCAATTTTGAGGTTTGCTGGCCCTGCATCAAGACCACCCTTGCAATGGAAAAATTTATCTGCTAGTTATCTCAGTACTGAGGGCTTCTTAATGTGGGAGTCCTCACTTTGGGGAAAATGAAGAATTTGACTGGTTTCGGGGGGTTGGTCAAGGGAGATCTGCTGCAGTCTATTAAGTGATTCTGTGAAAGACAATGATATCTTACTCCACTTTGAGCATTTGATCTGAATGCCCCCTTCACATGAAGCCTCTGTGGATCCATAACCAAGGGTGCAGGAATTTTGCTTCTGAGAAACTTTCCCATGATAGAATTCTAGTTATTTCTGTTTTTCTTTCTGTTTGCTACTATGACCTACACCTCTGTTAACATCCCTGTGCATGCTTCCTTGTCCACATACCTAATGTTTCTTTAGAACAAATGCCTAAGACTAGAAGTTCTATGCACTATATTTGTGTTTACAACTTTATTATAACTAGCTGTATAAATTTCAACCCCCACTAGAAGTGTTTAATTGTTCACACTAATGAATTTTCTTGCCAATAAATTATTGTCAGACTTCATTTTGCCCATCTCTTGAGAATTAAATGATATTTCCTAATGATTTGAAATGTGTTTATCTGATTACTAATAAGGGTAGAAATCTTTTCACATTATGTATTGACCTGCTGTGCTTCCTTTTCATAAGCTAGCTCTCATCCCTGGAGTGGCACTGAATTTCTTATTATTTTTATAAATATAAAAATATCATATGTAAAGATAGATATAAGCTTATAAGACTTAAATTTTAGTTTTTACAATTTAATTTTCCTATATTATATGTATTAAAAATAACTTCTTCCAATTTTTGTCATATTTTTAAAGTATATTTTGATTACATTTTTAAAAATATGTATTAAAGTATATTTATTAAAATTTTTACTTTTTTTGTTATTTCATCCTTGTTAAGAAATACTTCCCTACTTCAGTTCATAAAATAATCTAAATTTTCTATTTAAAAAATTTAAAAATTACCTTTCCTTTGGCTAAATATTCTGTAATGGGATTGCTGGATGATATGATAGCTCTATTTTTAGTTTTTTGAGAAACCTCCATACAGTTTCCCATAATGGCTGTACTAATTTACATTCCTACTAATGGTGTATAAAAGTTCCCTTTTACCCTCCTCCTTACCAGCATTTTTTTTTTTTTTTTGCCTTTTTGATAGTAGGCATTCCAACTGGGATAAGATGATAGTTCATCATGGTTCCTGTTCACATTTGATTAGTCTGAATTGAATTGATTTTTGTGGATACTGTGTTGTATGAATCCAACGTTGAGTTTTCTGTCTGGATAACAAATTCTCTCAGGATGACTTACTGCACTATTTCATAAGTAAATTCCAATGCCAACTCCAACATAAATATGATTTTACATATGAGTGAGTTGGTTCTGGGCCTGCTGTTTCTGTTCATTTGTCTATAGGTCTATCCATGCATCAATACAATTCTCCTATTTATACTTAAGTCTGATAATAAATTGAGGACTAGCTGGGCAAAATCTTACCAACCTGTTTCTTTCTATGTATAACTAGTAAAGAAACCAAACTGTTTATTTGCATGTGTAACTAACTTGTAGGCTAGTCTTAAACAATTGCTTTTCTATAATTATTTATAATCAGCATAGTGATTGCACAATATTATGTTAGGATTTTGAGTAGAACTGCATTGGCTCTATAGATTAACTCAGAGAAAAATTGTGTTTATTTTTTGGATATTTTATTCATGAATATAGTATATATTTCCATTTACGTAGGTATCTCTAATTATTATTATTATTTTTTGACAGAATCTCACTGTCTGGAGGCTGGAGTACAGTGGCACGATCTGGACTCACTGCAACCTCCGACTCCCAGGTTCCAGCAAGTCTTGTGTCTCACTCACCTGAGTAGCTGGGATTACAGGCTCACACCATCATGCCCGGCTAATTTTTGTAATTTTAGTAGAGACAAGGTCTCACTATGTTGGCCAGGCCGGTCTTGAACTCCTGGCCTCAAGTGATCCACCGCCTTGGCCTCCCGAAGTGCTGGGATTACAGGCATGAGCCACCATGCCCAGTCTCTAATGTCTTTTAATGAAGTGTTAAATTAAATTAAACTACCTAAAATTACCAACAATCATCTGTTTTTGATCAAAAACAATTTTGATCAATTTCATTTAGTTCAATGTAAAACCCTGATGTAACAGACCTCTATAACTTGTTAGATTTATAGATAGCATACCTAACTTTAATTTTAATGTTGTACAATTATTTGTTGATGTACGACTTGCTTAACATATTGTGTAGGTTAAAATGTTGAGATTCAGAGAGACCATTAAAATTGCTCAAAGTCAGACATCCAGGATATAGCAGAGTAAAATTTAAACTAAGTTCTGCCTAATTCCAAAGCCCTGGTACCCTTCTTTTGCAACCATTTATATTACATGATAAGTTGACTTATCTACATGTGATTGAGCTTATAGACAAATGGGAAAGGAAGTATACATTTGCATCTTGACTAAAGACAATGCTAGTCATGGCCAGACAAGAATTACAAGGCAGTCTCTATCATTAGAGAATTCCAGCTTCTAAATTTCCAGATGCAATTCCTTGTGTTTGAATTAATCCCTAGAAATCTGTACCTAAAAAAGCACACATGAGAATAAGGTAATATAGGAAGCAGTGGTTATTGTTTTTTTGTTTTTTGGGTTTTTTTTGAGATGGAGTCTTGCTCTGTCGCCCAGGCTGGAGTGCAGTGGCGTGATCTCGGCTCACTGCAAGCTCCTCCTCCCAGGTTCACACCATTCTCCTGCCTCAGCCTCCTGAGTAGCTGGGACTACAGGCGCCCGCCACCATGCCCGGCTATTTTTTTGTATTTTTAGTAAAGACGGGATTTCACCATGTTAGCCAGGATGGTCTCAATCTCCTGACCTCATGATCCACCCACCTCGGCCTTCAAAAGTGCTGGGATTACAATTGTGAGCCACCACGCCCCGCCAGTTATTGTTTTTATATAATTCATTTGTTAGCTGTAACTTATGACTGAAGAAGAGCAAGACCAGGAACAATTAAATGTGTTGGAGGTAAGTGTAATATGAAAACACTAGAGAATGTAGGGTCAGTGTAGAGTTGTAGAGAAACACCCCTCTGTGTTGAATTCAACTCAATTTGTTTAAAGACACAAGAAATATTTTTTGAATCAAGGCCATTTTCTAGGCATGGTGGGAGATGCAGACTTGTGGAAACAACAGGCCTAAACTTAAGGGGCTTATGGTCTAATGGGACACAAAAGAAGTACCCATTTATAATGTTAAGTAGTAGGTGGTTTCTTAGAAAAAAATAAATTATGTACATTTAGAGAATAATGCATAAGAGAAATGTTACAATTAAATATACTTTGAAAATGTCTTTGGATTTTAAAAGGCAGAGATAATGAGGAAGAAGCATGGCATAGACCTACCAAAATCTTTTTTTGAAATATAGTTTAAACTTTATTCTACAATTCTTTCTTCTGCTAGGTCAAACCTATGGTTGAGCCCCCTCTAGTGAATTTTTATTTCAATTATTGTACTTAACAACTCCATAATTTCTATTTAGTTCGTTTTTATTATACTATTGTCTAAATATTTGTGTCTCCGGCCCCCAGATTTATATTTTGAAGCTCAATTCCCATTTTCTAGTGTGTGATATTAAGAGGTGGGATCTTTGAGAGGTGATTAGGTTATGAGGGTAGAGTCCTCATTAATGGAAATAGTACTCTTGTAAAAGAAGCTGAAGGAGCTTATTTACCACTTCCACTGTATGAAAACACAGGTGGAACGCACTGTCTGGGAAACAGACAGTAAGCCCTTGCCAGACACTGAATTTGCTGGTTCTTCGATCTTGGATTTCCAAGCCTCCAGAACTGTAAGCAATAAATTTCTGTTGTTTATAAATTACCTAGTCTAAGGCATTTTGTTATAGCAGCTGAACGGACTAAGACAACTAACTATTATCGCTATTGTTGTAACGCCAAAGGTTCTTGCCTTAGCCACGCCAAAGAATTGGTGTGGCGGCTGCGTGCCGTGAGTGATAGAGACACGGACCAATAGAGAGAAAAAGCTGTAGGCTTTATTGAGCAGAGTGAAAGTACAAAGCTTCCACAGTGTGGAAGGGATCCTAAACGGGTAGCCACTGCTGGTTTTGGGTGATTGCCTTTTAAACTCTTTAAGGGGGGAAATACGTGCGGTGGGAAGATGTTACCAGAGTGAGAAACAAAGGCAGTAAATTATTTTGTTCCATGTCTTAGATCTTGAGGAAAACCGGAATTGCAACCTAGGTTTTATTTACTTTATGACCTCGTAGTGGCATAGCAAAAGAGACAGGATCTTACAGGACTTTATAAAGTATGTTCACAAGGAATTGGAATTGGGAAGTTAGATAAGGTTTGCTGGTCACAGAAAAATGGGCAGTTAACATTCCTTTTATCTTTAGTTTTGGGGGAGGGGGAAGGGAGAGAGGGAGAGAGACACAGGGCAACTTACAGCAAAATTTTCGCTGTTTATAGCTTTCTTGGGGAAGAAAACACATATACAAATCCGGGTGTTAGGAATATTTAAGCATATATCTTCAGTGTTATTCATCCAGGACTGAAGTAAGTCCTGATGCAGGAAATGAGTGAGTTTCACAGCTTTCTGAGCCCCTACTCGACCCAGGAAGCCCAGCTGCACCTCCTCTTGTTATTCTCTCTTTGATGCAACGGTGCCATCACACCTTCCTTCACTTCTTTAGTCATCCTTTCCTTTAGGTCTATGAATGTAATGGATAATGTTATGTATCAACTTGAGTTGGCTGAGGGATGCCCAGATAGCTGGTAAAACATTGTTTCTGAGTGTGACTGTGAGGGTGTTTCCAGAATATCTTAGTATTTGAATCAGAAGACTGAATAAAGTAGATATCCCTTACTAATATGGGTGGGCATCATTCAGTCCATTGAGGACCCAAATAGAACAAAAAGGTGGAGGAAGGGTGAATTCTCTTTCTCTCTGAGCTGGGACATACATCTACTTCTACCCCTGGACACCAGAGCTCCTTCTTCCCCTCCTCCTGCCATGACTCCAGCCCGTGTCCTGGTTCTCAGGCCTTTGGCCTCAGACTGGGAGTTGTACCATTGGCTCCCTTGATCCTCAACCCTTCTGACTCTCACCGAATTACACCACCTGCTTTCCTGGGTCTCCTACTTGCAGATGGCATATTGTGGCACTTCTTGGCATCCATAATTGAGCGAGTCAATCACCATACATATCTTTTTGTCTCTGTTTCTCTGGAGAATCCTGACGAAAATATTGAATATATTTAAACATATGTATAGTGGCTACTTTAAATATTTTTGTGTTAAATTTGTTCTCTCAAGCAATTTCTTCTGCCTTCTATTTTTCTGGTGTATTGGTCACACTTTTTTGTTTCTTTGCATAGCTCATAATTTTTGTGGAAAAATGAACATTTTAGGAACTATATTATAGAAACTCTGGGTACTACCCCCATATTGTGCTTGTTATTCTTATTTGCTTGTTTGTTTATGTGATTAACAATGATTGTCTGGATTATTTTAATAAAGTCTATCTTCATCTCCTCATCCCACAGTGTTAAGCTTTTGATGTTACCTCAAGGAGGCACAGCTTTGAGTATATCCAAGGTTACCCTGGAATGACAGTGGTCCTGTAGGACTCTTTTTCACTCTTTCCCTCACCAACCCAGCCACTGAAGTCCATTAATTACCACTCTTTTCAATAATGCCCTGGGGCAAAATTCCTCTACAAAGTAATCCAATAAAATAGTGAGTCCTTCTATGAAATAGTTTCTGAGGTCAGTGTTTGATATTTGTTTTACTTCGGGAGGG
The DNA here is from genome assembly GCF_000001405.40 of Homo sapiens. Taxonomy (NCBI): domain Eukaryota; kingdom Metazoa; phylum Chordata; class Mammalia; order Primates; family Hominidae; genus Homo; species Homo sapiens. The sequence continues at coordinate 4,028,033 of NT_167246.2, read as the reverse complement.
CTCTTCCCACCTATTTTATTCTCCAGTTCTCTTCTGTAAACTAACCAGCCTACAGTCTAAGCTGTACCTGCATTAGATGCACAAATCTCCCAACTGCTTTTCACCACAACCTCTACTGTAATTGAGAGTGCCCTTAGGTTTAAACTTCTCCATGCTCTGTTCCACATGAAGTTACTTCCTTTGGGAATACATTAGGATATCTATTCTATTTTATATAGAATAGATATAAAATATATTCTATGTTCCTAAAATACATTCCTAATATATTGCCTTTCCTCCCAGGCAAACTCTCTAAGTCAGGGCTCTGGAGCTGGGTGTAACTGTGGCAAGCTTCTCTCTGAGTGACTCCTCAATTCTAGGAGCTGAGCACTGAGTGGAGGGTGTGGCCAGCAGCCTGCTGTCCTATTGGCTTGCCTCTCCTGCAGTGGAGCCATTCCCTCATGAGCAAGGTAAAGGGTTATTAGGGCCCCAGTAGTCTTAGCATACCACACCCAAGGCAGACTCTCCATTCCACAAGTGGGAGTTGGGCAGAAGAACGGTCCTCTCACTTCTCAACTGCACTTGTCTCGGACATAGTCTCAGCAACAGGTAGCTGGGGGCAGGATGAGGGATTCTGAATTCCTGCCCTTCCTAGAAATAAAGCGCTCTGATATGGAGCTGTGGGGAGAGGGAGGCCTGTGCTCTGGGCTGTAGCAATCTAGAGTGGAGTCTATGCCTTACTGACCTCACTGAGCTGGCATGCAGGAGAGAGGGAGGGTATAGTCTTGGTTCAAATACCACAGACTCTTGCTTTTCTTGCCAATTTTCAGAGATTTTCTTGAACAGATGTCTCATTATTGCTGTTTGTCCTTAAGAGGCTTTTCAGAGGCTTTAATTTTTTAAAAATCAGTTGCATTGGAGAGTGGATCCCATAGTGATTATCTCACAATGAAGAAATGACAGATTAATTTGTCTCTATTAATTTTGTAGACTTCCAATCTTTCCTTATTGGGCAGGTGTTACTAGTATTATAAGAAAAGTAGTGTGTTAATTTTTATTTTTTTAAATAAAAAAGAATATGACTCACTGTACTTTTTCTTCACTTGGATTTTGGAAGTCTGTACCTGCTCCAACAACCAGTAGCCCCACTGAAAGATAGCTGGGTATTGACACCAATGAGGCAGTGTTGCAGTTAAAATATTCTCTTGTACTTGAGAATTCACCCGAGAAAGTATTGACCAATCCCTACTTACATTGCATGTATATGGAGGTTTCCTTTTGGACCAAGACTTAACTCATAAAGTAGACCTCTTTTACATGAATACTGATATTTTTTTCCAACAATGAAAATGGCAGATCACTTGGTTATTCCTCTTCTCCCTTGACAGGAATTTCTATATTCTAGGGAGATCTATAGGACATCTCAATAAACCCTACTTAGGTCTATAGCTTCCTGCATGAGGTGTGACACACTTTTCCAACTACTGCTTCATACAAAAGACAAGGAGTTTCAACTTTTTCACCCTTACTTAGGAATTGGCAAGCACAGAATATTAGGAAGTTGTGCACTGGAAGCACAGGGACCATGCCAGGCTTTCAGCAGAGTATCCACATGAAGTTACCAAGGGGGTGACAAATAATTGTAGCTATGTGGCCAGTTTTTCAGGAAGTGAGTTGGAAAGTTCATGAGTATATAATGATGAAAAACTAAGCTACAATGTTTCTTGCCTAATTTGTGAGACTTATATTTCTTAGTCAAAGAGTAAAGATCCCATTCCATAATTCTATGTTAAGTGCAAATGGTACTATCAATGTACTGGCTAATTGAATTTCACTGAGCATAATTACTCCCAAAATGGTTTCAACAAATAATGTTCTTGTCTTGCCTCTAAGGAGTACTTGAAAAAGAATCCACAAAGGACTGTTTTTATTAGTTAACATTGTTTAGTCATATTGGGGAATTATTTTTCTTTAGGATAATTAAAATATTTTATCTTTATTTTTGTTGAAATCAGTTTCAGAAAATTATTTTCTCCTTTTTGTAATTACAGCTCACTTTTGAACAACACAAGTTTGAATTGCATGGGTCCTCTTATGGGTTGATTTTTAAAAATAAATATATTTGAAATTTTTTGGAGATACATGACAGTTTGCAAAAAAACCCACAGATGAATCATGTAGCCTAGAAATATTGAAAACTTTGTTAAAGTTAGGTATGTCATGAACTCATAAAACATATGTAGATACTAGTATGTTTTTATAATTTACTACCATAAAATATACACAAATCTGTTATAAAAAATTAAAACTTATGAAAAGTTATGCACTTACAGACCATACATAATGCCATTCACAGTGGAGAGACATGGAAACAAACATAAAGATACAGTATTGAGTCACAACTGCATTGAATAACTATAATACATAGGACATTACTGTAATAACTTCATAGCCACCTTCTGTTGCTGCTGTGGTGAGTCCGAGTGTTGCAGGTATGTGCGTAAAATGCCTCCTGATGCTAATCATCATAAATTGTGTATTGCAGTAAAAAGTGATCTCTTATGGTTCTCGTATATTTTTCATGTTTAGCGTTATGTTGTAAACCTTGAATAACATCATGGGATCTATACAAAGTGCCACTAGTGATGCTGAAGTGCTCCCAAGGAGCAGAGAAAAGTCCTGGCATTACAGGAAAAAGTTGAATTATTTGATATATACCATAGAGTGAGGTCTGCAGCTGCAGTTCTTCATGATTTTAGACACATGGTTTGTCTTGTAAACCAGCTCATGTAAACTTACAGTATCGATAAACACAGTACAGTACTGTAAATTTATTTTATTTATTATTTTCTTAATATTTCCTTTTTGCTAGCTCATTTTATTATAAGAATATAGTATATAATAAATATAACATACAAATATGTATGACTAAACTGTTTATGTTATTGGTAAAACCTCTGGTCAACAGTAGGCTATTGGTAGTCTTTAGGGAGTCAAAAGTTATATGAAGATTTTTGACTGTGTTGGGCATTGGTGTCCCTAACCCCCGCATTAAGTTGTCGACAAAAAGAGTCAAACTCTGTAAAATATTTGAAGAGATTTATTTTGAGCCAAATATGAGTGACCAGTGGCCTCTGGCACAGTTCTAGAAGATCCTGAGAACATGTGCCCAAGGTGGTTGGGCTACAGCTTGGTTTTATAAATTTTAGGGAGACATAAGACATCAATCAATACATGTAAGATGTACATTGGTTTGGTCCAGAAAGGAGACAACTTGAAGTAGGGGCTTCCAGGACACAGGTGGATTCAAAGATTTTCTGGTTGGCTATTGTTTGAGAATTTATCTAAAGATGTGGATTCAGTAGAAGGAAGTGTCTAGGTTAAGATAAGAGGTTGTGAAGACTAAGGTTGTTATTCATCATGCAGATGAAGCCTCCAAGTAGTAGACTTCAGACAGACTAGATTGTAAATGTTTCTTATCAAACTTAAAAAGGTGCCAGATGGGCCAGGCGTGGTGGCTTACGCCTGTAATCCCAACACTTTGGGAGGCCGAGGCAGTGGATCACCTGAGGTCAGGAGTTCAAGACCAGCCTGGCCAACAAGGTGAAACCCCATCTCTACTAAAATTAAAAAATTAGCCGGGCATGGTGTTGAGCGCCTGTAATTCCAGCTACTAGGGAGGCTGAGGCAGGAGAATCGTTTAGAACACAGGAGGCAGCAGAGGTTGCAGTGAGCCGAGATTGAGCCACTGCACTCCAGCCTGGGAGACAGGGTGAGACTCTGTCTCAAAAAAAAAAAAAAAAAGAAAGTGCCAGATGCTTAGATAATTCTCTCCTGGATCAAGGGAAAGACCTGGAAAGGAAAGAAGATTTTCTACAGAATGTAGATTTTCCCCACAAGAGACAGCTTTGCAGGGCCATTTCAAAATATGTCAAATAAATATATTTTGTGATAAAATACTTTGATTTCTTTCAGGGCATGCTATCTGTCACGTTGGTATCTTATTGCTACAAAGAGTCTGGTCAGTCTTAAGGTCTTTGTTCTAGTGTTAATGAGGGTCAAATGTGCCTCGATTCTAGAGGGAGGAAGGTATAATGATGCAAGTCTAACCTCCCCTTCCCATTGTGACCTGAACTAGTGTTTCAAGTTTACTTTAAAATGTCCTTGGCCAAGCAGAAGGGCCCATTTAGTTGGTTGAAGGGCTTAAATTTTATTTTTGGTTTACAGGGTGAACTGTATTTTCAGTTACTGAAATGACTAATGACAGTGAAATAAAAATGAAATGTTTTTTAGTATTTATCATGGTCCAGGAATGAGTTAAGTATTAACCTGAGAGATTATGCAATTCAACCCTTTAATTTTAGTGATGAAGAAACAGACACTCAAAAGAGAAAATTACTTGACCAAGGTGTGGGTTGGGTGCCAGAATTCCGACCTCATGACCATGAATACCGTGTTTTTATTCCCATTCTACTATGTAACTATATTCACTAACTGAGCCCCAAGGAGCTCTGATAAAGTAAAATATGACTTTTTATGAGAGGGGTATTGGAATTTTACTTTAGATACCCTGCTGATCTCAAGTAAACTAATAATTTTAATTCCTGGGCTTTGAGTTTAGGCAGAACGGGATTTTAATCCTCATAATTATCTCTTAAATCACTACAATTTCTTAAAATCACTCTTTAAAATCACGAATTCTTAGTGATCTCTTAAAATTGCTAATTCTTAGTAACTTACTCATGTATTTATTAATTTTACAAATATCTATTGAGTGCTGGGAACTGAACATTCAGCAGTTAACAAAAATAATGATTAATTGAGATAATACACCCGGAAGTACTACTTTGCTAGAACAAAATAATCAGTACATAATAATGTGACTTTCCCTCAAATTGTCCTATGACAATCAGCAGGTGGGATCATGGGCTTCTTCACCATTTCCATCTCGTTCACCACAGGTGTTCATGCATCACTAGCAGGGAGAATCCAGCGTCATAGTCATGCCCTTCTCTTTTAAAACTCACCAGGGACTTCCCACAGAGGCATGAAAAATATCAGGTAACCTCTTCTCCCCCACCAACACTAAATACTAAGAGTCTCAGTCTTTACTCTGCTTCACAACTACAAAATATGGTATCTTGTCTCTCCACATGGAGTATCTTATTTCTTTCCGTGAAACTACATCGTAGCCATTCTTCTCACCACTTATGAGTAATCCTGCTCCTTCCCTGCCTCCTCCCCAAGACGTGAGATCAGATCAGACCTTCTTAGCAGACATATCTGCTGGAGACAAGTGATGCTGCCTCATTCTCTATTCCTATTGGTTGAAGAAACATGCCTGTGACAGGTTGGGGATTTCCAGGAATGGTTTTCTTTCTTGAAATGCCTAGTGCAAGAAGCTGGAATGCCTTCCCCAAAACGAAGTAACCTGAACTGAGACTGATGAGGCAGATACTAGGTTTGAGAACTGTCTGTGGGTACTGCCTCTGAAAAGAGAGATGTATTCCTTCTAAAACGACTCATCTTTCTCTCTTTATCAAGTGATATTTCCTAGCATGATTATAAGAATATTAGTGCTCAGTAAATCCAACCTCTTCATTCTAACCATTACTTCCTAGTCTTGTAACTACACTGGGATTTCCAAAATAATTTCCTGGTTGATTTCCCTTCCATCTGTAGCTATACAAGTCTTGTTTTTGTTGGGTGGCTTCACTCTGTGCATCCCCTTCCATTCCTGAAGGAAGAATCTTCACTCCCATCAGACAGTACTCCTCTCCCGGCCTGCATCTTTCATCCTTCGTTTCCCTTACATATCGTTTCATTATATTTTCTCTACCCCTTCTACTGTCTTAATTAACCAAACTTGCCCTTTTTAATGAGTGTTACTATCTCATGCACATAGAGAGCTCCAATCTTTAATTTTTAAGGTTCATGTAGGTGTGTAAAACATTTTATTATTATTATTATTTTTGAGACGAAGTCTCGCTGTCACCCAGGCTGGAGTGCAGTGGCGAGATCTCGGCCCGCTGCAACCTCCGCCTCCCGGGCTCAAGCAAATCTCCTGCCTTAGCCTCCCAAGTAGCTGGGACTACAGGTGTGTGCCACCACACCCAGCTAATTTTTGTATTTTTAGTAGAGACTGGGTTTCGCCATGTTGGCCAGGCTGGTCACAAACTCCTGACCTCAGGTGATCTACCTGTCTCTGCCTCCCAAAGTGCCGAGATTACAGTCGTGAGCTACTGCGCCTGGTCAGTGTGTAAACCATTTTAACAATTTGGCTCATGTTTGAAAACCCACAAATTTGTGCTCTTATTGTATTTTATAAACCAATCGATTGCAGCGCTTGTTGCAGTGTATTATAGCAAGTTTATGTTGGCTTTGAACTCCTAGGAAACAAGATCTGCAGATCCTATTTATCCTAATAATGCATAATCTTGAAGAATGATTTGCACAAATGCAGCAGTATGAACTTTTTAATGTTCCCCCAAAGGAATAAATGTTATCTTTTTCAAGTCAGGGTATAATTCCCATGTTTCTACCATCACCTCCAAAAGGGGTACAAAAGATTATTTTCAGAGTTGTTATAAAGATTAAATGAGATAATTGAAAAATGGCTAACCAGACCCTGGAACCATTGATTCTCTTTTCCATCATTGTCCCTGCATGTTCTTATAACCAGCAGGTGGGGAGATGACCCTTAATCAATCTGTTTCTTCTTTCCTTTCAATTTTGTCCCTACCACAGATTTTAGTTTTCTACCAGTGATGAGATCCTAGCATTAAAGCAATTTTCTTTTCATTTAGTCCTGGGCAGGGACTTTCCACCTATGTCTGAAAAAGAACAAGTATCCTGATTCACGCTCTACATTCATTAAGCATGCTGGATCTTACTTGAAAAGGGGAGAGTTCTTGTCAATCCACACAGCTATCACCTGTTTCTTTCTACAAATTTCAGGTATTATATCTTTCTCGCACCACATAACTAATAATTTGGCCCTACTCCACGTTTTCACAGGGTCTCAAAACCAGACTAATGCTGGGACTATTGCAGTAGTGTTATTTGCTGGAGACAAATGATGTTACTTCACTCAGTGGTTGCATAGGAAGAAAACTGATAAGTAATGGAGATTTTTATAAAGACCCTTTGTCCAGAAAACTGACCTGCTTCATCTTAAAGCACAGAGTCTGGGAACCAGGATAGATAACCAACCTGGGGGTTTGAGAACTCAGTCTTTGGATGCTATCTCTGAAAGAAGAAAAGAGGTCTAAAAAAATTCCACATTTTCTCTTTCTACCCATTAGATAGTAATACTTTGCACAAGTTTGGAAGGACACAAGGCACTCAGTAAAACCAGTACCCTAGTCTCACTGTCACCTCCCCAGCCTTGATGCTCCTCCTCTACCTATATGACACTTGCCTTACCAACAGATGATTTTGCTGTTTTACATTTGTACACTTCAGTTCATCACCTTCCTAAGAAGTGACTGCTCAGCTTCTAAGGCCTCTCATAAAAACAGGTCCTCTCTGTGCATATTCTCTTATCCTATACTATTCTTTAATCTAGATGTTCACTCCAGTCAATCTGGGCTTTTCCCTAAATCAACCCACTCCCTGTCCCACCCCCGCTGCCAGTACTGCTCTCACTCATGCAGTTCATGATGGTTCCTTTCCCACTGCTGTTCCTCGGAATCATTTCCTCCTCTTCTCTGCTTCAAGTCTTACTTCTGCAAATGAACTATATTTTCAAGTTTTCTCCAAATACTCCAGTCTGTATGAATATATCCTTTATCTGCTATTCTTGAATTTTGTTACTTTTAAATTATACCCACTCTTTCTTTCCTTCCTTCTTTCTTTTTTCTTTCTTTCTTTCTTTTTCTTTCTTTCTCTCTCTCTCTCTCTCTCTCTTTCTTTTTTTTTATTTTTATTTTTCAAAGATAGCCTCACTCTGTTGCCCAGGCTGGAGTGCAATGGCACGATCTCAGTTCACAACAACCTCTGCCTCTTAGATTCAAGCGATTCTTATGCCTCAGCCTCCCAAGTAGCTGGGATTTCAGGCGTGTGCCACCACGCCTGGCTAATTTTTTGTATTTTTAGTAGAAATGGGATTTCACCATGTTGCCCAGGGTGGTCTTGAACTCCTGAGCTCAGGCAATCCGCCTGCCTTGGCCTCCTAAAGTGCTACGATTATAGGTGTGAGCCACCACCCCCAACCCCCATTTGTATTTTCATTGCAATTTATAAATGTTTATATTTATACTTAATACATTGTTTATTAATTCAACAACTATTAATAACTATTTTGAACCAGGCATTTTTCTAGGAACTGAGGAGAGAATAGTGCAGAAAGTTCCTGGTGTATGGAGTGTATGCTGTATATGTGTCTTTTTTTCCTGGTATATATTGATCTTCATGAGATCTTCACCCTGGAACCTTAGCTCCTACCGCACTCTTTGAAACATGGGAGACGTTCAATAAGCATTTGCTCTTTGAATATCATCAGTTATACTCTGTGCTTCTTATGGAAGTATGTGCATGTTTTAGTTAATCGCCTTCCTAAAGAAGACAATGGGTGTTTGTCACTCTGTGAAGCCCTCTACCAACTTATTCTAAAGTCAGAAAGGAGGTGAAACTTGCCTTAACATATAGAAAGGAACAGTTTAGTGACCAAAAAGTTTGACAAGAACTGGAACTATATACAAGAAATACCAACTGAATCACAGGACTATTCCTGGAGCCCCCGCTTCCAGTGTCCTTCACTCCGTCCTCTCCTTCAACTTCAATTTAACTACAACAAACATTCATTAACATGTGTGCCGATGTTTCCGATTTTCCTGCCCTTTTCCCTTCTGTGACTTCCAAAGTACCTAAGGGTGCATTCTGCTGTTGTTCTTATTTCTCTTTTCCTAACCACAAACACTGAAGCCCCTGGTGAGAGGCTCCTGGCACGAGTGTGATAGGCTCATGGTAGGTCGTCATGAGAAGCTTTCCAGGCACATCCCATGGCACCTGCTAGTTATGCCCAGTAATTTCTTACTGTCCCTGTTTTAGATACATGATATTTGTGACCACTGATGAACCTTTTTCTTATGATTCTGAGTTTTGGATTCTATTTTAAAAATATTTTTCTATTTCAAGATCAGGAAGATATTCTCTAATATCATCTTCTAGAAGTTTTATTGTATTGATTTTTATGGATAGATATGTTTTCTACTGGAATTAATTTTGTGTATAAAGTGAGATAGGTGTCAAATTTCTTTCTTTCTTTTTTTTTTCAGTAAGGATATACAACTGATCCAGCAGCATTTATTGACAGGCTGATTCTTTCCGGGTCACTAAATTGACAATTATTAGATCACAAAATAGGCACAAAAGAGAACATACTGTATAGTTTAATTTGTATAATGTTACTAAGCATGTTTAGGAATAAATATTAGATTTTGAAGGTGTATTGAAAAGCAATGAAGGGATTGCCATGGAAGTCTGATGGTGAGTTGTCTTGATGGGAAGGGAGAGCAATGTAGACAGGAGGAAGCACGGGAGAGCTTCTGGTGCTGGCCTCATGCTGTTTCTTGATTTGGGTGGTGGGTTCATGGATGTTGGCACTGTAATGATTGATTAAGTTGTACATTTATGCTTTACATGTCTTACTATATGTGTGTTCTATGTCACTATACAATGTTAAAAATGTAACACATTTGGTTTCCTAATCATATCCCAGTAATAAATAAATATTTATTTATTTATTTGTATTTATTTGAGACAGAGTCTTGCTGTGTTGCCCAGGCTGGAGTGCAGTGGTGCAATCTCAGCTCGCTGCAACCTCCACCTCCCGGGTTCAAGGGATTCTGCTGCCTCAGCCTCCTGAGTAGCTGGGACTACAGGTGCCCGCCACTATGCCTAGCTAATTTTTGTATTTTTAGTAGAGACGGGGTTTCACCATATTGGGCAGGCTGGTCTCGAACTCCTGACCTTGTGATCTGCCTGCTTCAGCCTTCCAAAGTGTTGGGATTACAGGTGTGAACCACCACACCCAGTCATTATCAATATTTATTAAATACTATAAGTGATGGACATTATTGAATGTGTTGGGGATATAGCAGTTAAGTGAAAACATAGTGTGATACATACATCCACTGCAGGGTTATGATGAGAATCAAATGATACAAAGTGTCTGGAAGTAGAAAATTCAGTGCCTGGTGTAAAATAAACAATAACTCATCATTTTATTTTCCCTTCATTTGTCTGTGCATAAACCTATGGCAATCAGAGTTGGCATAATAGATCTCTCTGACAGTCTCCATCTCTTGTATAACAAGAATAGCAGGCAGATAGCAGCAGGATAGCTTTTTATTTGTGCTTTTAATACTACCCAGGGACAGGAATGGAAAACCAGGCATTATGTCCCTATCACTCTAAATGCCCAGCTCCTCCAATCCTCACTGCACATTTTGCTTTACTCTGCAAATATTCTTTATTTGCTAACTACTTATGTCCTAATTTATTCCACAAAGGAAGTTATCAGCCTTTCTTATCAACACCTAATTTAGTCATCCTGTTCTCCTGCAGCTTCTCTCCAAGACTTTATATAAGACCTTCTGGTCAGATGTATCTGCCGGAGATAAGTGATGTTGCTTCAGTCTTTATCCCTATTGGTTATAGAAAAAAACAGCAACAACTGTTTGTGAAGGGATGGGGATTTCCAGTAAATTTCTCTCTTTTTTCTACAAAATGTCTCAACCAGAAAGAAAGAACCAGCACACAGATGGATAGGAAGATTGATCCCTTTGGGTGTTACCTACAAAAGGAAAGAAAATGTATTCCTTCTAAAAGACCTTCCGTTCCTCCCTTATTCATCAAATACCAATTCTAATGCACATCTGGAAATGCAAAAGGAGCATGGTATTCCCATCATCCATTTCTGTTGTCACCACACTGATCTCTGTGTCCAATCCTTCATAACTAACCTTGGATTGTAAAAGTTTTACTGCTTGATATTTTTTCCTGCGTCCATCCACATATTTCTAAAAGATGTAACTTCTTTGCCAAATTTTCAATGCCTTTCTTAGAACTTCAGCTCTGCACATCCACTCTGATCTCCCAGCATTATTTAAGGGAGCCTTTCAATTCTAGTCTAACAGACTCCCCTCTATCTCTATTTCCGTTTCCCGACTCCTCCTGCTTCTTGCACACATGTTATTCATGATAGTTCCTGTTCCCCAGCGAGTCTCTAGCCATCCTGAAACGTAACCCTTTCTCTGTGTTCTGAGTTTCACTTCCTCTGGAACTTACATCTATACAAATGCTTCCTTCTTGTTGTAAATATAAGTTTATACTTAATTTTAACCATTTTTGTTTTAAAATTTTTGTCTTAAAAATTAATAACACCAAATTGTGTTTGATTATTTTTTATAGATATGTCTGTTGTAGATCTTGTGACATTTTTATATGAATTTTATATGTCTGTCATTACAATGCGCTCTTTTGTCTGTGTAGGATCTACTTAAAAGTAGGATCTAATTCATGTGAATCTTTGTATCCCCAGCATTAGAAGAATCTTTTGCACAAAGGAAGCACTGAACACACTTTTTGTGATTGAATATCCCCACCTAGATTGCATGTGTATGTGCACATGCATATGGTGGATCCTCAGTTAAAATTTACCGAATGTTAAGTGCGGCAAAAGATATGAGATAGATATTAAGAATATTTTTCTGACTGTGAGGATTTATATATGGAAATATGTGAAGGAGGGACAATCCCTTCTACAAAATTGTTTTCACCAGATTACCGCTGACTGTTACCACCCTGTGTGGCTCCCACAACAGCTTCTCCTATGAGAAGCAGATAACTACATTTTTGTAGAAAACAAGAGAGGATGAACTGACTAGTGAGCAAGGGGTTAAACAGCCCCCAAATCATGTTCTCAATGATGCCCATCAGTCCTCACTTCATAATTTAATTACCAGTTACAAAAGACCTTCTGGATGCTGGATGTTTGGGTCTTCTGGAACTCTCTCCTGCTCTTCTGGTATATCCACAAACAGTCTTGTCAAAACTGGATCCTGATATTTCATACAATTACTTGCTTCGGGACCTCTCTTTTCCTCATTTCCTCACCAAATACTGGAGTCCATTGAGTGAGAAGGGGCTAGCCTCAGCCATATGTTTAATTTGGAGGCCTAGTCAAGAGCTTTACTAGAGCATCCTGTGGGAATCAGTGGCCTTGCCCCAATATTTTCTCATTTTCACACTATTCACTGTTCCCATTCAATGCGGCTGCTGAGCTATTACTTTGCTTTCTGTCTAGACACTGGTAACCCTGGCTGGAGGGCCATCTTGGCTGATTCTCCCTATCTTATTGTCCTTCTGTGACTCACATGTGCTACTGTCCATGAACCATGCTCTTTGTCACAAAACACAATTCTCAGCTTCCCCCCAGCTCCCACTCCTTCTCCCCAACACTTGCACTTACAGAAATGTTTCCTTCTCATTTCCCTTTTCTTTATCTACCATCTTTTATCTGCCCTAATGTCTACAAAAGTATCCTTAGTTCTCTTGAAGTAAAAATGGACACTTTTAAAATTATTTATGTAAGTATGGATGTATATATCTATAAATTTACGTGTACATATTTATTTATTCATGGATATTGGTGAATAAATGTCAGGGTAGCCCTACTTTTTACAACCACTTCTCTGGTCACAATACAGATGCACTCTCTGCATTTGGGTGGGAGGCAGTGAAAGAAGTGTCGATTGGCATGATTGTTGAATAGACACATGCACAGGAAATGCCTGGTGTTTAGTTCCCAGCCTCCATTTTTGCTTTCAGTACATATCTCACCTCAACTATACCTCTAGAAGGTATTTGAAGATTTATCCTGATCCTCCCATAAATATAAGAACCTTGTTCTATCCTATGATTTTTTAAATTATTGTATTTTTTTGGCAAATTATAATTGCATATAATTATAGGGTACAAAGTAATGTTATGATATATATACACAATGTGGAGTAGTTGACTCAAGCTAATTAATATATCCATCACCTTAAAAACTTTTCATTTATTCCTTCTGTCTGTCTGCTACTTTATACTATTTGACTGATGTCTTCCTATTCCTCCCAATCTGCAGCCTCTGATAATCACTATTCTACTGTCTGCTTCTATGAATTTGATTGTTTTTGATTCCACATATAAATGAGAATATGCAGTATTTGTCTTATTTCACTTAGAAACGTCTAGCTTATTTCACTTAGCATACTGTCCTCTAGGTTCATTCATGTTGTTACACATGGCAGAACAGCGTTTTTTTTTGTTTTTTTTTGTTTTTGAGATGGAGTCTCACACTGTCGCCTGGGCTGGAGTGCAGTGGCGCTATCTTGGCTCACTGCAACCTCCGCCTCCTGGGTTCACACCATTCTCCTGCCTCAGGCTCCTGAGTAGCTGGGACTACAGGCGCCCACCACCACGCCCGGCTAATTTTTTGTATTTTTAGTAGAGACAGGGTTTCACCGTATTAGCCAGGATGGTCTCAATCTCCTGACCTCGTGATCCGCCCGCTTCGGCCTCCCAAAGTGCTGGGATCACAGGCGTGAGCCACCACGCCCGACCCAGAGCAGCCTTTTTTAAAAAGGCTATATGTTATTCTGTTATACAGAATATATTCTGTATATATACCACATTAAAAAATTTGTCAGTTGATGGACGCTTACCATCTTGGCTATTATAAGTAACATTACAATGAACATGAGAGTGCAGATATCTCTTTAACATACTGATTTTAAGTCCTTAGTCCATACACCTAGAAGTGGGATTGCTGAGTCATATAGTAGTTCTACTTTTAATTTTTTCAAGAACTTCCATACAGTTTTTTATAATGGCTATACCAATTTACATTCCCACCAACAGTGTACAAGTGTTTCCTTTTTTTTTTTTTCAGATGGCGTCTCACTCTGTCACCCAGGCTGGAGTGCAATGGTGAGATCTTGGCTCACTGCAACTTCTGCCTCACAGGTTCAAGCTATTCTCCTGCCTCAGACTCCCAAATAACTGGGACTACAGGCGCACACTGCCATGCCCAGCTAATTTTTTTTTCTTTTTTTTTCTATTTTTTAGTAGAGACAGGGTTTCACCATGTTGCCCAGGCTGGTCTTGAACTCCTGAGCTCAGGCAATCTGCCCACCTCAGCCTCCCAAAGTGCTAGGATTACAGGCGTGAGCCACCACACCTGGCCAAGTGTTCCCTTTTCTCCACATCCTCACCAACACTTTTCTTTTACCTTTTCAATAAGAACCATTCTTTCCGGTGTGAGGTGATATCTCATTGTGGCTTTAATTTGCATTTCCCTAATGATTAGTGATGTTAAGCTTTTTTTTTTTTTTTTTGAGACAGAGTCTTGCTCTGTTGCCCAGGCTGGAGTACAATGGTGCGATCTCAGCTCACTGCAACCTCCGCTTCCCGGGCCCAGGTAATTCTCCTGCCTCAGCCTCCCAAGTAGCTAGGACTACATGTGTGTGCCACCATGCCCAGCTAATTTTTGCATTTTTTGTAGAGACAGGGTTTCACTGTGTTAGCCAGGATAGTCTGAATCTCTTGACCTCGTGATCCACCCGTCTCAGCCTCCGAAAGTGCTGGGATTACAGGCGTGAGCCACTGCACCCACCAGTGTTAAGCATTTTTTCATATGCCTGTTGGCCACTTCAATGTCTTCTTTTGAGAAATGTTTATTCATATTCTTTGCTTATTTTTAAATCTTATTTTTTTATTTTATTTTTTTTGCTATTGAGAGTTTCTAATGTATTTTGGATGTTAACCCTTCATCAGATGTATTGCTTGAAAATATTTTCTCCCAGCTGATAGGTTGTCTCTTCATTCTGTTGTTTTCTTTGTTGTGCAGAAGCTTTTTAATGTGATGTAATCCCACTTGTCTAATTTTAAATTTTGTTGCCTAAGATTTTGGGGTCAAATAAAATAAAAATCATTGTCCAGACCAACGTTGTATAGGTTCTCTCTGTTTTCTTCTAGTATTTTACAGTTTCAGGTCTTATATTTAAGTCTCCAATCCATTTTTAGTTGATTTTTGTATATGGTGTGAGATAAAGATCCAATTTTATTCTTCTGCATGTGAATATCCAGTTTTCTCAGCACTGTTAATTGAAGAGATTGTCCTTTTCCCATTGTGTGTTCTTGGTAACTTTATTGAAAATAACTTGGTCATAAATAAGTAGATTCATTTCTGGGCTCTCTATACTGTTTCATCAGTAGATGTGTCTACTGTTATGCCAGTACCATGCTGGGTTTTGTTGTTGTTGTTGTTATTGTTTTTAGATGGAGTCATGCTCTGTTTCCCAGGCTGGAGTGCAGTGGTGTGATCTTGGCTCACTGCAACCTCCGCCTCCTGGGTTCAAGCAATTCTCTGCCTCATCCTCCTGAGTAGCTGGAATTACAGGTGGCTGCCACCATGCCCAGCTAATTTTTGTATTTTTAGTAGTGATGGGGTTTCACCATCTTGGCCAGGCTGGTCTTGAAGTCCTGACCTTGTGATCCACCTGCCTCAGCCTCCCAAAGTGCTGGGATTACAAGCATGAGCCACTGTGCCCAGCCATGCTGTTTTAAGTACTATAGCTTTGTAATATAGTTTGAAGTCAAGTGGTGTAATGTCTCCAGTTTTGCTCTTTTTGCTCAAGATTGTCTTAGCTATTCAGGCTTTTTGTGTGGTTCCATATGAATTTTATATTGTTCATAGATATTGTAAATGGGATTGTTTTCTTGATTTGTTTTTTGAATAGTTCATTGTTAGTGTATAGAAATACTACTGATTTTTGTGTGTTGATTTTATATGCTGCAACTTTACTGTATTCATTTATTAGTTCTAATAGCGTTTTGGTGAATTTTTTTAGCATGTTTTAGATATAATACACATTCTTCTCAAGCACACATTGAACTTTCTCCAGGACAGATGAGATGTTAGGCCACAAAAAAACTCTAAACAAATTTTGAAGTGCACAACATTATTTTGTTAACTATAGGCACTATGTTAGATAGCAGATCTCTAGAACTTATTCATCCAGCATAACTAACACTTTATACCCTTTTAGTGACAACGTTCCATTTCCCCCAGCCCCCAACTCTTGTTAACTACTATTGTATTCTCTGCTTCTATGAGCTTGAGTATTTTAGTTACCTCATATAAGAGGAATTCTGCAATATTTGTCTTCCTGTAACTGGCTTATTTCACTCAGCATAAGTGAAACTAAAAAGCTTTTGCATAGCAAAGAAAACAATAAACAGAATGAAAAGATAACCTGCAGAATGGAAGAAAATATTTGCAAACCATATATTTGATAAGGGGCTAATTTCAAAAATGTATAAGGAACTCATACAACTCAAGAGCAAAACAACCAACCAAACAAACAACCTGATTAAAAAATGGGCAAAGGACTTGAACAGATATGTCTTGGAAAAAGATGTTATAGACTAAATGTTTGTGTTCCCTCCTAATCATATGTTAAATCCTAAGCCCCAATATTATAGGATTAGAAGGTGGGCCCTTTGGAAGGAATTAGGTCTAGAGTCTATCTAGATAAACACTCCAATTAATTGCCCATATGGGAACACAAATTGGTTTCTGATGGTGTAAAGTTATTAAGCAAAAATAATAACAATAAATGGATAAACAGGATCAATTTCTTCTTACCATGGAGGATATGTATCCTCAACAGAAGACTGTGCCATTTAAAGGCCATATTAGTATTCATCAGAGTTGACAGGACCCTTTCCTGTAAGATTTCAGCAATGTCATCCATCGAGGAACTTTGGGTGGAGCCAGTCTTTGCACCATGGCACTATCTAGGTCATGGCTGTAAGTCTACAAGTGAAAAAACCATGGTCAATATTAATGATATTGCAATTAGTATCAGCAATACCACTGAAGGAAACGTTGACAGTTAAAATAATTTAGGAGGCTGGGCACAGTGGCTCACGCCTGTAATCCCAGCACTTTGGGAGGCCAAGGTCAAGAGATAGAGACCATCCTAGCCAACATGGTGAAACCCCATCTCCACTAAAAATACAAAAATTAGCTGGGCATGGTCGTGTGCACCTGTAGTCCCAGCTACTCGGGAGGCTGAGGCAGGAGAATAGCTTGAACCCAGGAGGCAGAGGTTGCAGTTAGTCAGGATCACGGCACTGCACTCCAGCCTGGCAACAGAGCCAGACTCTGTCTCAAAAAAAAAAAAAGAAAAAAAGAAAAAAAAAGAATTTAGTGTTTAACTCCTGTTCTGGAGAGAAAATAAACCCATGTCTATGTATTTTGCCTCAGTGGCAGAACCAGTTGCTTTTAGAACTGATTCTTGTTATGCTTTTTTGTTTTTCATAGCTTTAGAACTTGTAATAGCAATAAAGATTCCTCATTTCTGGAAAAACTCAAAAATTTCTAATAATCCTTATATTATCTTCTGCTGTGGTTATTATAAAGTATTTTCCTCTGGTTAATAATATAGCTATGGCTTAGATTATTTTTTTACTAGCTGGTACCTTTTTTCTTATTCTAACAGTTGACTAGACACCTCTTTAAGGTCAAATCCAAAATTGTGAACTATGGACACTGACAGGGTTTTGTTTGCACCCAAATCATCTTTAGCATCTCTAGATGGATACTTAATAGTACCAAGTTTTACACCTTTATCTTGCTGGTGTAACCCCTTGAATGACCACATGACCAACACAGGGATGCTAGCAATAGTTAGTGTGGTTCTTATGCTTCATTTTTCTCAGAATTGCTGTATGATACTGAGAGTTGCTTTGTTTGACAGGCACACAGGGTAGGAAGAGATGTCATGACAAAAGGATTAGCTAATTCTTTTGCCACACATAAGTTGATTTTATTTAGGTAAAATGTTGTTAACATAAATAAGTACTAGTAAGTTTACTTTTTCAAGATAATAAATTGTCTGCAAGGATGAGCTATTAGAAAAATAACAGGTAAAAGATTTTATTATTTATTTTAAATAAAATAAGCAACAAACCAGGCACACACTTCACAGGACAGATTGCAAAGAGGTTGGTACAGCTCAACAGGTTCATCAATGTCTTCACTGTCCACACTGCAGTCACTGGGGAGTGGGCTAGTGGAGCACCAAAATGAAATTTTGAAAAATAACCTGGCCTATTTTGGACTGGATAGATAGGTGGATACTTACCACAGCACAATTAACATAAGAGCTAGAAAGATAAATCAAAAGAAAATTCTTTGTACTTACAATATTAGTAGAAAGGCCTATGGGAATTCTAGTTGTTTTCTCTATATGCAATGGCAAGCATTCTGTTATAAAACAGCTAAGTTGAGCCAAAGAATGACATTTGGAAGTTAAAGAAGTCCTGTCAACTGACCTAGATAGTGTCATGGTGTAATGATTGGCGCTACCAAAGTTCCTTAGTGGAGGACATTGCTGAGATCTTACTGGAAAGGGTCCTGTCAAGTGTGATGAATACTAATGAGGCCTCTAAATGGCACAGTTTTCTGTTCAGGATACACACCTTCCATGCTAAGAAGAAACTGGTTCTGTTTATCCATTTATTGTTATTATCATTTTTTCTTTAGATATAAGGATTAGTAATCTGCTTTTTACTTTAAATTCCAGATTAGTGGTGGTTGCTTTCTGAAAACTCCTGAGAACATTTTGTGACTACCTGGACAAGTGACAGACATTCTATGATAACCAGGGCTTGCTGATAGCCAAAAGAGCCTATTTTTCCAAAATGTGTTGCAAGCTTTCAGGCTTACTACAAGTGAGCCCCATTCTGTGACAATCAGTAGGACTCAAGACATGCTGTAATCCTACCAATGTCAACCTGCCTGTTGTTCAGCAAAAGTCTGTGCTTCTGATTTTACCTGTTTAGTCCTGAGAATGCTGGGATTTATTTCCTGTAAAACCAAGCCTATGGTTTCATTCATCAAGACCAGAGACCATGGAACTTCCGTACGGAAAACCACTTTCTTCCAGAAACCAATTTAATTGCCATTTCCTCAGGAAATAAGCTCTCGTATTTGACACCTCTCACACACAGCAGAGTTGAGAGGATTCTTCTCTTGTTTTCAGTGCAAAAGTTCAGCCTAGAGATCACCTGTACGATTGATGGTTTGGTGACAGTTGCTACATTGTTTAGCCTGAACTATGCTTATATTGAATATTGAAGGAAAGTGTGAGATATATAATTTAAAGAAGCATATCTGTTATAGTTTAAGTGTGTCGCCTTTAAAATTCAGGTAGGGCTCCTCACTGATGAATGGGATTAAGGCCCTTGTAAAAAACGCTTCACACAGTTTTTAGCCTCTTGTCCTTCCACCTTCTACCATGTGAGTACACAGCGTTCATCCCCTCTGTAGGATGCAAGGTGCCGTCTTGGAAGTGGAGACCATGCCCTTTGCCAGACATTGAACATGCTGGTGCCTTAATCTTGGACTTCTCAGCCTCCATGTGTTCTTTATAAATTACCTAGTCTAACGTATTTTATCACAGCACAAATGAACTAAGACAACATCTTTGTTACTCATAAGTGTATAAAACATACAGAATTTAGTTCATTGCCATTGGCCATTTTTAAAATATAAATTTGTATGATTTATAAATAGTGTGTCAAATTTATATAAACAAGTTTTGAAAGTTTCTCTTTAACTATATTTTAGTACAGTCTTGATGTAGAATTACTTATTTTTGCCTCCGCTTTTATCCTGTAATACTAAGGTGAACCTTAGCTTCCTTTCCTAGATTACCACACCGCAATTAGTTAATTAGTAAATTACATTTCCTATTATCAAATGAAATATGATATTCTCCTGGTTGCAACTGCACAATTGTCAATAGTACTGAATTATCACTGTAGTGTAGGAACACAGTTTATTCTCAAATCCAGGGACAATAGTGATTTCTACCCAACCTCTCCAAGAAATATTCAACTTTCCACATTAACAGAAATATATTTTTCCAAAGTAAATGAGACAATATTTTTATTCTATTCTGAAATGATCAAACTTGCACTACTTCGTGCTGAGAAATTGGAAATGATGATTGAGAGTAATAGAATGGAGTTAGGAATGTTGAGGCTGTTGTTGTAAACTTTAATAAGAAGGAGATTTTTGCAGGAGCTATGGGTGTCCTTATGTAACATAAATGCAAACTGTGTCATTTCCAGAGGAGAATAACCATGGTGATGAGGGGAATCTTTTGAAGGAACTAGCATTGCTACACAGTATCTACCCCAAAGTCTATAAAATGTTGCCATTCATTAAAAGAAGTAGTCTTACTGATTTGCACAGCCATGAATTAAAGGGATAAAAATAATTTTAGTATAAGGGACGTAATTCTCTTTAGAAATTGAATGTGAGGTAGTATAATACAACGGTAGAGCTTGAGGGGTTGGAATCACATATATAATTACTTGGTTCAGTAGAGTTGACAGAACAACTCTGCTTTAAAATAATTAATATTTCATGTGAAGAGTGTTCAATCCCTCATTCCTGGCTCCCATTATGATTTCGTCATTTGTTTGAGGCTATGGCCCTTTACTATTCCATTTCTCTTGTTTTATCATAAAGGGAGATATAAGACGACTTTGCTGGCCAGACGCACTGGCTCACGCCTGTAATCCCAGCATTTTGGGAGGCCGAGTTACAATTCTGAGAATTGCTACAATTCTGAGTACAAAGCAAAATGCTCAAAAATTGCTCAAGAAATTTTAGTCATTTTTATTGCAGCATGGTGAGTATCTCATCCCTAGAAACACTAAGGCACATAAGGAAGGAGTGCCTATCAGAACTGTGATACAGTGTGAATTAATGCAGAACTTTATCTGTATAGTTGTACTTTGAAGTCCATTCTGAATCTTAGATGCTACATTTATATAAATATAAAGCATAATAAGTATCTAAATGTAGAATTATATGTTTAAAATTATATGATTACATTAACTGATGTAATTCATAGATTTTCCCTAGGGTTCTGTTTCATGAACATTCTGTAACATATTAGTTAGCAAAGTCTTTTTTTTTTTTTTTTTTGTAACTGAGTCTCACTCTATCGACCAGACTGGAGTGCAGTGTCATGCTCCCAACTCACTGCAACCTCTGCCTCCTGGAATCAAGCAATTCTCGTGCCTCAGCCTCCTGAGTAGCTGGGATTACAGGCATGCACCACCACATCCAGCTGATTTTTGTATTTTTTCTTTTAGTAGAGATGAGGTTTCACCATGTGGGCCAGGCTGGTTTCAAACTCCTGACCTCAAGTGGTCTGCCCACCTCGGCCTCCCAAAGTGCTGGGATTACAGGCATGACCCACCGCGTCCTGCCAGCAAAGTCTTCTTATATATTCCCTTATGATAAAACAAGAGAAGTGTAACAGTAAAGGGCCATAGCCTCAATCAAATGAGGAAATCCTAATGGGAACCAGGAATGAGGGATTGAACACTCCTCACATAAAATATTAATTATTTTAAAACTATCAGGGGAAATTCAGCCAGATATCAGGCGAAATTCACCCCCGATATTTCACGTAGGTTCTTTTCTATATTCCCTAAGCGTCGACCAGTCTGAGAAATAAAGGGACAGAGTACAAAAGAGAGAAATTTTAAAGCTGGGTGTCCCCGGGAGACGTCACATGTTGGCAGGTTCCGTGATGCCCCACAAGCCACAAAACCAGCAAGTTTTTATTAGTGATTTTCAAGAGGGGAGGGAGTGTACAAATAGGGTGTGGGTCACAGAGATTGAGATCACATGCTTCACAAGCTAATAGAGTATCACAAGGCAAATGGAGACAGGGCGAGATCACAGGACCACAGGACCGGGGTGAAATTAAAATTGCTAATGAAGTTTCAGGCACGCATGGTCATTGATAACATCTTATCAGGAGACAGGGTTTGAGAGCAGACAACCGGTCTGACCAAAAATTTATTAGGTGGGAATTTCCTCGTCCTAATAAGCCTGGGAGCACTATGGGATACTGGGGCTTCTTTCATCTCTACAGCTCGACCATAGAAGACGGCGCCCCCTGAAGCGGTCATTTCAGAGGCCTACCCTCAGGGAAGTATTCTCTTTCTCAGGGATGTTCCCTGCTGAGAAAAAGAATTCAGCAATATTTCTCCCATTTGCTTTTGAAAGAAGAGAAATATGGCTCTGTTCCACGTGGCTCACCAGTGGTCAGAGTTTAAGGTTATCTTTCTTGTTCCCTGAACATTGCTGTTATCCTGTTCTTTTTTCAAGGTGCCCAGATTTCATATTGTTCAAACACACATGCTCTACAAACAATTTGTGCAGTTAACACAATCATCAAAAGGTCCTGAGGCGATGTGCATCCTCCTCAGATTACAAAGATGATGGGATTAAGAGATTAAAGTAAAGACAGGCATAGGAAATCACAAGGGTATTGATTGGGGAAGTGATAAGTGTCCATGAAATCTTCACGATTTATGTTCAGAGATTGCAGTAAAGACAGGTGTAAGAAATTACAAAAGTATTAATTTGGGGAACTAATAAATGTCCATGAAATCTTCACAATCTATGTTCTTCTGCCATGGCTTCAGGTGGTACCTCCATTCGGGGTCCCTGACTTCCCGCAACAAAAACAGAGTTGTTCTGTCAACAGCTGACTTTGAGTCCTTGATCAGTCTCTCACACCGCTGAATACTTGGATTGCACAGTTGACCTTATCACATTGTTAGGGTAAGTGCTGTACAAAGGCACCTTCAGACCCTCCATTGCACATAGGTGGCCCCTGCAAGCCCCTTGCCTGAGTGTGTTCTGGAGCTGCCACTAAACTTGAGGGCAGCATCAGGAGATACACTTGAAAAAACCCTTTTTACTCAGATTAAATTACTAACAAACTTTTCATTTCCTTTAACTTACTAAAAACATCTCTACCTGTAAATACGTACAGATTACACTCTCTAGTCAACAGCTGTCATTCTGTCATATCAACAGATACCCGTGGCTGCTACTCCTTGAGGCATCCACAGAATCACAGCATTTTCCAGTATTGAAAGGCCTGAAAGATCCCGGTGCCTTCATTTCAACTGTGAGACATGAAGTAATTTTCCCAAATCTACAACAGTAAGATATGGTGCAATAAGGACCAGATTAAAGGTCCCCTGATTTGCAACCATGTTCCCTCCATCTCCTTTACTCCTAAACACACTCACACGCTCACTCCTGCAAACAGTTGTCTTGTCAAGTGGGAAATGAATGCTCTTGCAAGGCTCAAACTTGTGAACACATCACTGACCAGCACAGAGCTGGCTCACAATAGGGACGCAATTAAAGTGTTTTACACGCAACTGGTTCAAACCTTTCAAGTACTAAATTAAAACAATCCTTTAAAGGAGGAAATTGTTTCAGAAGAGGACCTTCATACAGCATCTCTGACCAGCGACTGATGATGCTATTGTAATCAGATGCTGATTCGTTCTCCAACACTAGATTACCCAATCCACAAGCAAGGAAATCAGTAACTTCTTCCCTATAATTTGGAATGTGGGTGGAGAGGGGTCATAGTTCTCCCTGAGTGAGACTCACCTGCTCCTCTGGCCCCTGGTCCTGTCCTGTTCTCCAGCATGGTGTGTCTGAAGCTCCCTGGAGGCTCCTGCATGGCAGCTCTGACAGTGACACTGATGGTGCTGAGCTCCCCACTGGCTTTGGCTGGGGACACCCAACGTAAGTGCACATTGTGGGTGCTGAGCTACTATGGGGTGGGGAAAAAAGGGAGTTTTGTTAACATTGTGCCCAGGCCATGTCCCTTAAGAAAGTGTGACATTTTCTTCAGGGATTGCCCATCTTTATTGTATGGATCCCAAATTATTTCCACCACAAATGGAACGTGGCTACTTGCCCTCTTCATGAGACTGTGTAAGGGGCCTTTGTATAGGCCATTTTTTTTCTTTAAATCTCCACCAATAAAACCTTTGTATCACATGTCCTCAGGGTCTTTAGAGGATTTAGAAATAAGGATGCTAAAATAAATTCCTCATACAGCACTTCCCTTTATCATGTTGACTTATGTCAGACAAAACGAGGTTTTGTTTTGAAAATTTTGTGGGAGTCAAAGGAATTCAAAGGGTCTCTCCTAGACGATCCTGTGTTGTCCTCCACAGGACCTGTGGTGTTGGCCCCTCTTCCTTATATGTAAGGACAGTGGCCTCCCCATTGTCTCCTTTCTTTTTTTTCTGAAGTCTAATGTTTATAAAGCCTGTATCCCTGTAGCATATGTAGGTTCTCTGACAGAAGTTATGCTTAGTGCTCTTTCTTTCTTATGGGGAAAAGTCCCTGGATCTGAAATTGAGATCTTTAGTACTTGGAGTCACCCTACAGGTAAAGACCATTTATGAGGTATTCATTGGTGCCTAAGAACTTAAGGCATCCTCTGAAAAACTGGCCCAGGTTAGTTCTTATTATTAATCTTTTTTAACCTTTCTATACTTGTTTCTCCCACATGCTCTAACTAGACATGACAGAAGAGATTCAACTAACGTAGGATAAATTATATGAAATTCTATTTTTGTAAGTCAAAAATAGTCAAATACCAGAAAATTAATAATGTTCAAACTATATACTCTGTGTGGGGTTACTGAGATGACGTGGACATTGTTCACATCTCATAGGGCTGAAAGTCAATGAGCAAGTCCTGGAAACTCATTGTCTTACTGGGTTCTTGTCCTAAATTTCATAGGTTCACCCATCATGCCCTCAGCTTTCCTTAATTAGCCATGTCTGCTTACCTCTACCTCGTTTCTCTCTATTTTTCCCCAGCTATGTTGTCATCATTTCCAGAAATCTCTAAAACTTGCACAGATCCTTAGCACTATGAGATCCATTGAAAGACATAATTTTTTTCTTTTTGAGACAGGGCTTGCTTCTGTCACCCAGGCTGTAGTGCAGTAGTGTGATCTAGGCTCACTGCAGCCTCTGCTTCCCATGCTCAAGTGATCCTCCCTCCTCAGCCTCCAGAGTAGCGGAGACTACAGGCAGGCAAACATGTGCAGCTAATTTTCACAATTTTGGTAGAGATGAGATTTTGCCATGTTGCCCAGGCTGGTCTTAAACTCCTGGACTCAAGCAATTCTCCTGCCTTAGCCTCCCAACGTGCTAGTATTATAGATGTGAGCCATTGTGCCCAGGCAAAAAGAGATGAATCTCAATTAAAAATTTTCCTTTTTCTTAAATCATTGTTTCTCTATCTGTGAATTCTTCTTCCACCTAGAAGGAGGAGAAAGAAGAAGTTTGCCTGTATTTCTCACCAGGAGGAGAAGGGGTCTAGTATGACATCAAAATGAAAGAGTGCTGGAGCTTGAGCCCCTTCTTGCTTTCCGGGATCCCCACAGTGATCAGTTCCCATACCCTGTTTTATTCATGTAAAGCACACTTATTTTTCTCAGCAGCTACTCTTTACTGGGCTCCATTCTAAGTTCAAATCATTCTATTTGAGTAAGACAGAGAGGGTCACTACTGTCATGGAAGTTACACAACAGTGGAGGAGACAGACACTAACCCAAAAAGCATTTAACAAAGAAGAAAATGTTAGAGAGTCATAGTGCACTGAAGAAAAGATATCAGGTTTGTGGAAAAGAGAGAAATGGATTCACCTACTTTAGTTCATATGTTTAGGCAGCTATACCTGAGAAAGTGACATTCAGCTGAGATAACAAAATAAGTAGACAGTCATGTAAAGATCTAAGGGATGAAAGTTCCAGGGAGAACAAATAGGGGGAAAGCTCTGGTGTGGGAAATTATGTGGAGGGACAGAAAGAAGGCTAGAGGGACTGAAGTATAGCAAGCAAGGAAATGGAGAGGCAGAAGATGAGATAGGACACAGAGAGGAAGTCAGAAGCCTCATCATATTAGACTCTGATGTCCACGGTAAAAAATTTGAATTTTATTTTTATTTATTTATTTATTTTTCCTTTTCTTTTTTTTTCTTTTTTTTATTATTATTATACTTTAAGATTTAGGGTACATGTGCACAATGTGCAGGTTAGTTACATATGTATACATGTGCCATGCTGGTGTGCTGCACCCATTAACTCGTCATTTAGCATTAGGTATATCTCCTAAAGCTATCCCTCCCCCCTCCCCCCACCCCACAACTGTCCCCAGAGTGTGATGTTCCCCTTCCTGTGTCCATGTGTTCTCATTGTTCAATTCCCACCTATGAGTGAGAACATGCGGTGTTTGGTTTTTTGTTCTTGCGATAGTTTACTGAGAATGATGATTTCCAATTTCATCCATGTCCCTACAAAGGACATGAACTCATCATTTTTTATTGCTGCATAGTATTCCATGATGTATATGTGCCATGATGTATATGGATTTTCTTAATCCAGTCTATCATTGTTGGACATTTGGGTTGGTTCCAAGTCTTTGCTATTGTGAATAGTGCCGCAATAAACATACGTGTGCATGTGTCTTTATAGCAGCATGATTTATAGTCCTTTG
Organism: Homo sapiens; assembly: GCF_000001405.40. NCBI lineage: Eukaryota > Metazoa > Chordata > Mammalia > Primates > Hominidae > Homo > Homo sapiens. Next base: position 4,001,575 of record NT_167246.2, on the reverse strand, counting down.
GGTATATACCCAGTAATGGGATGGCTGGGTCAAATGGTATTTCTAGTTCTAGATCCCTGAGGAATCGCCACACTGACTTCCACAATGGTTGAACTAGTTTAGAGTCCCACCAACAGTGTAAAAGAGTTCCTATTTCTCCACATCCTCTCCAGCACCTGTTGTTTCCTGACTTTTTAATGACTGCCATTCTAACTGGTGTGAGATGGTATCTCATTGTGGTTTTGATTTGCATTTCTCTGATAGCCAGTGATGATGAGCATTTTTTCATGTGTTTTTTGGCTGCATAAATGTCTTCTTTTGAGAAGTGCCTGTTCATGTCCTTTGCCCAGTTTTTGATGGGGTTGTTTGTTTTTTTCTTGTAAATTTGTTTGAGTCCATTGTAGATTCTGGATATTAGCCCTTTGTCAGATGAGTAGGTTGCGAAAATTTTCTCCCATTTTGTAGGTTGCCTGTTCACTCTGATGGTAGTTTCTTTTGCTGTGCAGAAGCTCTTTAGTTTAATTAGATCCCATTTGTCCATTTTGGCTTTTGTTGCCATTGCTTTTGGTGTTTTAGACATGAAGTCCTTGCCCATGCCTATGTCCTGAATGGTAATGCCTAGGTTTTCTTCTAGGGTTTTTATGGTTTTAAGTCTAACATTTAAGTCTTTAATCCATCTTGAATTAATTTTTGTATAAGGTGTAAGGAAGGGATCCAGTTTCAGCTTTCCACATATGGCTAGCCAGTTTTCCCAGCACCATTAATCCAGGATATAAACAGAACCAAAGACAAAAACCACATGATCATCTCAATAGATGCAGAAAACGCCTTTGACAAAATTCAACAACCTTTCATGCTAAAAACTCTCTATAAATTAGGTATTGATGGGATATACCTCAAAATAATAAGAGCTATCTATGACAAACCCACAGCCAATATCATACTGAATGGGCAAAAACTGGAAGCATTCCCTTTGAAAACTGGCACAAGACAGGGATGCCCTCTCTCACCACTCCTATTCAACGTAGTGTTGGAAGTTCTGGCCAGGGCAATTAGGCAGGAGAAGGAAATAAAGGGTATTCAATTAAGAAAAGAGGAAGTCAAATTGTCCCTGTTTGCAGATGACATGATTGTATATCTAGAAAACCCCATTGTCTCAGCCAAAATCTCCTTAAGCTGATAAGCAACTTCAGCAAAGTCTCAGGATAAAAAATCAATGTACAAAAATCACAAGCATTCTTATACACCAATAACAGACAAACAGAGAGCCAAATCATGAGTGAACTCCCATTCACAATTGCTTCAAAGAGAATAAAATACCTAGGAATCCAACTTACAAGGGACGTGAAGGACCTCTTCAAGGAGAACTACAAACCACTGCTCAAGGAAATAAAAGAGGATACAAAGAAATGGAAGAACATTCCATGCTCATGGGTAGGAAGAATCAATATCGTGAAAATGGCCATACTGCCCAAGGTAATTTATAGATTCAATGCCATCCCCATCAAGCTACCAATGACTTTCTTCACAGAATTGGAAAAAACTACTTTAAAGTTCATATGGCACCAAAAAAGAGCCCTCATCACCAAGTCAATCCTAAGCCAAAAGAACAAAGCTGGAGGCATCATGCTACCTGACTTCAAACTATACTACAAGGCTACAGTAACCAAAACAGCATGGTACTGGTACCAAAACAGAGATATAGATCAATGGAACAGAACAGAGCCCTCAGAAATAACGCCACATATCTACAACTATCTGATCTTTGACAAACCTGAGAAAAACAAGCAATGGGGAAAGGATTCCCTATTTTTATTTATTTTTTGAGATGGAGTTTCATCCTTGTTGCCCAGGCTGGAGTGCAATGGCACAATTTCGACTCACTGCAACCTCCACATCCCAGGTTCAAGTGATTCTCCTGCCTCAGCTTCCCAAGTAGCTGGGATTTACAGGTGCCCGTGACCATACCTGGCTAATTTTTTTGTATTTTTAGTAGAGACAGGATATCACCATGTTGCCCAAGCTGGCCTGGAACTCCTGACCTCAGATGATCTGCCTGCCTTGGCCTCCCAAAGTGCTGAGATTACAGGCGTGAGCCACCGTGCCCAACCTGAATTTTATTTAAATAGATATGAGAAGCTACTGTATGGTTACAAGGAGAGTCAATTTATATTCAATTTTTTTTTTGAGATGGAGTCTTGCTCTGTTGCCCAGGCTAGATTGCAGTAGTACAATCTTGGCTCACTGCAACCTCTGCCTCCTGGGTTCAAGCGATTCTCCTGCCTCAGCCTCCCAAGTAGCTGAGACCACAGGCGCATGCCACCACACCCGGCTAATTTTTTATATTTTTAGTAGAGATGGGGTTTCACCGTGTTAGCCAGGATGGTCTCGATCTCCTGACCTCATGATCCACCCCCCTCGGCCTCCCAAAGTGCTGGGATTACAGGCTTGAGCCACCTCACCCGGCCTCTATTCAATTATTAAAATTAATTCTAGCTACTCTGTGGGGATTGGATTGTTGGGTTTCACAAGTGGTCAGGAAGACTATTTAGGAACATAGCAGGGAATTCCCCAGGGAAAGCAGGCTTGTGGCTTCATAGAGTGCAGTAGCAATAAAGACAGTGAAAACAACAAAGTGGACAGACTCGGCATGTATTTTTGCTTAGCTTGTTAATGGATTACTCTAAAGGGGGTAGAAAAATCAAGCTTATTCCTAAGGATTTCGTTTTGACAAATAAATGGATGATGGTGTTGTTTATTGAAACAGGAAAAACTATGGGAGGAAATGATTTGAAATGGGTGGTTGGAAATAAAATTTTGTTTAAATTTGAGATGATTTATTGACATTTCTGTGGAGCAATCAGAAGGTCAATGGCATTTAAGAGACTCATGGTGAGGCTAGGGCTTCAGGTATTTATGTTGGCGGCATCAATACATGTAGTGTGTTAAATTCCAGGGAGTGGAAGAGGATACATAGGGAGATGGATTGTGTGGAGAAAAAAGAAGAGGGCACAGGCCAGCAAAGGCGGCTGAGAAAGAGCCCAGGGATGTTGGAGAAAAGAGAACATAATGCGTGTAAGTCACGGAAAATAGATTATTTTCAAGGAGAAAGGAGAGTCCAATTGTGGTGAGTACCACTAAGAGGAGGGGGAAATGAGAATGTGACAGAGAAGCAAGTGCTGGGTTTGCTGGAGTTGATATTTGCAGTCAATGGAGTATCCAGGATGGAAACTGGACTGGACCTTTTGAAGAGCGAGTAGAAGTGAAGACAAGGTTAAGGTTGACTGTTTTGAGTAGAGACCTTCAGGGAAGGACTGTGCTCTGGATTCAGGGAGCCCTCTGACTCTAAAGGAAAAGGCTAAAGAGGCTGAAGAGAAGGAGGAGGACCTGTGAACCAGAGATGCTCAGTCACTATTAGCAAGGAAATACTAGAGGGTCCCTGTGTGCAGTGCTCACTGCTCATGCAAAAGGTCACACAGCCAATATTTATTAGTAATATAGAATATACCAGTTATTACTCTAGGTCATGAGAATGGAGGGATGAATAAAATGAATCCCGGTCGCCATCAGTATATGCCATGTAACATTTTGCAGTGACTGTGTACCAGGCCTATGAATTTCAGTATTCGATTTCAATAGTGATCCTGTTGTATCTGTGGTATTTAAAAACATATACTTCTCTGGAATCTAAAATTGAGAGATTATAAGTAAAACCCAGTATTACAAATTTAATGCTGGAAATCAGATTGCATTTTAAATCTGAGCATGTAGAAAGTCCCTTTCTTCTATGTCAGCAGATGCCTTTTGTGTGAGGTTTAGGTATACTGCATTATTAGACATAAACTAGCATTTCTGCCCTATGTTTTCAGAATGACAATTCTTTATGAAACTAATAGAAGAACAGAAGACAATTGCAAAATCATGATGAATATACTAATTGCTTTAGAATCAAGGAATACAAAAATGTGAGCTGCAGTTATAGGGATTATAAAAGTTAAAATGGGAATATATTCGAGTGCTTATTATGTGATCAGTGCTAAGAAGTCATTATTTAATTTTACATTTAACAATAATCCTGTGAGGATTAAACTATTATTAAATGCATTTGATAGATTACAAAAAGGTTTATGTTTGGTAAAAATTGACCCAAGGAGAAGAGGTCACGTTTTTATCCAGATTTTCTGATTCTAGAGTTTGAGAGTCTGTCCATCATTAGTGAATAGTGACTATATTGTGTTTAAATTATTGACAGAATTTCTGATATTCATATGTTACCAGGTTGTTTATTAGAGTGGGGGCAGAGATGCAAGGGCTGCTAGTTCCAATGTATAGGAGAAATTTTCATTCATTTTAAAAGCTCTATATGTCTGTCATGGGCATATGTTGAAGAACACAAGGAAGTATTAAATCACTCCTTCTTCTGAGGTTTGTCTGAGGTTTTCTAGTAAGCTGGGCTAGGATTGCCAAATAAAATACAGGTTCCCAGTTAAATCTGAATTTCGGATACACAATCATAATTTACTGAAAGTCCAAATTTAACTGGGTATCCTCTGGTTTTATTTGCCAAATCTGTCACCCCTAAGTGGGACACATGAGCATGGATTATAGTGCTATCCATGCAAGCCACAGCCACAGTGAAAGCAACTTCACACATGTTTATTTTTTAACTTTCTCTCTGTAAAGAAAGTGCTTAGATAATTTAGGAATAAAAAGGTAGACATTATTTGATCCAGGGTGCACACTTCTCTGCCAACCTTTATAAAGGGCAAAGGGAGATTTCCGCAGGTCTTGCTTACAGTCTGGGGACCTGCTCATGTTTTGAAACTGTCTGTATGAGAATGTCATTTTCTTGGTTTCTCCCTTTCTGAAGGGACTTCACTACAAAACTGAGAGTTCTACCTCTGGCCAAGCCTGGTAATTTGAGGCCTGCTAGTATTGTTGGGAATGGGAGACTGAAATAAATGAGTTAGTTGGGGCATTAAACAGGAATAAAATAGCTGTGGTTGTGATTCATTACTACAGATAATTAGTGGACCAGTGGCGGAGAAATTAAGAAAGAAGATGATGTGAAAGATAAATTATATGATTTGGTGACTGATTGGTAAGGCAAGGTAATCAGTGAATCTCGGTTCTCAGTAAGTTCATTTTCTGGAAAGATAGCACTGTACTGGGACCAGAATTCTAGAAAACATTCGTTTTATGTAGGACAAAGATTTTCAACCAATATTTTTCAATGCAATTCTCAGCTGCTCCATAACTAATAGTGGCTTATTCAACACAGATTTTTTCAGATGGTTCACACCCGTGGTTCTTACCCAGGGATAGTTCACCACCCCTCCCTTCCCTCCCACCACCCTTAGGGAATGTGTGGCAATGTTGGAACACTTTTTGGTTGTCACAACAGGGGTTTCTTCTGATATTTAATGAGTAGAAGCCAGGGACACTGCTAGAGAACCCACAATGTTCAGAACAGACTCCATGACCAACAAAGAATTATCTGGTCCAAAATGTCAATAGTGCTGAGGCTGAGAGCACCGGTTCACACTGTGCTCTTTCTGAAAATTCTAGACTCACTTTTTTGTTTGTTTGTTTTTTTGAAATGGGGTCTTGCTCTGTCACCCAGGCTGGAGTGCAGTGGCTCCCTCTCGGCTCACTGCAACCTCTGCCTCCGAGGTTCAAGTGATTCTCCCGTCTCAGCCTCCCGAGTAGCTGGGATTACAGGTGCACCCCGCCATGCCCAGCTAATTTTTTGTATTTTAGTAGAGACGGGGTTTTACCATGTTGCCCAGGCTGATCTCCTGAGCTCAGGCAATCCACCTGCCTCAGTCTCCCAAAGTGCTAGGATTACAGGCTTGAGCCACCGCGCCTGGCCTAGACTCACATCTTTTATACAGTCACTGCCCAATTCAGTTCTTTATGGTTTATTTTTGCTTGTTTCACTATAAAAAACTAGACAGTTGCATAAATTCAACCACTTACTTGTTGAATCCATTTAGTCAATGCAATCTCAACATTTTCATATTTATTTTTTGCCTTATGCAATATTTTTGAACATTTTCATGAGTTTTTGGTCAGCACTATATTAACTTTCAACAGCTTGCCCTTATAAGTCATAAATAGTGATGCTGCTGCAATTATTTTTCACTAACATGCCTCAGATTTCTGTAGTGATTCTACATTTGATATTATTCACAATGTAAAATGCTTCTATTTATTCATTTCACTTTTACCCACAGGATTATTTTAAAGTTATGTTTGTCATTTTCACACTTCAATCAAACATAAAGACAAAAACATCAAAAACATGTACATAGTGTTTTACGTATGTGTATATTTACACACATATATGTATGTGTGTTTATATGTATTGAAACTACAGAAGCACATGTAACCAATAAGAGCTCTGAGACACCTTTGACCACTTACCCTTATCAGATGAGATTTGCCAAATGAGTTTTGGGAACAAATTTCTTTTAACTGAATTTCTGAGCTTTGTGAATTTAGAAATGCAAAGGAAGGTTTGTGAACATTTATGGGGATCATAGTTTTATTTTCCTTAAAACTCTTCGATACTTTCCCATTGTCTTTAGTAAATCCAAAATCCTAACACCACCCACGAGGCTTTTAAATACCTGGCTTCTTGTGACTTCTCCAGTCTAATCTTTTACCCTCCTTCCCCTCAGCCTCTCTGCTTTAGTGAAATTTGTTCTAGTTTTTTGATTAAGTTCATCAGTTTAAGCTTTTGTACATGGGATTTCCGAAACCTGAAATGTGCCACCCGTTTTGTCCAAGCAGACACACAGGCTCCACCCTGCTCCTGGCTCACCCCTGCTTAACCTGTCAAGTCACATCTGAACCGTCACTCTTCAGAGGGTCCTCCTCTGGCACCCTAATGTAATTGAGATCATCCTATTATTCTCTGCTCTAGAACTCCACACTTCTGACATTTCTCATTCCTGTCTAAGCTCTTGCGTGTTTGGTTTTTGGCCATCACTTTCACTGCTCTTTAAGCTCCCCCAGCAGAGTGGAGAGGTCTGTTTTCCCTTGTTTGGATTCCTAGAGGCAGCGCAGGCCAAACACAAGGTCATCACTAAGGAAGTGTGCACAGGATGAACGCGGTGGGTGCTGTTTAAGGGAAGGGTAAAGCCTTTAAAGGGTAAAGGGCTGAGAGAAGGAGCAGAGAGTGTGTTTGGGGTGGAGGCTCCCAGGAGGAGTCGGTGCGGGCTGCGGTGCTGGACGGATCCTCCTCCAGCTCCTGCTTAGAGGTCTCCAGAACCGGCTGGAGGCAGGGAGGGGGTCCCAAAGCCTGGGGATCAGAGGTAGTTTTCCCACCTGGTCCCCCAGACCCCCGTCCGCTTCAGAAAGACAGAGGATGATCCCCTGGCCTGCGCGCAGTCGGGGTTGCGGGTGGGGCCGGTCAAGGTTCCCAGTGCCCGCACCCTGCCCAGGGAGCCCCGGATGGCGGCGTCGCTGTCAGTGTTTTTCCCGGAGACCGCCCCTGTGACCGGATCGTTTGTGCCCCCACAGCACGTTTCCTGTGGCAGGGTAAGTATAAGTGTCATTTCTTCAACGGGACGGAGCGGGTGCAGTTCCTGGAAAGACTCTTCTATAACCAGGAGGAGTTCGTGCGCTTCGACAGCGACGTGGGGGAGTACCGGGCGGTGACGGAGCTAGGGCGGCCTGTCGCCGAGTCCTGGAACAGCCAGAAGGACATCCTGGAGGACAGGCGGGGCCAGGTGGACACCGTGTGCAGACACAACTACGGGGTTGGTGAGAGCTTCACAGTGCAGCGGCGAGGTGAGCGCGGCGGAGGCGGGGCCTGGGTCTCTCCGAGCTGGGAATCTGAGTGTGGTTGTGTGTGTGTGTGTGAGAGAGAGAGAGAGAGCGAGACCGCCATCTGTGAGCATTCAGAATCCTCTCAATCCTGAGCAAGGAGTTCTGAAGGCACAGGTGTGTGTGTAGAGTGTGGATTTGTCTGTGTGGCTGTTGTGGGAGGGGAGGCAGGAGGGGGGCTGCTTCTTATCCTTGGAGGCCTCTGTGGGGAGGTGACGTGGGAGGGGGGTACAGGGGGCTGGAGACAGATTGGACCTTGATTGTCCTGGGTCCTTGGAGATGCAGGGAAGGGAAGTGTAGGGTGTGTGTGGTTGGGGTGAAGGTTTAGGAGAGGAGAACTGAGGGGTATAGAAGGTTTGGGATAATGTGAGGAGGCCAGTACCAGACGGTCCCTGGCACACACCCTTCATGCAATCTCTGAAATAAAAGTGTGTGCTGTTTGTTTGCAAAAGCATTAAATTAATTTCTAGGGGAACTGAGGAGACCTCTGAGGCACCTCTGAAGCTTCTTTATTTTAGGTCTAAATTTCTTGCTATTTTTTTGTTTTCTTAGTGTGTATATTTTTACATACTTGAAATGACTGTGAAACTAACTTTTTGAATTAAAGTTTGAACACAGTTACTATTTCATTATAATGCTAATAATTCCATAGTTACATATTATTCTTTTATATTTAATAGTTGTGACACAAATTACCTCACTTTCCCCTTTGATGACCTTTATTATGACATTGACCAAAAGTTGAAAATGTATGTTTCTGGTTAATTTTTGATTTATATTTTTTTGGTTTGTAATTCTTTTGAATTATATTGACCTATTTATTGGCCAGTTATAATTACTGCTCAACCAATTACCTGTTGTGTAATGGACAGTGATCTATTGTCTGTTATCTCTAGGGCTTAGTATTTTTCTCAGTGACTTTGTGGGTTCTTTGTACTGTAAGATTATTAACACTTTATTGATATTTGATTCAGTATTTTCTCCAGTTTGTGGTATGTATATTTTGAAAATTCTTTTCCATGTTAAGAATTTGAACATTTTTGTTTAGTAAAATATATTGCAAAATATTAATTAATGATTTACAAACTAGCTCAAGTCTACCATTTTGTGGTATTGTTGTCTCCAAGTTTCTCCTTCCTTCTTAAAAAAAATGTATTTATTGAGAGCATGCTAGTGTGTTAGGGATTTCCCTAGGCATAATCACCCCAAGTAATGAGTCCCAGACCCTGCCTTGATCCAAATTTCATTCTGGAAAGAAAAATCATTTTACAATGATAGGCCTAATAATAGTTATACTTGTTTTGCCTGGGAGATGCATTGATCAGCTAAATGTAAATATAAGAACTTTCAAAACTAAAATGACGTTCCTTAATCCTTCTCTCTGCTTTAGGACTCATGCTTTTTTAGGAACTTAAAGATTTGGAGAATCATTTCTGTCTGTCCCACCTTCCCAGGAGCATAACCATTTCTGTGGTGTTCTAAGGTGTGAGTGCATGGCAGTAGTATTCCTAAAAATTCATACTCAGTTTCCTCATGTGCCCTACTCCGTCCCTTTCTCTATCCACATTGCTTTAAATCATATTTTTCCCTCAAGGTGTACAAGGATGATAAATAGGTGCCAAGTGGTGCACACAAGTGTGATGAGCCCTCTCACAGTGGAATGGAGTGAGAAGCTTTCTAACCTCATAAATTGAAGGCTATCTTCAGTCTTTTTTTTATATATTTTACTCGCATTAATCCTCATATAACCTCAAGAGGTAAATTAATATAATTATCCTCCATTACTGGTGAGAAAGTTGAGACACAAAAGAATCAAATACTCTTCCAGGATCAACCAGTAAAAGGCAGACCTTGGATTTGAACCAGGCAACCTGGCTCAGAAGTCAGTTTTAATTACTACACTCTGTACGTTCAAAGATTTGTAAACACTTTGACAATGCATGTCAATTTCAAGCTATGAAGAGCCAAACATAATTTTTCACAGTATCTCTCAAATCTAATGGGTCCCCACTATAAAGATTAAATTCCAGGCTGATGAGACTGTGAGGCCACATGGCCAGCTGTGTTGGAGGTCTGCTCAAGGCCAGAGCCTAGGTTTACAGAGAAGCAGACAAAAAACTAAACAAGGAGACTTACTCTGTCTTCCTGACTCATTCCCTCTACCTTGTTTTCTCCTAGTCCATCCTGAGGTGACTGTGTATCCTGCCAAGACTCAGCCCCTGCAGCACCACAACCTCCTGGTCTGCTCTGTGAGTGGTTTCTATCCAGGCAGCATTGAAGTCAGGTGGTTCCGGAACGGCCAGGAAGAGAAGGCTGGGGTGGTGTCCACAGGCCTGATCCAGAATGGAGACTGGACCTTCCAGACCCTGGTGATGCTGGAAACAGTTCCTCGGAGTGGAGAAGTTTACACCTGCCAAGTGGAGCACCCAAGTGTGATGAGCCCTCTCACAGTGGAATGGAGTGAGCAGCTTTCTGACTTCATAAATTTCTCACCCACCAAGAAGGGGACTGTGCTAATACCTGAGTGTCGGGTTTCTCCTCTCCCACATCCTATTTTCATTTGCTCCATGTTCTCATCTCCATCAGCACAGGTCACTGAGGGTAGCCCTGTAATACTTTCTAGAAACACCTGTACCCCCTGGGGAAGAAGTCATGCCTGCCAGGCAGGAGAGGCTGTCCCTCTTTTGAACCTCCCCATGATGTCACAGGTCAGGATCACCTGCTGTCCGTGGGCTCCAGGCCCTGCCTCTGGGTCTGAGACTGAGTTTCTGGTGCTGTTGCTCTGAGTTGTTTGTTGTAATCTGAGAAGAGGAGAAGTATAGGGGCCTTCCTGACATGAGGAGAGTCCAATCTCAGCTCTGCCTTTTATTAGGTCTGTCACTCTAGGCAACTACTTAACCTCATTGGGTCTCAGGCTTTCTGTGGATCAGATGTTGAAGTCCTGCCTTACATCAAGGTTGTAATATTTGAATGACTTTGATGCCTGAATCTTGTAACTGTTCAGTGTGATTTGAAAACCTTTTTTTCTCAAGAAATAGTTATTTTAGTTCTTGCAGGGCAGCCTTCTTTCTCATTTTCAAAGCTCTGAATCTCAGGGTGTCAATTAAAGGGGTTCCATTTAAGATAAAAATCACTAATCCTTGCTTCCTCTCTCAGGAGCACGGTCTGAATCTGCACAGAGCAAGATGCTGAGTGGAGTCGGGGGCTTTGTGCTGGGCCTGCTCTTCCTTGGGGCCGGGTTGTTCATCTACTTCAGGAATCAGAAAGGTGAGGAGCCTTTGGTAACTGGCTCTCTCCATACGCTTTTCTGGAGGAGGAACTATGGCTTTGCTGAGGTTAGTTCTCAGTATATGAATGGCCCTGGATAAAGCCTTTCTATTCCCAAATGACCTCCAATGTTCTGCAATTCCAGAAATCATCAGTGCATGGTTGCTATGTCAAAGCATAATAGCTTGTGGCCTACAGAGATAACAGAAAGGTTAACAGGTATGGGTGCTTTGGTTGAGATTCTGGAGCAAATTAAGGAAGAGCCACTAAGGCTAATGGAATTACACTGGATCCTGTGACAGACACTTCACGCTTCATGGGTCACGTGGTCTGTTTCTGCTCCTCTGTGCCCTGGTTGGTGTGGGTTGTGGTGTTAGAGAAATCTCAGGTGGGAGATCTGGGGCTGGAACATTGTGTTGGAGGACAGATTTGCTTCCGTATCCTTTAAGTCCATATCTTTTCCTCTTTTCCCTAGGACACTCTGGACTTCAGCCAACAGGTAATACCTTTTCATCCTCTTTAAGAAACAGATTTGGAGGCCGGGCGTGGTGGGTTACACCTGTAATCCCAGCACTTTGGGAGGCCGAGGGGGGCAGATCAGGAGGTCAGGAGTCGAGACCAGCCTGACCAACATGGTGAAACCCCGTCTCTACTAAAAATACAAAAATTAGTGGGGCGTGGTGGTGTGCGCCTGTAATCCCAGCTACTCAGGAGACTGAGGCAGGAGAATCGCTTGAACCCGGGAGGCAGAGGTTGCAGTGAGCCGAGATTGCACCGCTGCACTCCAGCCTAGGCAACAGAATGAGACTCCGTCTCAAAAAAAAAAAAAGAAAGAAAGAAAGGGAGGGAGGGAGGGAAGGAAGAAAGAAGGAAGGAAGGAAGGAAGGAAGGAAGGAAGGAAGGAAGGAAAGAAGGAAAGAAAGAAAGAAAAGAAAGAGATTTCCTTTCCCTAGAATGATGGTAAAGGTGATAAGGCATGAGACAGAAGTAATAGCAAAGACATTGGATCCAAATTTCTGATCAGGCAATTTACACCAAAACTCCTCCTCTCCACTTAGAAAAGGCCTGTGCTCTGCAGGAGTATTGACTCATGGAGACTTCAGAACTTGTTTTTCTTCTTCCTGCAGTGCTCTCATCTGAGTCTTTGAAAGAGGGCAAAATAAACTGTTAGTGGAGCCAGGTCTGAAAACAACACTTTCTTGTGTCTCTGCAGGATTCCTGAGCTGAAGTGAAGATGACCACATTCAAGGAAAAACCTTCTGCCCCAGCTTTGCAGGATGAAACACTTCCCCGCTTGGCTCTCATTCTTCCACAAGAGAGACCTTTCTCCGGACCTGGTTGCTACTGGTTCAGCAACTCTGCAGAAAATGTCCTCCCCTGTGGCTGCCTCAGCTCATGCCTTTGGCCTGAAGTCCCAGCATTGATGGCAGCCCCTCATCTTCCAAGTTTTGTGCTCCCCTTTACCTAACGCTTCCTGCCTCCCATGCATCTGTACTCCTCCTGTGCCACAAACACATTACATTATTAAATGTTTCTCAAACATGGAGTTAAAAATCGTCTGGTCATTTGGCTCCAAGGACAAAAAATAAAAAGAAAAGAAAAAGTGAAGATTATTTCCCGATAGAATAATGGTTTTCATGGATATGTCAGAAGTGTGTGAGGTAATGCATATGTTAAATAGGTTGATTTAGACATTTTACACTATAGGCATATATCAAAACTTCATGCTGTATGACATAAATAAACAATTTTTTCTTGTCAATTTAAAAAGTAAACCTAATGTTTAAGAAGGCAATGCATAAAAACTGAGAACAGACTATAAGAACAGAAACAAACTTGGCAAACATGAGATGATAAACCAGCTAGCAAGTCAATCAGAACTCTTTCTCAACCCCGTCTACAATATTGTGTATCTATAACTGCAAATTATAGTTTTTCATTCCAGAGACTTCAATTATATGGTATTATCAAAGGACTTGTACAGATTTCAGAGAAAGACAAATTTAGAAGATGGAGGGTTCTCCATCGTATTCTGAGAGTCAGTATCAAATATGTCAAATCTAAAAGTACATAATCAATTCAAATTTTATTTCAACATAATCATTTGAGCATAATTTTTCTACCGTCAGAGACAACTGTTATTTTATTTTCAATCAAATTCAGTGTATATTTTGTGCATATTTCATTTTTAGTTATATTACATGTTACTTGTACATACATACCAGGTGTGTAAAGGTACATATAAATTCTATAAGAATATAAAACCTATAAGAATATATTAAGCTGATAATTATGTCTGCTCTGTTTGATCCCAGAGTTGCAACAAATAAGACTTTGTTCCCTAAGTTGAGAAAATGATTTGTCTCATTCATATGAGACTTGTGGTGTGGAATTATAAGGTAGAACTAAAATGTGTGGGTTGAATATTATAATGAAGATGCCTTCTGCTGTGAACAGCAGGAAATCTGATCTAGTGGGGTGTATTTTTCTTTCACCCATTATCTCACATAGCCAATAGATCCAAGGCTGGGCATCTCCAGGTTTGCTCAACTCAGCAGGCCAGTGGCATCACCAGTGATCCTGGGACTTCATAGCTCATCTCTCTATCACACACAGCATGTCAGCTTTCCTGAGATGGTAGGAGGACCCCCGCAGCAGCTTTAGGTTTCTTATTCTTTCACAACAACTTCAAATGCAGGAAAAAGATACTACATTTTCCTGTGTGCATTTATAAGCAGCAACTAAACTGTTTCCAGAGTTTTCCCAGTACCCACTTTCTCACATATTGGAATGAGTATATACACATATATATACACATATATATGTGTATATATATGTGTATATATGTGTATATATGTGCATATATATAAAATGTGTATATATGTGTGTATATATATAAAATGTCAGCCATTAACTCAATTACAATAAAACAAAAAAGCAAGCAAAAACGATTGTTTTTAGAACTCAATTAAGCATGCTGACATGTTATTTTATGAGATAAATATATTTTCCAGGAAATTTTTGAAAAAAGGTAGAATAAAGAATGACTAGCTCTTTAAGGTCCCAAAACGTACTATACATTTATTTTTTAAAATGCATTTGTTACGGATTTTTTTTATTAAATACGCTAGTAAAACAGAGTATAGAATTAGAAACAGAAAGAGTTGAGATTTAGTTTCATTTTTTTGTAAGTTGCATTCCAAACTCATTTCTTTCATTAAATGGATCCTGGATAAATAAAAGTTGAAACATAAAGGGACAATATAAAATTAACAAGATAGATTTTTTTTTATTTTTTGAGACGGAGTCTCACTCTATTGCCCAGACTGAAATACAGTGGCGCGATCCCGGATCCCCACAATCTCTGCTTCCTGGGTTCAAGCATTTCTCCTGCCTCAGCCTACAAAGTAGCAGGGACTATGGACGCCCGCCACCATGCCCGGCTAATTTTTATATTTTTTGTAGAGACGGGTTTTCACTATGTTGACCAGGCTGGTCTCCAAGTCCTGACCTCGTGATCTGACACCTCGCCCTCCGAAAGTGCTGGGACTACAAGCGTGAGCCTCCACATCCAGCTGACAGATGTTATTTCTATCATCATCATTATAAATATGTTTGAAGACAAACAGACTTTCTAAATCCTTATGTATTATTGGTGGGAATGTATGATTTTACAAATATCTGGAAATATGACAATTTCTTAAAAAGTTTAACATAAATTTGCCATATGACCCAGCAATTTCACTCCTTGGAATCTACCTGAGACATAAAAACATATGTCCTCACAAAGATATGTGTTCAAGGGTTCAGAACAGCCTTAGCCATAGCAGGCCCAAACTGAAAACAATACAAATATCCTTCAATTAGTAAATGGATTAACAAAATGATACTACATCCATGCAAGGCAATATCATTCAACAATAAAAGGGAACAAAAACAGACTTATCTGACAGGGGAGATACCATAAACATGAGGATAGTTTTCCCAAGGCAAGTTTCAACCCATGCACTCTGGATGATGAGACATTACTTAATGGGGACAATGCATGTGATTTGGGTGGTGGATACTGTAGAAACACTAACTTCACCACTATACGATCTATGCATGTAACAAAACTACACTTGGATCTTATACATTTATACAAATGAAAAAAGAGAAAATAAAAAGAAATGAAAAGAAACAAAATGATGATACATACTACAAACTGATGAGCTTCAATAATGTTAACTAAGTGATGGAAACTGGACACAAAAGATTACATGTCGTATGATTTCATTTACTTGAAATATCCAGAAGAGATAAATTATAGACACAAAAAGCATATCATTGGATGCCTAGGACTTGGGCTATTGGTGGGAATTAACTATAAATAGAGAAATTTTGAACGTGACAGAAATGTTATAAAACTGGATTGTTGTGATAATTGCACAAATCTATTAATTTACTAAAATCATTAAATTTTACATGTACAATAAGTGAATTTTGTAATATGTAAATTACGCTTTAGTAAAGCTGTTAAAATAATTCTTTTTTAAAAAATAAGACACTGTAAGCAAGACAAAATCCAGAAGACACAAGTGAAAAAAATTGAAGAAAATTATGGATTTCTTT
This sequence comes from Homo sapiens, assembly GCF_000001405.40. Lineage (NCBI taxonomy): Eukaryota > Metazoa > Chordata > Mammalia > Primates > Hominidae > Homo > Homo sapiens. Next base: position 3,985,885 of record NT_167246.2, on the reverse strand, counting down.
GCATGAAGAAAATAACAAAATTAAAAGAAGTATATGAAGTTCAGGAAAAATTTTGATCACATAAGGCAGACGATGGGCTAAATTTCTTATGAAAAATTGTTAACTAATCAATAAATTAATGGAAATGCCACAGAACATTGGGCAAAGGATATAGACTGATTATATAAGAGAATATTTCAATAGTCAATATATATAAATATTAGCTCAAACTCACAAATGAACAAAAAAATTCAAATTCAAATAGCAATGTAATAAACTATCCTCCACAAAACTGGCAAACACAATAGTTTGCTTTAAAATCAAAGATTTAGAAGATTCTATGGGAATAGATTCTCTCATATTAGGATTGTGAGTGGATGGTAGTGTGATAGTATCTATTAAAACTCAAAATGCAATTGTTACATGCTTAATGAAACAACAAAAATCCCATTCTAAACATCCGTGTTAAAGAAACAATCCTGGCCAGGCGCAGTGGCTCACGCCTGTAATCAAAGCACTTTGGGAGGCCGAGGCGGGTGGATCATGAGGTCAGGAGTTTGAGACCAGCCTGGCCAACATGGAGAAACTTCATTTCTATTAAAAATACAAAAATTAGCCAGGCGTGGTGGCAGGCACCTGTAATCCCAACCACTGGGGAGGCTGAGGCAGGAGAATCACTTGAATCCAGGAGGCAGAGGTTGCAGTGAGAATCTCTGCCTGGCCGCCCATCGGCTGGGATGTGAGGAGCCCCTCTGCCTGGCTGCCCAGTCTGGAAAGTGAGGAGCGTCTCTGCCCAGCCGCCATCCCATCTAGGAAGTGAGGAGCACCTCTTCCCGGCCGCCATCCCATCTAGGAAGTGAGGAGCGTCTCTGCCCGGCCGCCACCCCGTCTGGGATGTGAGGAGCGTCTCTGCCCTGCCGCCCCGTCTGAGAAGTGAGGAGCCCCTCCGCCCGGCACCCACCCCGTCTGGGAAGTGAGGAGCGTCTCCGCCCGGCAGCCACCCCCTCCGTCCGAGAGGTGAGGGGCGCCTCTGCCCGGCCGCCCCTACTGGGAAGTGAGGAGCCCCTCTGCCCGGCCAGCTGCCCCGTCCGGGAAGGAGGTGGGGGGCCAGCCCCCCGCCCGGCCAGCCGCTCCGTCCGGGAGGTGAGGGGCGCCTCTGCCCGGCCGCCCCTACTGGGAAGTGAGGAGCCCCTCTGCCCGGCCACCACCCCATCTGGGAGGTGTACCCAACAGCTCATTGAGAACGGGCCATGATGACAATGGCGGTTTTGTGGAATAGAAAGGGGGGAAAGGTGGGGAAAAGATTGAGAAATCGGATGGTTGCCCTGTCTGTGTAGAAAGTAGACATGGGAGACTTTTCATTTTGTTCTGTACTAAGGAAAATTATTCTGCCTTGGGATCCTGTTGATCTGTGACTTACCCCCAACCCTGTGCTCTCTGAAACATGTGCTGTGTCCACTCAGGGTTAAATGGATTAAGGGCTGTGCAAGATGTGCTTTGTTAAACAGATGCTTGAAGGCAGCATGCTCGTTAAGAGTCATCACCACTCCCTAATCTCAAGTACCCAGGGACACAAACACTGCGGAAGGCCGCAGGGTCCTCTGCCTAGGAAAACCAGAGACCTTTGTTCACTTGTTTATCTGCTGACCTTCCCGCCACTATTGTCCTATGACCCTGCCAAATCCCCCTCTTTTGAGAAACACCCAAGAATGATCAATTAAAAAAAAAAAAAAAAAAGAAAGAAGGTTGACGTGATTAGGATTTTCGTCCCGGCAGGAGCTACAGTTTATAGTCCTATCACAAAGAGTATGGTTAGTACGCTGCTTAATAATATGATGAAATAGTAAAAGGATCCCATTAAAGGGGCAAGGAGAGGTGTTAAAAGTAAAGATTATGTAGGTTTTCACTTGTCTTTTTTAAGAAGGAAGGGTTTTTTTCTTCAGGATCAGTAGTAGGAGCTTTTTTAGTCTGGGATGTTTCCTTCCGAAATAGGAGATGCAAGTCCTCCACTCGTTCGCAGGTGTATCGAGGCTGGTCTGGCTGATCTTGGGACGGTCCCGCAGGTTCCTCAGGGCGTGTCCAAAATTTAACTCCGGTGTGGTGAATCCAAGATTCCACTCCCGCCACCTTAACTGCAGTGGGGGTAGAGAGGATTACCGAGAATGGTCATTTCCACAAAGAGTCCATAGATGGGGAGGTAGAGGGAAGAGATTTGACCAACACTAGATCTCCTGGTTGAAACAACTCTTGTTTCCTTTTCTCTGTGACATCCCTCAGGTAGGTTTTTAAGGTTTTGATGATATTTTGCCAAAGAAGTTATATCTTTGACCAAGTTGACCATTTCCTGATCAAGTAGGAGGTCATTTGTGAGAAAAGGTCATCCATACAGCATTTCGTATGGACTGAGCCCCATTTTGTGAGGAGAATTTTGGATTCTCAGCAAGGTCATGGGCAAAAGAGTAGGCCATGGGAGATGAGTTTCTTGTGTTAGTTTTCTTAAGTGCCTCTTAAGTGATTCATTTGCCTTCTCAACCTTCCCTGAGGATTGTGGCCTCCAGGCCCAGTGAAGGTGATATTGTATCCCTAGCGCCCTGGAAATTCCCTGAGTTATTGTGGTTTTTATTAAAAGCCGAACCATTGTTGCTCTGTAAGCTTTGGAGTTCCAGACCAGCCTGACCAACATGGAGAAACCGTCTCTACTAAAAATACAAAATTTGCTGGGCATGGTGGTGCATGCCTGTAATCCCAGCTACTCAGGAGGCAGAGGCAGGAGAATTGCTTGAACCCGGGAGGCAGAGGTTGTGGTGAGCCGAGATTGCACCATTGCACTCCAGCCTAAGCAACAAGAGTGAATCTCCATCTCAAAAAAAAAAAAAAAAATAGAGAAAACCAGTGAAAGAAAAATTTTCTTCTTTGAAAAGATTAATAGAACTCACAAATTTCTAGACAAAATAAAGGGAAAAAGGAGAAAAAACACCAATATTGGGATTGAAACATGTTATATCACTACAGATCCTTTGGCATCAATAGTATACCAGAGGAATACACCAAAAACACTTAGGTGAAATGGAAAAAAAATTCTTAAAAAGTACACACTTTTACAACTAAAAAATTTTCTTCTTTGAAAAGATTAATAGAACTCACAAATTTCTAGACAAAATAAAGGGAAAAAGGAGAAAAAACACCAATATTGGGATTGAAACATGTTATATCACTACAGATCCTTTGGCATCAATAGTATACCAGAGGAATACACCAAAAACACTTAGGTGAAATGGAAAAAAAAATTCTTAAAAAGTACACACTTTTACAACTAACTCAATATCAAATAGATAAATTGAAAAGCAGTGTAATTATGAAAGAAATTGAACTTATAATATAAAGACTGCTGAAAGAGAAACCTCTAGGCCAGAATAGTTTCACAGGAGAAATCTACCAAACATTTCAGTAGAATTAAGACAAGCCTGCAAAATTTCCTCCAGAAAACAGAAGAGAAGGGAACACATCCCAACTCACTTCATGAGGCCAGCATTTCCTAAAATCAAAAGGACACAAAAATAGAACAGCAAAAGAAAATTAAAAAGCAATATACTTGCTTGACTATAGATGCAAAACTCCCTAACAAAATAGTAGCAAATAAAAATCTGCCAAACTGAAAAAATATATAAACTATGCCAAGTAGCATTTACTCTAGGGATGCAAGTCTGGTTTAATGTTTGAAATCAGTGTCATCCATCTTATTAACAAGCTAAAGAAGAAACATTGAATGATTCTATCAATTGATGTAGAAACGACCTTCAACATAATTCAATGTTCATTTATGGTAAAAAACAAAACAAAACAAAACAAAAAAGCCTCTGAATAGTAGGAATAGAGGAGGCCCTACTCAACTTGATAAATAACTTCTACAAAAATGTTGCGGCTAAATTATACTTAAGGGTGGAAGACTGAAAGTTTTTCCTCTTCTGCTTCAGCTAATGATGAAATTCACAAAGGTCACAGAATTCAAGATCAACCAAAAAATCAATTTTATTGGAATATACAGTAATAAACAAATCAAAACAAATATTAAAAATACAACATGAATTAGCTTCACTCAAAAAACCTCATAAGTATGCCAACAGAACATGTACACAGTCGATATGCTGAAATGCTGATAAAGAAATTAAAAAATCTAAAGAAATTGAGAGATTTACTGTGTTCATCAACTAGAAAACTAAATATAAGAAAGATGTCAATTCTACCCAATTTGATATTCAGGTTTAACACAATTTCTCTCTAAATTCCAGCAAGATTTGTAATAGTTGTAGACAAAGTTGTTCTAAAATGTTTATGGAGAAGCAAGGGAACTAGTATAGGTCAAACGAATTTCATAGGGAAAAAGAGATGGAGAATTAACTGTAACCAAATTTCAGAATTTTTATAACTATAATAATATTGATTGACATTAGTACAGGGATAGACATAGATTGGTGGAGCAGTATGGAGAATCCAGAAAAACACTTATGCCAACTCATTTCGATGAAGATGCAAAATAATTCAATGGAGATAATATAGTCTATAGTCTTTTCAAACAATAGTCTAGGAGAAAGTGGAAATCCATAGACAAAAACAAAACCAAACAAAACCAAACAAAAACAAAAAAGAACTCAAAGGAAAAAGAAGCAAGAAACAAACTTAACAAATTCTCACACCTTATGAAAACATTTTCCCCAATTAAATCATGTTTACATGTAAAACTTTTCGAAGAAAACATGAGAAAATCATCAGGAGCTAGGGCCGGGGGTCTGAGTTCTGAGTTCTTAGACATGACACCAAAAGTGCTATGTGTAAAAAACAAAAAACAAACAAATAAACAAACAAAATCAATAAATTGGGCTTTATCAAAATTGAAAACTTTTGTTCTGTAAGGTGTCTTGCTAAGAAATGAAAAGCAAGCTAGAGTTATGGAGAAAATATTTAAAACCACATACATTACCAAGAATACAGTATCTAGAACATACGATCAACTATAAAAGCTCTAATATAAAATCTATAGTAGAATGCAAACTATAAAATTTAATTTCAAAATGGGCAAAAGATATGAAGAGACATTTTATCAAAGAGGATATATATACATGGCAAATAAGCACAATGAATGACATGCAAATCACTAGCCATCAGGGAAATGCAAATTAAGGACTTAATGTAATAGTGCTACACACTTCTTACTACAGCTAAAATTTTAAAAAAACTGACAATGGTAAATGCTGGTGAGAATGCAGAAAAACTGGATTTCTCATACACTGATGGTGAGAATGTAAAATGGTACAGTCCTTCTAAAAATAGTGAGTCAATGTCTTGAAGAACTAGACATATATTTGCCATATGAGTCAGGAATTACATTCTGACACATTTATATCAGAGAAACAAAAACACATGTTCACACAAAAATCTTACACAAATGTTCATAACAGCTTTATTTGTAATAGCCCCACAACTAGAAACAGCCAAAATATCCCTCAACAGGCAAAGAGTTAAACTGCAGTGCCTTCCTCTGATGGAGTATTCCTTAGCAATAAAAAAGAGCAAATTGTTAATACATGTAACAACTTGGATGAATCTCAAGGACATTACGCCGAGGGGAAAATGCCCGTCACAAAAGTCACATACTGTGTGATTCTATTTACGTAACATTTTCAAAAGGACACTATTATAGAGATTGGTGGAGAAGAGATTAGTGGTTTTTAGTTGTCAGGGTGATGGTGTGTAGGGAGTAGGGTGTGACTCTGAAGGGCAGCATGAGGGGAGATCTCTGTGGGATGGAATAGCTCTAGATTGCATGGTGGTTACATAAATCTGCAAATATGATAAGACACAGGCATAGAACTATGGACACATATTCTACCAAAGTCCTGGTTTTGCTACTGTGCTAGAGCTACTTAAGATATAAACATTTGGAAAAACTGGGTGAAAGGGCACACGTGTCATCTGTACCATCTTTGCAATTTCCTGTGACTCTATAATGATTTCCAAGTAAAAAGTTTTTAAAAAGCATTTTTCTTTTTGGCTGAAATCCAAAACTCTCACAAAACCGAATGCTGGCAAGGATGTAGAACAACAGGGACTCAGATTCATTGATGGTGGGAATGCAAAACAGTACAGCCACTTTGGAAGACACTCTGGCTGTTTCTTACAAAGCTAAACATACTCTTACCATATAATCCAGCAATGGCACCTCTGAGTATTTACTCAAATGACTGAAAAACTTATGTCCACACAAATACCTGTACATGGATGTTTATGGCAGTTTTATTCATAATTGCCAAAAATTGGAAGCCCCCAAGATGTCCTCAACAGGTGAGTGGATAAAGAAATTGTGATATATCCATACCGTGGAGTATTATTCAACAGTAAAGAGAAATAAGCTATCAAGTTATGAAAACACATGGAGGAAACCTATAGGGATATTGCTAAGTGGAAGGAGCCAGCCTGAAAAAGCTCTATACTGTATAATTACAACTATATGACACTGTGGAAAAGGCAAAAATACAGACAGTAAATAGTCCAGGGGTTCAGGAGGAGGAGGGATGGGTGAGTAGATTGAGCCTCAGGCATAGTTAGGGAAACTACTTTGTATGATGCTTTTGTTGCTGAAACACCGTGGGTTTGTCTAGCTCCTGCCCTGGCCACACACAAAGCCAATCACTGAGATGACAAGTATTGCCAAGGAAGAAGGCTTTAATCTTTAATCAGACACTGCAGCTGAGTAGATGGGATATCAGTCTCTCCCTGACTGACTAAAATTAGGGGTTTATGTGCAAAGAAAGAAGGAATGTTACTATGTATGGGAAAACAAGAACTCCAGACAATAAGGAAGCAATCATAATGAATGATGGGGACTGGCATCTCATGATCTGGATGTGATGATCTGGTGAGTTCCAGTTATTTGATAATTGTTGAGAGACCTGAGCATCCTTTCTTGAGAAAGGAATTCAGACAAAACAATGTAAATTTCAAGCTTTAAGAGCAGAGGGGTCAATTTCTACGTTTATCCAAATAACTATCTTATGGGACTATTGGGTTGGTTTCACACTGATGGTAGATACATGACATTGTGTATCTCCAGAACCCATAGAACTGTGTAATAGAGTGAACCCCAATATAAGTATGAACCTCAGTTAACAATAAGTATCAGTATTGGTTCATTAATTGTAACAAGCATGCCACACTAATGCAGGATGTTAATAATAGGAGAAACTGAACAGAGGGCTGTTTTAGGGAAGGAGGTATGGGGAACTCCCTAAATTTTCTCTGAAAATTTTTTATACCTTAAAACTGCTTTAAAAATGGTCTTGTTACATGGGAGGATATGGATTTAGTTTTGCTTTTCATTCTATGCTTGTCTGAGTTTGAGTTTATTCTCTATTGTTCATCTATTTATTTTATATTAAAATTGTAGATGTTAACAAACATCCTATTTGCAACATTCTCAACAGTCTGCTTTCTCTAAACCATAGGTAAAGAAACTTGTTATTTATTAGTAAGTCTTACTAGGTTATGGCACCTTGTTTTGTGCTTGTTTTATTTTGCTTTTCTTAGATTTTCATCACCGGGCTGTAGAAATTTTGAGGGAAACAATTCCACAACCAATCGAGGCCGAAATGAAGTTACAATGCTACACTCCTATGCAAAAATCTGATTGGTTGCAAAAAACAACAAATCAGAGGTACTTTCAATTTCCCATCTGCCTTGCAGAAAAGGTAGGGGTTTGCAAAGGGAGTAGTCTCTGGTCCTTTTGTTGCTTAGGCATAGAAAGCTAGGGTTTTCCTTTCAATTTAGTTCTATTCAGAAGTCAGCATGAATAGAGGCCTTAGGTTCCCTGCCTCCAGACCCTATTCTCCTGCCTCATCTGGAAGACACTCTGGCTGTTTCTTTCAAAGCTAAACATACTCTGTTATAAGATTCAGCAATTGCAATCCAAAGTATTTACTCAAATGAATGGAAAACTTCGGTCCATACAAACAGGTGTACACAAATGTTTATAGCAGCTTTATTCATAATTGCCAAAAATCCAAAGCAACCAAGATGTGCTCCAGTAGGTGAATGGATAAACAAATTGTGGTATATCCATACCATGGGTTATTATTCAACATTAAAGAGAAATAAGCTATCAAGCTATGAACAGACATGGAGAAAACCTATATGCATACTGTTAAGTGAAAGAAGCCAGTCTGAAAAAACTATATACCATATGATTACAACTATATAACATTCTAGAAAAGGCAAAAATACAGACAGTAAATAATGGTTTCCAGGAGTTCAGGAGGAGGAAGAATGGATGAGTAGGTGGAGCCTGGGGCAATTTTAGGTCAGTGAAACTACTTCATAGGTTACTCTTTTTACTGAGACACCAGGAGTTCAGTCTAGGTCTTGCACACGAGGGCTTCAGCCTGGGTCTTGCTGCTTGCCACACAGAAAGCCAATCTCTGAGATCACAATGAGTATTGCCAAAGAAGGTTTTAATCTTTAATCAGGTGCTGCAGCTTAGGAGATAGGAGACCAGCGTCAAAGCCATTTCTGTGACTGAATAAAATTAGGGGTTTATACAGCAGGGAGGAAATGTAACTATGTATGGAAAAACAGGAACCAGGGAGGGGTAAGGGAACAATCATGATGAATGAGGAACCTGGAGTCTCATTGTCTGGATGAGATGATCTGGTGAGTTCCAGTTCTTGGATTATTTTTGAGAGGCTTGGGGGATCTTTTTTTTTGGAAAGGAACTCAGATAAAACAAATACAAGTTTCAAGCTTTAAGACGATAGGCTGGGTGCAGTGGCTCATGCCTGTAATCCCAGCACTTTGGGAGGCTGAGGCGGGCAGATCACGAGGTCAGGAGATGGAGACCATCCTGGCTAACACAGTGAAACCCCATCTCTACTAAAAATACAAAAAAAATAGCCTGGCATGGAGGCGGGCGCCTGTAGTCCCAGCTACTTGGGAGGCCAAGGCAGGAGAATGGCGTGAACCCAGGAGGCAGAGCTTGCAGTGAGCTGAGATTGCGCCACTGCACTCCAGCCTGGGCAACAGAGTGAGAAGCCATCTCAAAACAAAACAAAACAAAACAAAACAAACAGAAAAGACAATAAGTGTCCATTTCTATGTTTATTTTAAAAATTGTCTATGGGACTCTTGGGTCAGTTTCACTTTAATGGTGGACATATGACATTATGTATTTATCAGAACCCATAGAACTATATAATAAGAATTAACCCTAATTTAACTATGGACCTCAGTTAACAATAAGTACCAGTATTGGTTCATCAGTTGTAACAAGTGTACCACACTCAAATAGGATGTTAATAATAGGAGAAAATGAGCAGAGGGCTGTTTTAGGGAGGAGGGGATATGGGAACTCCCTGAAATTCCTCTGCAATTTTTGTGTACACTTAAATCTACTTTAAAAAAAGGTCTTGTTACATGAAATGATATGGATTTATTTTTGCTTTTTCATTCCATATTTTTCTACATTTGACTGCATTTTCTACTGCTCATCTACTTACTTTATATTAAAATTGTAGATATGTTACAAAACATTCATGCCTATTCTATCCATAATATTTTCAAAATTCTGCTTGGATTCTCTAAACCATAGATAGAGAAACTTGTTATTTGTTGGTAAGTCTTACAAGGTCATGCTGTCTTTATGTGTGCTTGTTTTATTTTTTATAATTATGTCATAGACATTTTGAGGAATAGAATGGAAAGTATAGTTTTTGCAGTATGTTATTATCACCAAACATGTTACCTAATTACTTTGCTTACTTTTTCCCTTTAATTCTGATAATAATTCAATGTAGTAAAAATTCACATCAGTATTTCTATGAGGAATCCAAGGCTAAGGTAAGTAAGATACCAGTGAAAACATAGCTAGTAAATGATACAGCCCAGATGAAATCCAAATCTAACTCAATATTTACTTGCAGTCTATCACACTGTTATGGATAATTCATCTTTATGGTTTGTGGTAGGTTCTAATAACAGTTTTAGAAATAAGTATCATCATACTTTTACAGATAAATGAGCAATAGCTCACTGTGTTTCTAATATTCTCTTCTCATCTTAATGCTGTATCCTGCCCCTGTTCCCATTACTCAGTTTTTCTACTTAAATATACATGTCCAAATATATGATGGTTTCAGTAACAAGTCAGACTGTTTTCCTGGTAATAAAACAGGCATCCAAGGCTTTTCCTTTTCCTTTTCTTTTCTTTCTTTCTTTATTTTTTTCAGACAGTGTCTTGCTCTGTCACCAGACTGGAGTGCAGTGGTGCGATCTCGGCTCACGGCAATCCTCCTCCTGGGTTCAAGTGATTCTCTTGCCTCAGCCTCCCGACTAGCTGAAACTAAAGGCACACACCACCATGCCCAGCTAATTTTTGTATGTTTAGTTGAGACGGGTTTTCACCATGTTGGCCAGTATGGTCTCTATCTCTTGACCTTGTGATCTGCCCACCTCAGCCTCTCAAAGTGCTGGGATTACAGACTTATGGTTGGTAAAAATTGACCTGGCCAGGCTCGGTGGCTCACGTCTGTATTCATAGCAGTGAGCCAAGGTCAAGCCACTGCACTCCAGCCTGATGACAGAGCGAGACACTGTCTGAAAAAAAAGAAAGAAAGGGAAAAAAAATAAAGGAAAAAAAGAACAGGCAATGTCAATCTTCAGTGTCTGATCTCATTCCTCACTAAGTCTGGAGTGAGCAATGATGATATGTAAATCTTGTCATATTTGTGGGTCCTCTTCTCATTCTACTCCCCAGTCTACCCCTTATTTCTCCTCTCCGTCTCACCCATTCTCAGAGGCCAAACCCTGGGGTTTCAGATTCACTCTACTGAAGATACAGATATGTTGTTGACTTGTAGACTCAAGAACCAAAAACCTATTCTGAACCCATTGCCCAGTAGATGTCTCCCAACAGAAAAAACCATGCTTTATGGTTTTCCTACTGAAGACTAGACGACAGCAATAGAATTGCCTGCACATGCTCAGAAAGAAACCAAGCCCAGTGAGCCTGGATATTTCTGATTAATTCCGTTACTAAAAAGTGCACGAATCCCCCATTCTTGTCTCACTTAGAAGAAAAATATCAGCCAAGGATGCATAGGAAGGGTTGAGTAGCAGAGTTTGTTGAAGGAAGATAAAGTACATTCCTAGAGAGAAGTAGAAAACCGTTCTGGGCTGTTCCAACTGGAAAAATAGTGGTAGCAGTGTTTATTTAGAGACAGTATGCTCTGAAAGAGGAGACAGACTGGGGTGTTCAAAAGAAGGAGCCAGCAGCAGCCAGTGCTGAAGGACTCTCTTTATGAGAATCTTACATGACTATTCAGGAAGGGGCCTGAGGGGGTGTCTCTTGCAAGCATGTTTCAGGAGGACTGTTTGGGTGCGCATGCTCTGTCTTGTACTTGCTACTACACATGTTGCATGTCTCAGTATTTAAAATCTCCACCCAGAGCTGTGTTTTTCACTACCATAATGAGCAAAAAGCTATTCTAGGGCAAGTTATTGGAGGAGTGCACAATTTCGTCAGTGGAGGAAGTCCCTGCCATGGCTGTTTCTGGCTAGGACCTGATACGTCCCCTCCAGGGCCGGAGGAGCCCAACCACAAGGCCAGATGTAGCCATTGTAGCCATTGTCCTTTTTGCTATTAGTGCGCAGTGCTGATTATTAGTGGTCAGTGACTCCAAGACTTCTTTTCCCAGGGGCTCCCTTGCCTGCTCATTTCTGGCTCTCTGCCTACTCTAACAATTCCAGAGCTTATATGATACATTCGACATTCAGACTATTCAGGATGCAGGGATCACATAAATCCTCTAGCTCCCCTCACTGCAAATCAGAAAATTCACCCAAGAACCATCAGAATAGTATAGTATATTCAGAAAAATCACTATTTGAAGAAACTTGAAGCAGTAAGTACATGGAAAAGGTCCCCACAGAATGTTTAGAAAATTCCATAGTACAGAAAGAATCCTATGCAGTATATTCCAGAAGCATTGCATAGTGATAATAAAAGGATTGGAACAAGTTTTGAAAGTGCTCCCTTTAACCCTATTTCAGTATGCTATTGATAAAGAATTACTTTTCTTTGCCACCTGTAATAGTCTGTTTTTACATTGCCATAAGAAAATACATGAGACTGGGAAATTTATAAAGGAAAAAAGGTTTAATTGACTCACAGTTCTGCGTGGCTGGGAAGGCCTCAGGAAACTTACAATCATGGCAGAAGGGGAAGAGGCCCATCTTACATGGCAGTAGGCGAGAGAGTATGGACCCCATAGGAGGAACTGTCAAACACATAAAACCATCACATCTCATGAGAACTCACTCACTATTACAAAACAGCATGGGGGAAACCGCACCCATGATCCAGTAATCTCCCACCAGGTCCCACCCTGGACATGTGGAGATTATGGGGATTATAATTCCAGATGAGATTTGGGTGGGGAAACAGAGCCAGCCTAACCATATAACTGATACGGGATCACTGGGTTTCACTTTTCTTGCCAGAATCTTGTGGCTGGTAATGCCTTTGCCTGAGTTTTGCTCAGGCTAGCTGGGCTCATTCCACCCACTTTGGCTGGCAGGCTCTGCTCTGCTCACACTACCAGCCTGGATTCCACACCTGCCAAGTGTGATTCACATAGTGAGGGATGTGTGAGCAAGTGAGCAGGGGTCCAGCCACTGTGCACAGCCAGGCATATTGGCTGTATAGGGCAGGCAGCTCTGGGAGACGGCATGGGTGCCAGCTCCCTGTGAGGCTGCAGCTGGAACCAGGCGCACTGCAAGCAACTTCCACAGCCGGCACTGGGGAAAGTGGTGGCACCTGGAAGCTTGGAGACCCCGGGAACCACAGGCCCCAAAAAGGTGGTCACATCCCTGGCTCTGAGCTCCAAGATTTGGGCTCTCTGAAGAGACACGTCTTGCCCACGACATGGCAAGCAAGGGGCATTTTCAGCCCTCTTTGTGTTTGAGGTTTCTGCCTTACCATTTGGCAGATCCATGGTTCTTGTCCTGTGTCCAGGAAGAATGAGGTATGCAGACAAGTGGAGGATGAGCAGGATAAAGAGGAGCTTTATTAAGCAATAGGACAGCTCAGAGACCCTCAGTGGGCAGCTCCTCTCCATAGCCAGGTTGTCCAGACACCTGTTCAGCTCTCAGCAGAAAGGGTAGCTTCTCTCTGCAGCTGATCATCCTGTCCTTTCCTCAGTTCTCAGCAGACAGGAGACCCTGGTGAGGGCAGCTCCACTCTACCGCTGAGAGGAGACCCTGGGGAGGGCAACTCCTCTCTGCAGCAGGTCATCCCTAATCTCCCTGTCCTCTCTCTCCACTCTCTCCATCTTCTGCTCACGTCTGCCTGAGCCCAGGGCTTTTACGGGCCTCAGAGGGGAGGAAGTGCACATCATGGATGGCTATGGGGCAGGCCCAGATAAGGCACAAGTTCCCACTCCTGTCAGCAGGACTGGCAGCCCAGCCCACAGCCTTCAGGCCCTCCCTGGTGCCCAGGCTGCTCATGGCAAGGGGCACCTGTAGGCCAGTGCCAGTTACCCTCAACCCATCTCCCCTCAGCTTCCCCATGGCTGAGATGGCAGGAGGCTGGTGTGTCAATGTTGCCCTGAGCATGCACACACCCCGCCAGGCTGTGACAGTACCGGGGCTTAGCCCCAACTCCACTCTTACATCAGAGTGCATGCCTGGGAGACCAGAGAGGCCAGGCAGTGGGAGTAGACACCCCCAAGCCTGCAGGGACGGGGCGTCTTCTCAGCCTTGAGTGCACAGAGTGCAGAGAGGCCTGGATCCTGCTGTGGGGAGGGTGGGGCTTTCACCCACTCCGTGGAGCCTACAGGTAGCCCCTGTCACACCTTTTCACAGTGTGGGGTGGGCAGCTCCCCTTGCTGGGCTTAGTTGGGCATCTGGGGCAAGGGTAATGTCTTTGCAAGTTCTTCCTATAGCACTCAGGGGTGCCTGGGGCTCCCCCTTGCCTGTATGGAGCAGGGGAGGCCTGGGTGGGTGTCATCATGAACCTTAGCTGGCTTTCTTAGATTACCATCCTCACAATTAGTTTCTTTATTTTTTCACAATTTCTTTTCTTTTCTTTTCTTTTCTTTTCTTTTCTTTTTTCTTTTCTTTTCTTTCCTTTCTTTTCTTTCTTCTTTCTTTCTTTCTTTCTTTCTTTCTTTCTTTCTTTCTTTCTTTCTTTCTTTCTTTCTTTCTTTCTTTCTTTCTCTTTCTTTCTTTCCTTCTTTTTTTTTTTTTGACAGGCTCTCCCTCTGTTTCCCAGGCTGGAATGCAGTGGCATGATCTTGGGTCACTGCAGCCTGGACCTTCCAGGTTCAAGCAATCCTCCCACCTCCTGAGTAGCTGGGACCAAATTAGTTTCTAAGTAAATTATCATTTTCTGTTGACCAAGTTAAATTGATGTTCTGGTTGCAATTGCACAACTTCCAATAGTATTGAATTATTATTGGGACGTTCCTTTGGAAATTGATAAAGATAAACTGGTCAGTTCCTTTGGAAACTGATAAAGACAGCATGACAGTTCCAACAAACTGGAGACATGTAATTACCCAAAAATCTTAGGGGCCTAGCTTTATGTATGTACAAGCCCATACTACCAAGTACCAGAAGAGTCTATAACCAAAAATTGCTATGTCTATTAACAAGTCTTTCTTACCAAAATACACTAATTTGTATTGCACTGGGCTGAGTGTACTGGTATCATATGGATTATTTTTTAATAATCCTTTAGTTTATTCTCAAATCCAGGGACAATAGTGATTTTACCCAAGAGATTTTGAACTTTGTGTATTAATAGAAGTGTGTTTTTCCAAAGTAAATGAGGCATTTTTTTCTTCTATTTTATGATGATCAAATTTACTACTTTATGATGAGAAATCTAAAGTAGTAAGAAATCTAAAGTAGGACATAGTTTATTCTCAAATCCAGGGAAAATAGTGATTTTACCCAAGAGATTTTGAACTTTGTATATTAATAGAAGTGTGTTTTTCCAAAGTAAATGAGGCATTTTTTTCTTCTACTTTATGATGATCAAATTTACTACTTTATGATGAGAAATCTAAATAATAATTCTGAGAAATAGTTTCTATTTGGGAATTTTGAGGTCACTGTTACCTTTAATAAGGAGACTTTTCAGAAGCTATGGGTGTCATCACATAAGATAAATGCAAATGTTGCCATTTCAAGAGGAGGGTAAGGATGATGATGAGAGGAATCCTTTTAAAGAAATAGAATTGCTACACAGTATCTTCCTCCAATTGTATAATGCTGCCGTTCATTAAAAGAAGTAGTCTTATTGCTATGCACATCCATAAATTAAAGGGATGCAAATAATTTTAATACAAGGGACATTGTTCTCAGAAATAGAATGTGAAGGAGTATGATATAGTGGCTGAGCTTGAGGGGGAAATGTAGGGGTTCAGTCAGGACAGTGTGAAAAATTGTAAAATAAACACAAACCTTCTTGGAAACCCGGAAGGTTTTTGCAAAAGCCTCAGGTTAGAGTTACAGCTGAAGGCAGCCTAATCCTTTTTGAGCTATAGCAAGGGTAATTAACATAGTAATATAGGGGAGTCTATCTAAATAGCTTGTTTACTTATGTGGCCCTAAGACTAACCTTTGACCATCCAAGGTTGCATGATTGCTCTCTACTTGGGGTCAGCACCTGTAATTACCTAGCAGTGGTGTTTACTTTAGACTATTGTCATTTAATGTGTGCTGAATAAATGCCTGGAGGGCCAGTGAGTTGGGGCCACGGTTGCAACTCTTCACAGCACTCTCCTGGGAGTCTGTAAGCGGCCCGGACTCTCAGCCAGACTGACAAGCATAATATCTATGTCAGTGTACATTATTCACCCATTGTTGGGTCAGGTTCTGTGGGACAGACCCCTGCAGGTATATAATTTGGTTCAACCTATAGTGTACCATTTACTAGCTTTATATCTTTGCAAAAGTTGTTTTATCTCCATCATTTTACTCTTTCCACCTGTAAGCATGAAAAGGGTGTTTATTTTACTGAGCTGATGTGGGAATTAAAAAAAATATGAAGTATAGAAATCCCTTAGTACAATTCTGAGAACAAAGTAAAATGCTCATTTTCATTGTAGCATTTAAATGCAGAAATTTATATGTATAGTTGCACTTTGAGGTCCATTCTGAATCTTAGATGTCACATTTATATTAATATAAGGGATAATAATTATCTAAATGTAGAATTATATGTTTAAAATTACATGATTACATCAACTGATGTAATTCATAGTTTTTCCCTAGGGCTCTCTTTCCTGAACATTCTGTAACGTATTAGCACAGTCTTCTTATATCTTCCCTTATGATAAAACAAAAGAACATAATAGTAACGGGCCATAGCCTCAATCAAATGAGAAAATCACAGTGGGAACCAGGAATGAGGGATTGAACACTCTTCACATAAAATATTAATTATTTTAAAACAGAGTTGTTCTGTCAACAGCTAACTTTGAGTCCTTGATCGATCTCTCGAACCCCTAAATTCTTTGATTGCACAGTTGACCTTGTCACATTGTTAGAGTAAGTGCTATACAAAGGCACCTTCAGAACCTCCATTGCACACAGGTGGCCCCTGCAAGCCCCTTGCCTGTGTATGTTCTGGAGGTGCCATTAAACTTGGGGGCAGCATCAGGAGACACGCTTGAAAAAACTTTTTTTTTTTTTTTCCATGATGGAGTCTCGCTCTGTTGCCCAGGCTAGAGTGCGGTGGTGTGATCTTGGCTCACTGCAATCTCCACCTCCCAGATTCAAGTGATTCCCCTGCCTCAGCCTCCCGAGTAGCTGGGACTACAGGTGCCTGCCACCATGCCAGGCTAATTTTTTGTATTTTTAGTAGAGGTGGGGTTTTACTGTGTTAGCCAGGAAGGTCTCAATATCCTGACCTTGTGATCCGCTCGCCTTGTCCTCCCAAAGTGCTTTGATTACAGGCATGAGCCACCTCACCCTGCTGAAAAATGTTTTTACTCAGATTAAATTATTCACAAACTTTCAGTTTACTTTAACTTATTGAAGGCATCCCTACCTGTAAATAGGTAGAGATTAAACTCTCTAGTCAACAGCTGTCATTCTGTCATATCATCAGATACCCGGGGCTGCTGCTCCTTGAGGCGTCCAGAGAATCACAGCATTTTCCAGTATTGAAAGACCTGAAAGAACATAGTGTCTTTATTTCAACTGTGAAACATGAAATAATTTTCTGAAATCTACAACATTAACATATGGTACAATAAGGATCAGATTAAAGTCTCCAAATTTGCAACCATGTTCCCTCCATCTCCTTTATTCCTAAACACACTCACACACTCACTCCTGCAAACAGTTGTCTTGTCAAGTGAGAAATGAATGCTCTTACAAGGCTCAAACTTGTGAACACATTACTGACCAGCACAGAGCCGGCTAACAATAGGGGCTCAATTAAAGTATCTTACTTGTAAGTGGATCAAACCAATGAAGTATTAAATTAAAACAATCCTTAGGAAGAGCTCCGGTCTGTAGCTCCCAGCAAGATTGACGCAGAAGATGGGTGATTTCTGCATTTCCAACTGTGGTAACTGGTTCATCTCACTGGGACTGGTTGGACATTGGGTGCAGCCCATGGAGGGCGAGCTGAAGCAGGGCGGGGCATCGCCTTAACCAGGGAGCGCAAGGGCTCGGGGGATTTCTCTTTCCTAGCCAAGGGAAGCCATGACAGAAGACGTGTACTGTACCTGGAGAAATGGTACACTCCTGACCAAATACTGTGCTTTCCCCATGGTCTTAGCAACCAGCAGACAAGGAGATACCCTCCTTTGTCTGACTCGGTGGGTCCCATGCCAATGGAGCCTTGTTCACTGCTAGTGCAGCAGTCTGAGATCAACCTGTGATGCTGCAGCTTGACAGGGCACAGCGGGGGGCGGGGGGGGGCAGAGGGAGGGGCATCCACCATTGTTGAAGCTTGAGTAGCTTACAGTAAGCAAAGCGGCCAAGAAGCACAAACTGGGCAGAACCCACCGCAGCTCAGCAAGGCCTACTGCCTCTACAAATTCCACCTCTGGGGGCAGGGCATAGCTGAACAACAGGCAGCAGGCAGCTTCTACAAACTTAAACCTCCCTGTCTGACAGCTCTGAAGAGAGCAGTGGTTCTCTCAGCATGGCGTTCCAGCTCCAAGAACGGACAGATTGCCTCCTCAAGCAGGTCCCTAACCCCCATGTAGCCTGTCTGGGAAACACCTCCCAGTAGGGGTCAACAGACACCTCAAACAGGTGGGTGCCCCTCTGGGACAAAGCTTCCAGAGGAAGGATCAGGCAGCAATATTTGCTGTTCTGCAGCCTCCGCTGGTGATACCCAGGCAAACAGGATCTGGAGTGGACCTCCAGCAAATGCCAACAGACCTGCAGCTGAGGGTTCTTTCTGTTAGAAGGAAAACTAACAAACAGAAAGGAATAGCATCAACATCAACAAAAGGGACATCCACACCAAAACCCATCTGTAGGTCACCAACATCAAGGACCAAAGGTAGATAAAACTACAAAAATGGGGAGAAACCAGAACAGAAAAGCTGAAAATTCCAAAAAACAGAGCACCTCTTCTCCTTCAAAGGATCAGAGCTCCTTGCCAGCAAGGGAACAAAACTGGATGGAGAATGAGTTTGACGAGTAAACAGAAGTAGGCTTCAAAAGGTTGGTAATAACAAACTTCTCCGAGCTAAAGGAGCATGTTCTAACCCATCACAAGGAAGCTAAAAACCTTGAAAAAAGGTTAGATGCATGGCTAACTGAATAAACAGTGTAGAGAAGACCTTAAATGACCTGATGGAGCTGAAAACTATGGCACAAGAACTTCGTAATGCATGCGCAAGCTTCAACAGCTGATTCAATCAAGTGGAAGAAAGGATATCAGTGATTGAAGATCAAATTAATGAAATAAAGCAAGAAGACAAGATTAGAGAAAAAAAGAGCAAAAACAAATGAACAAAGCCTCCAAGAAATATGGGACTATGTGAAAAGACTAAATATATGTTTGATTGGTATACCGGAAAGTGATGGGGAGAATGGAACCAAGATAGAAAACACTGTTCAGAATATTATTCAGGAGAACTTCCCTAACTTAGAAAGGCAAGCCAACATTCAAATTCAGGAAATACAGAGAACACCACAAAGATACTCCTCAAGAAGAGCAACCCCAAGATGCATAATTGTCAGATTCACCAAGGTTGAAATGAAGGAAAAAATGTTAAGAGCAGCAAGACAGAAAGCTCGGGTTACCCACAAAGGGAACCCCATCAGACTAACAGCAGATCTCTTGGCAGAAACCCTACAAGCCAGAAGAGAGTGGGGGCCAATATTCAACATTCTTAAAGAAAAGAATTTTCAACCCAGAATCTCATATCCAGCCAAACTAAGCTTCATAAGTGAAGGAAGAATCAATATCTTGAAAATGGCCATACTTCCCAAGGTAATTTATAGATTCAATGCCATCCCCATCAAGTACCAATGACTTTATTCATAGAATTGGAAAAAACTACTTTAAAGTTCATATGGAACAAAAAAGAGCCTGCATAGCCAAGACAATCCTAAGCAAAAAGAACAAAGCTGGAGGTATCATGCTACCTGACTTCAAACTATACTACAAGGCTACAGTAACCAGAAGAGCATAGTACTGGTACCAAAACAGAGATATAAACAAATGGAACAGAACAGAGTCCTCAGAAATAACACCACACATCTATGACCATCTGATCTTTGACAAATGTGACAAAAACAAGAAATGGGGAAAGGATTCCCTATTTAATAAATGGTGCTTGGAAAACTGGCTAGCCATATGTAGAAAGCTGAAATGATCTGTTCCTTACACCGTATACAAAAATTAACTCAAGATGGATTAAAGACTTAAATGTAAGACCTAGCACCATAAAAACCCTAGAAGAAAACCTAGGCAATACCATTCAGGACATAGGCATGGGCAAGGACTTCATGACTAAAACACCAAAAGCAATGGCAATAAAAGCCAAAATAGACAAATAGAATCTAATTAAACTAAAGAGCCTCTGCACAGCAAAAGAAACTATCATGAGAATGAACAGGCAACCTACAGAATGGGAGAAAATTTTTGTAATCTACCCATCTGGCAAAGGGCTAATATCCAGAATCTATGAAGAACTTAAACAAATTTACAAGAAAAAAAAACAAACAACCCCATCAAAAAGTGGGCAAAGGATATGAACAGACACTTCCCAAAAGAAGACATTTATGCAGCCAATAGACACATGAAAAAATGCTCATTATCACTGGTCATCAGAGAAATGCATGTCAAAACCACAATGAGATACCATCTCATGCCAGTTAGAATGGCGATCATTAAAAAGTCAGGAAACAACAGCTGCTGCAGCGGATGTGGAGAAATAGGAGCGCTTTCACACTGTTGGTGAGAGTGTAAATTAGTTCAACGATTGTGGAAGACAGTGTTGTGATTCCTCAATGTTCTAGAACTAGAAATATCATTTGACCCAGCGATCCCATTACTGGGTGTATACCCAAGGAGTATAAATCATGCTGCTATAAAGACACATGCACACGTATGTTTATTGCAGCACTATTCACAATAGCAAAGACTTGGAACCAACCCAAATGCCCATCTATGATAAACTGGATTTAGAAAATGTGGCACATATACACCATGGAATACTATGCAGCCATAAAAAAGGATGAGTTCATGTTCCTTGCAGGCACATGTATGAAGCTGGAAACCATCATTCTAAGCAAACTATCACAAGGACAGAAAACCAAACAACAAGAACACATGGGCACAGGGTGGGGAACATCACACACCGTGGCCTATTGTTGAGGGGGTGGGATGCTGGGGAAGGGAAAGCATTAGGAGAAATACTTAATGTAAATGATGAGTTGATGGGTACAGCAAACCTACATGGCACATGTATACCTATGTGACAAACCTGCACGTTGTACACATGTACCCTAGAACTTAAAGTATAATAAAAAAAATAATTCGTAAAAAAAATTCTTTAAAGAAGTAAATTCTGTTTCAGAAAAGGACCTTCATACAGCATCTCTGACCAGCAACTGATGATGCTATTGAACTCAGACGCTGATTCATTCTCCAACACTAGATTACCCAATCCAGGAGCAAGGAAATCAGTAACTTCCTCCCTATAATTTGGAATATGGGTGGAGCAGGGTCATAGTTCTCGCTGAGTGAGACTTGACTGCCCCTCTGGGCCCTGGACCTGTCATGCTCCTTAGCATGGTGTGTCTGAAGCCCCCTGGAGGCTCCTGCATGGCAGCTCTGACAGTGACACTGATGGTGCTGAGCTCCCCACTGGCTTTGGCTGGGGACACCCGACGCAAGTGCACATTGTGGGTGCTGAGCTACTACGAGGTCAGGAAAATAGGGAGTTTTGTTAACACCGTGCCCAGGCAATGCCCCTTAAGAGATTGTGACGTTTTCTTCAGAGATTGCCCATCTTTATCACGGGATCCTAAGTTATTTCCACCACAAAAGGAGCTTGGTACTTGCCCTCTCCATGAGGTTTGTGTAAGGAACTTCCATACCGGCCATTTCTTTTCAAATCTCCACCAATAAAACCTTTGCATCACATTTCCTCAGGGTCTTTAGAGGATTTAGAAATAAGGATGCTAAAATAAATTCCCCATACAGCACTTCCCTTTATCATGTTGACTTATGCCAGACAAAACGAGGATTTTCTGAAAACTTTGTGGGAGTCAAGGGAATTCAAAAGGTCTCTCCTAGATGATCCTGTGTTATGTCCTCCAAAGGACCTGTGGTGTTGGCCCTTCTTCCTCATATGTGAGGATGTACCCAGTGACCTCCCCATTATCTCCTTTCTTTTCTTTCTGAACTCCAATGTTTATAAAGCCTGTATCCCTGTACATGTATGTAGATTCTCTGACAGAAGTTATACTAAGTGCTCTTTCTTTCTTAGGGGGAAAAAATCCCTGGAGCGGAAGCTGAGATCTTTAGTACTTAGATCAGATAAAGAGTATTTATGAGGTATTCTTCGGTACCTAAAGAACTTAAGGCATCTGGCCAGGCATGGTGGTTCACGCCTGTAATCCCAGCACTTTGAGACATGGAGGTGGGCGGATCACAAGGTCAGGAGTTTGAGATCCGTCTGACCAATATGGTGAAACGTCATCTCTACTAAAAATACAAAAATTAGCCGGGGTAGTGGCGCACACCTGTAATCCCAGCTACTCTGGAGGCTGAGGCAGGAGAATCGCTTAAACCCAGGAGGCAGAAGTTGCAGTGAGCCAAGATCATGCCACTGCACTCCAGCCTGGGCGAGAGGGTGAGACTCCCTCTCAAAAAAAAAAAAACTTAAGTCACTAGTGTTTATTTTGAATCCTTTTTAACTGTTCTATGCTAGTTTCTCCTACAACTCCTACATGTTCTAACTAGACATGACAAGAAAAGATTCAACTAACATAGGATAAATTATATAAAATTCTATTTTTGTACGTCAAAAATAGTAAAATATCTGAAATTTAATAATGTTCAAACTATATACTCTGTGTGGGGTTGCAGAGACGATGTGGACATTGTCCGCATCTCATAGGGCTGAAAGTCAATGAGCAAGTCCTGGGAACTCATTGTCTTACTGTGGTCTTTTCCTAAATTTCATAGTTTCATTCATCATGCCCTCAGCTTTCCTTAATTAGCCATGTTCACTTGCCTCTTCCTCCAGTTTCTCTCTATTTTTCTTCAGCTATGTTGTCATCATTTCCAGAAATCCCTAAAGTTTGCACAGAGCCAGGGCACTATGAGATCCATTAAATGAGATTTTTTTTTTGAAGACAGGGCCTGGCTCTGTTACCCAGGCTATAGTGCAGTGGTGCCATCTAGGCTCACTGCAACCTCCACCTCCAAGGCTCAAGGGTTCCTCCTCTTCAGCCTCCAGAGTAGCAGAGACTTCAGCAGGCAACCATGCCCAGATAATTTTTGTAATTTTGGTAGAGATGAGGTTTTGCCATGTTGCTATGGCTGGTCTTAAACTCTTGGACTCAAGCAATCCTCCTGTTTTGGTCTCCAAACGTGCAAGGATTATAGGTGTGAGCCACTCCACCCAGGCAAAAAGAGATGAATCTTAATAAAAAAATTTCTTTTTGCTTAAATCACTGTTTCTTTATCTGTGAATTCTTCTTCCACCTAGAAGGAGGAGAAAGAAGAAGTTTGCCTGTATTTCACACTGGGAAGAGAAGGGGTGTAGTATGACATCAAAATGAAAGAGTGCTTGAGCTTGAGCCCCTTCTTGCTTTCCAGGATCCCTGCAGTGATCAGTTCCCAGAACCCTGGTTTATTCATGTAAAGCACACTTATTTTTCTCAGCAGCTACTGTGTACTGGGCTCTATTCTAGGTTCAAATCATTCTATTTGATTAAGATAGAGAGGGTCGCTACTCTCATGGAAGTTACACAAGAGTAGAGGAGATAAAAAATAACCCAATAATCATTTATCAAAAAAGAAAATTTCAGATAGTAATAGTGCACTAAAGAAAAGACATCAGGTTTGTGGAAAAGAGAGAAATGGATTCACCAAACTTTAGTTCATGTGTTTAGGCAGCTCTACCTGAGAAAGTGACATTCAGATGAGACAACAAAATAAGTAGACAGTCATGTGACGATCTAAGGAACGAAAGTTCCAGGGAGACAGCATGGGGGGAAGCCCTGGTGTGAGAAATTATGTCCAGGGACAGAAAGAAGGCTAGAGGGTCTGATGTATAGCAAGCAAGGAAATGGAAGGGCAGAAGACGAGGTAGAACACAAAGAGGTAGTCAGAAGCCTCATCATATTAGGCTCTGATGTCCATGGTAAGAAATTTGAATTTTATTTTATTTTATTATTTATTTATTTATTTTGAGACGGAGATTCATTCTTGTTGTGTGGTCTCAGCTCACTGCAACCTCCGCCTCCTCGGTTCAAGTGATTCTCCAGCCTCAGCCTCCAAAGTAGCTGAGATTATAGGTGCCCACCCACCATGCCTGGCTAATTTTTTTGTATTTTCAGTAGAGATGAGGTTTCACCATATTGTCCAGGCTGGTCTTGAACTCCTGACCTCAGGTAATCTGCCTGTCTTGGCCTCTCAAACTGTTGGGATTACAGGCGTGAGCCACCGCGCCTGGCCTGAATTTTATGTAAATAGATATGGGAAGCTACTGGATGGTTACAAGGAGAGTCCATTTATATTCAGTTTTTAAAACTAATTCTAGTTACTCTGTGGGGATTGGATTGTTGGGGTTCACAAATGGTCAGGAAGACTTTAGGAGCAGAGCAGGGAATCCTCAGCGAAAACAGGCTTGCGGCTTCATGCAGTGCATTAGTGATAAAGACAGTGAAAAAGATAAAGTGGACAGACTCGGCATGTATTTTGCTTCACTTGTTAATGGATTATTGTAAAGGCAGTAGAAAATCAAGCTTATTCCTAAGGATTTTATTTTGACAAATAAGTGGATTGTGGTGTTGTTTACTGAGATAGGAAAAACTGTGGGAGGAAATGATTTGAAGTGGGTGGAAATAAAAAATAAATATTTTGGAAATATTTATTGGAATAAAAGTTGGAAATAAAAGTTTTGTTTAAGTTTGAGATGATTTATTGATACTTATGTGGAGCAATCAGAAGATCAATGGCATTTAAGAGACTCATGGTGAGGCCAGGGCTGGAAGTATTTATGTTGGCGGCATCAATACGTGTACTGTGTTAAATTCCAGGGAGTGGAAGAGGTGACAGCGAGATAGATTGTGTGGAGAAAAAAGAGGGCACAGGCCAGCAAAGGACTGAAAAAGAGCCCAGGGATGTTGGAGAAAAACCAAGAGAACATAATGCATGTCAGTCAAGGAAAATAGATTTTTTTCAAGGAGACAGGAGAGGTCAATTGTGGTGAGTGCCACTAAGAGGAGAGTGAAGTGAGAATGTAAAACAGAAGCAAATGCTGGGTTTGGTGGAGTTGATATTTGCAGTCAGTGGAATATCCAGGATGAAAACTGGATTGGATCCTTTGAAGAGCGAGTAGGAGTGAGGATGAGGTTAAGGTTGACTGTTTTGAGTAGTGAGCTTCAGGGAAGGACTGTGTTCTGGGTTCAGGGATCCAGCTGGATCTAAAGGAAAATGCTAAAGAGGCTGAAGAAAAGCAGGAGGACCTGTGATGCTCAGTCATTAGTGGCAAGGAAATACTAGAGGGTCCCTGTGTGCAGTGGTGACTGCTCATGCAAAAGGTCACACAGCCAATATTTCACACAGCCCATATTTATTAGTGACTTTGAATACACTAGCTATTACTCTAGGTCATGAGAATGAAGTGATGAATAAAATGAATCTGGTCTCCATCAGTGTATGCCATGTAACATTTTGCAGTGACTGTGTACCAGGCCTATGATTTTCAGTATGCAATTTCAATAATGATCCTGTTGTATCTGTGGTATTTAAAAACATATACATCTCTGGAATCTAAAATTGAGAGGATATAAGTAAAACCCAGTGTTACAAATTTAGTGCTGGAAATCAGATTGCAGTTTAAATCTGAGCATGTAGAAAGTCCCTTTTTTCTATGTCAGCAGATGCCTTTTGTGTGAGGTTTGTTTAGGTATACTGCATTATTAGACATAAACCAGTGATTCTGCCCTATATTGTCAGAATGACAATTCTTTATGAAACTAATAGAAGAACAGAAGACAATTGCAAAATCATGATGAATATACTAATTGCTTTAGAATCAAGGAATAGAAAAAGTAATGTGAGCTGCAGTTACAGGATCATAAAAATTAAAATGGGGATATATTTGAGTGTTTATTATGTGATCAGTGCTAAGAAGAGTCATTATCTAATTTTACACTTAACAATAATCCTGCGAGGATTATACTATTATTAAATGCATTTGATACATTACAAAAAGGCTTACGGTTGGTAAAAATTGGCCCAAGTAGAAGAGGTCATGTTTCCATTCGGATTTTCTGATTCTACAGTTTGAGAGTCTGTCCATCATTAGTGAATAGCGACTAGATTGTGCCTGAATTATTGACAAAATTTCTGATATTCATATGAACCAGGTTGTTTCTTAGAGTAGGGGCAGAGATTCAAGGGCTGCTAGTTTCAATGTATAGGAAAACCTTTCTTTTTCTTTTTCTTTTTTTTTTTTTTTTGAGATGGAGTCTTTCTCTGTCACCTGAGCTGGAGTGCAGCAGCGCGATCTTGGCTCACTACAAGCTCTGCCTCCCAGGTTGATGCCATTCTCCTGCCTCAGCCTCCCCAGCAGCTGGGACTACAGGTGCACACCGCCATGCCCGGCTAATTTTTTTGTATTTTTAGTAGAGACGGGGGTTTCATTGTGTTAGCCAGGATGGTCTCCATCTCCTGACCTCGTGATCCACCCGCCTCGGCCTCCCAAAGTGCTGGGATTATAGGCGTGAGCCACTGCACCTGGCCTGTATAGGAGAAACTTTCGCTCATTTTGCATTTATCATTGTAAAACTTTTATATGTCTATCATGGGCATGTGTTGAAGAAGACAAGAAGTATTAAATCACTCCTTCTGAGGTTTGACTAGCAAGTTGGCCTGGGGTTGCCAAATAAAATACAGGTTCCTAGTTAAATCCGAATTTCAGATACACAACCATAATTTATTGGAAATTCAAATTTAACTGGGCATCCTCTGATTTTCTTTGCCAAATCTGTCAACCCTAAGTGGGACACTTAAGCATGGATTACAGTGCTAACCATGCAAGCCACAGTGACAGCAACTTCACACATGTTTATTTTTTAACTTTCTCTCTGTAAAGAAAGTGCTTAGTTAATTTAGGAATAAAAAGATAGACATTGTTTGATCCAGGGTGCACTCCTCTCTGCCATCATTTCTAAAGGGCAAAGGGTGTTTTGTGAAGGTCTCTACTCAACGTCTGGGGACCTGCTCATTTTTTGCAAACTGTCTGTATGAGAATGTCATTTTCTTGGTTTCTCCCTTTCTGAGGAGAATTGACTACAAAACCGAGAGTTCTACCTCTGGCCAAGGCTGGTAATTTAATGCCTGCTGGTATTGTTGGGAGTGGGAGACTGAAAGACATGAGTTAGTTGGCACGTTAAATGGAAATAAAACAGCTGTGGCTGTGATTCATTACTACAGGTAATTAGTGGACCAGTGGCAGAGAAATTAAGAAAGAAGATGATATGAAAGATAAATAACATGATTTGGTGACTGATTGGTAAGGCAAGGAAATCAGTAAATCTTGGTTCTGAACAAGTTCATTTTCTGGAAAGATAGCACTGTATTGGGCCCAGAATTCTACAAAACATTTATTTTGTGTAGGACCAAGATGTTCAACAGATATTTTTCAATGTAATTCTCAGCTGCTCCATAACTAATAGTGGCTTGTTCAACACAGATTTCCCTGTGGTGTTTACCAAGGGAAAGTTCACCACCTATGCCTTCCCTCCCATCACCTTTGGGGAACGTGTGGCAATGTTTATAACAATTTTTGATTGTCACAACAGGGTTTTCTTCGGATATTTAATGAGTAGGAGCCAGGGACACCGCTAGAGAACCTACAATGTACAGAACGGCCTCTGTCACCAACAAAGAATTATCTGGGCTGGGTGTGGTGGCTCATGCCTGTAATCCCAGCACTTTGAGAGGCCGAGGTGGGCAGATCACAAAGTCAGGAGATCGAGACCATCCTGGCTAACATGGTGACTCCCTGTCTCTACGAAAAATACAAAAAATTAGCCGGGCGTGGTGGCGGGCACCTGTAGTCCCAGCTACTCGGGAGGCTGAGGCAGGAGAATGGCGTGAACCCGGAGGCGGAGCTTGCAGTGAGCCAAGATGGCACCACTGCACTCCAGCCTGGGCAACAGGGCGAGACTCTGTCTCAAAAAAAAAAAAAAAAAAAAAAAAAAAAAAAAGAATTACCTAGTCCAAAATGTTAATAGTGCTGAGGCTGAGAGCACCAGTTCACACTGTTCTCTTTCTGAAAATTCTACACTCAGATCTTTTATACACTCACCATCCACTTCAGCTCTTTATGGTTTATTTTTGCTTGTTTTATTGTAAAAAACTTGACAGTTGCATAAATTCAACAACCTTTGTTGTTGAATCCATTTAGTCAATGCAAGTTCAATACCTTCATATTTATTTTTTGCCTTATGCAATATTTTTCAACATTTTCATGAGTCATCACTATTTCTATTAACTTTCAACAGCCTGTCTGTATAAGTCACAAATAGTGATGCTGCTGCAATTGTTTTTCAGTAACATACCTCAGATTTCTGTAGTAATTCTACATTTGATATTATTCACAATGTAAAATGCTTCTATGTATTCATTTCACTTTTAACCACAAGATTATTTTTAAGTTATTTTAGTCATTTTCACACTTCAGTCAAACATAAAGACAAAAACATCAAAAAATATACATAGTGTTTTACATATGTGTATATTTACACACATATATGTATGTATGTTCATATGTATTGAAACTACAGAAGCACATGTCACCAATAAGAGCTCTGAGACACCTTTGACCATTTTCCCTTATAAGATTTACCAAATGAGTTTTGGGAACAATTTTTTTTTCTTTTTTTGAGAGAGTCTCGCTCTGTCGCCAGGCTGGAGTTCAGTGACTCAGTCTTGGCTAACTGCAACCTCCGCATCCAGCGTTCAAGCAATTCTCCTACCTTAGCCTCCAGAGTAGCTGGGACTACAGGCGTGTGCCACCACCCCCAGCTAATTTTTGTATTTTTAGTAGAGACGGGGTTTCACCATGTTGGCCAGGATGGTCTCGATCTCTTGACCTCGTGAGCCACCTGCCTCAGCCACCCAAAGTGCTGCAAATTTCTTTTAACTTAATTTCTGAGCTTTGTTGACTTAGAAATGCAAAAGAAGGGCCGGACGCAGTGGCTCATGCCTGTAATCCTAGCACTCTGGGAGGCCAAAGCAGGCAAATCACCTGAGGTCAGGGGTTCAAGACCAGCCTGTCAACATGGTGAAACCCTGTCTCTACTAAAAATACAAAAATTAGCCAGGTGTGGTGGCACATGCCTGTAACTACAGCTGCTTGGGAGCTGAGGCAGGAGAATTGCTTGAACCTGGGAGGCAGAGGTTGCAGTGAGCCAAGATTGCGCCACTGCACTCCAGCCTGGGTGACAGAGCAAGACTCTGTAGCAAAAAAAAAAAAAAAAGAAAAAGAAATGCAAAGGCAGGCTTGTGGACATTTCATTTATGGGGATCATGGTTTTATTCTCCTTAAAACTCTTCAATACTTTCCCATTGTCTTTAGTTAAATCCAAAATCCTAACACCATCAGTGAGGCTTTTAAATACCTGGCTCCTGTGATTTCTCCAATCTAATATTTTACCCTCCTTCCCCTCAGCCTCTCTGCTTTAGTGAGCTTTGTTCTAGTTTCCTGAAGAAGTTCATCAATTCAAGCTTTTGTACATGGGATTTCCTAAACCTGAAAAGTGCCTCCCGTTTTGTCCCAACAGACAACACAGGCTCCACTCTGCCCCCTGGCTCACACCTGCTTAACCTGTCAAGTCACATCTGAACTGACACTCTTCAGAGGGTCCTTCTGTGGCACCCTAGTGTAATTGAGATCATCCTATTATCCTCTGTTCTAGAAGTCCACACTTCTGACATTTCTCATCCCTGTCTAAGCTCTTGCGTGTTTGGTTTTTGGCCATCGCTTTCACTGCTCTTTAAGCTCCCCCAGTGGAGTGGAGAGGTCTGTTTTCCCTTGTTTGGATTCCTAGAGGCAGCGCAGGGCAGGCACAAGGTCATCACTAAGGAAGTGTTCACAGGATGAACACGGTGGGTACTGCTGAAGGAACCGGTAAAGCGTGTGGGATGAGAGAAGGAGCAGAGAGTGTTTTGGGGGTGGAGGCTCCCAGGAGGAGGCAGCGTGGGCTGCGGTGGTAGGTGGATCCTCCTCCAGCTCCTGCACTGAGTTCTCCAGAACAGGCTGGAGGCAGGGAGGGGGTCCCAAAAGCCTTGGGATCAGAGGTAGTTTTCCCACCTGGTCCCCCGTACCCCCGTCCGCCTCAGAAAGACAGAGGATGAGCCCCTGGGCTGCGCATAGTCGAGGTTGCGGGTGGGGCCAGTCAGTGTCTTCCCCGGAGTCCGCTTCTGTAACCGGATCGTTCGTGTCCCCACAGCACGTTTCTTGGAGCAGGCTAAGTCTGAGTGTCATTTCTTCAATGGGACGGAGCGGTACCTGTAAAGATATTTCTATAACCAAGAGGAGTACGTGCGCTTCAACAGCGACATGGGGGAGTTCCGGGCGGTGACTGAGCTGGGGCGGCCTGACGCTGAGTACTGGAACAGCCAGAAGGACATCCTGGAGCAGAAGCGGGCCGAAGTGGACAACTAATGCAGACACAACTATGGGGTTGTGGAGAGATTCACAGTGCAGCGGCGAAATGAGCACGGCGGGGGGCGGGGTCTGAGTCCCTGTGAGCTGGGAATCTGAGTGTTTGTGTGTTGAGAGAGAGACACACACACACACATCTGTGAACATTTAGAATCCTCTCAATCCTGAGCAAGGGGTTCTGAGGGCAGAGGTGTGTGTGTAGAGTGTGGATTTGTCTTTGGCTGTTGTGGGAGGGGAGGCAGGAGGGGGCTGCTGCTTATCCTTGGAGGCCTCTGTGGGGAGGTGACATGGGAAGTGGGTGCAGGGGGCTGCAGAGAGAGACCTTGATTGTTCTGGGTCCTTAGAGATTCAGGGAAGGGAAATGTAAGGTTTGTGTGGTTGGGGTGAAGGTTTAGGGGAGGAGAGGTGAGGGTTATGGAAGGTTTGGGATAATGTGAGGAGGCCAGTTCCAGACTGTCCCTGGCACATACCCTTAATTTCTAGGGGAATTGAGGAGACCTCTGAGATACCTCTGAAGCTTCTTTAGGTCTAAATTTCTTGCCACTTTTTTGTTTTCTTAGTGTGCGTATTTTTACATAGTTGAAGTGACTGTGAAACTAACTTTTGAATTAAAGTTTTAACACAGTTGCTATTTTATTATAATGCCAATAGTTTTCTACTACTTACGTATTATTCTTTTATATATAATAGCTGTGACACAAATTACCTCACTTTCCCCTTTGTTGACCTTTATTATGACATTCACCAAAAGTTTAAAATGTATGTTTATGGTTAATTTTTAATTTATATTTTTTGACATATAGTTCTTTTGAATTATTTTGACCTATTTGTTGGCCAATTATAATTACTGTTCTAAGAATTCCCTATTGCATTTGGTAGGTAATGGACAATGATCTACTATCTATTATCTTTAGGGCTTTGTACTTTCCTCAGTGATTTTGTGAGTTTTTTGTATGGTAAGATTATTAACACTTTATTGATATTTGAGTCAACATTTTCTCCAGTTTGTGGTTTGTATGTTGATTTTGAAAATTCTTTTCCATGTTAAGAATTTGAACATTTTGGCCGGGCGTGGTGGCTCCTGCCTGTAATCCCAGCACTTTGGGAGGCCAAGGTGGGTGGATCACGAGGTCAGCAGATTGAGACCATCCTGGCTAACACAGTGAAACCCCATCTCTACAAAAAATACAAAAAAAAAATTAGCTGGATGTGGTGGCAGGCACCTGTAGTCCCAGCTACTTGGGAGGCTGAGGCAAGAGAATGGCGTGAACATGGGAGATGAAGCTTGCAGTCAGCCAAGATCGTGCCACTGCACTCCAGCCTGGGTGACAGAGCAAGACTCTGTCTCAAAAAAAAAATTTTTTTTTGAACATTTTTATTTAATCAAATATATTGCGAAATTTATATTAATGATTTACAATCCATCTTAAATCTACCATTTTGTGGTATTGTTGTCTCCAGGTTTCTCCTTCCTTCTTAAAAAAAATAGTATTTATTAAGAGTATCCTAGTGTCAGAGGTTTGCATAGGCATAAGCATCCCAAGTAGTGAGTCCCAGATCCTTCCTTGATCCAAATTTCATTCTGGAAAGAAAAATCATTTTACCATGACAGGCCTAATAATAGTTATGCTTGTTTTGCATGGGAGATGCATTGATCAGCTAAATGTAAATATAAGAACTTTCAAAACTAAAATGACGTTCCTTAATCCTTCTCTCTGCCTTAGGACTCATGCTTTTCTAGGAACTTAAAGATTTGGAGAATGATTTCTGTCTGTCCCACCTTCCCAGGGGCAAAACCATCTCTGTGGTGTTCTAAGGTGTGAGTGCATGGCAGTAATATTCCTAAACATTCATACTCAGTTTCCTCATGTACTCTACTCTGTCCCTTTATCTATACACATTGCTTTAAAATATATTTATCTCTCAAGGATGATAAATAGGTGCGCAGTGGAGCACCCAAGTGTGATGAGCCCTATCACAGTGGAGTGGAGTGAGCAGCTTTCTGACCTCATCAATGGAAGGCTATCTTCAGTCACTGTTTTTTTGTTTTGGAGATGGAGTCTCCCTTTATTGCCCAGGATGGAGTGCTGTGGCACAATCTCCAGTTACTGCAACCTCTGCCTCCTGGGTTCAAGCAGTTCTCCTGCCTCAGCCTCCTGAGTAGCTGGGACTACAGATGCGCACCACAATGCCCAGCTATTTTTTGTATTTTTAGTAGAGACCAGGTTTCACCATATTGGCCAGGCTGGTCTTGAACTCCTGACCTCGTAATTCACCTGCTTCTGACTCACAAGTGCTGAGAGTACAGGCTTGAGCCACCACGCCTGGCCCGGTTATTGTTTTATGTATTTTACATCCATTAATTTCAACCCTTGGGGATTAATGCACATAAAATATATGAAACAATATATAAATGTTTTATACACATAAAATATATAAAACAATATACCTCCTGGGATTATATTAATCATATAACCCAAAGAGGTAAATTAGTATAATTATCCTCCATTATAGGTGAGAAAATTGTGACACAGAATCGAAAAACTCTTACAGGATCAACCAGTAAAAGGTAGACATTGGATTTGAATCAGGCAACCTGCCTCAGAAATCAGTTTTAATGACTACACTCTGTACTTTCAAAGATTTGTAAACATTTTGACAATGCATACCAATTTCAAGCTATGAAGAAACAAACACAATTTTGTTGGGGTGACCAGACCCAACACCAGGTCGTGGGGGTGACAAAGTCCAACAGAGTCAAAGGAATGAGAAAAAGACAGTTTGAGAGAGAAAGTGGGACCAGGGGGCCATTGCGAGTGTGGAGGCTGCGAAGGCCCTGAGCTCTGGAAGCCCATGCTATTTATTGGTGCTCAAACAAACAGTTGGTGAGGATGTGGGGGTTGAAAGGAAACAGTGTATCAAGTGAATGAGAAACATGGCTGCTTGAGAAAATGAGAGTGCTAGAAGCAAGGAGCCAGTAAGTCTAGCAGACATGCAAGCCCTGCCTCAAGCTTCTCTCCCAACACTCAGTTTTCTCCCAACATGCCCCCCTTCTCTTTTTGCAGGCTATGTAGCCCTTAATTGCCAGTTGGTGATCCAGCTTCCTTTTTATGAGCCCTTATTCAAAATGGAGTAACTTTGGTTTGAATGCTTCCTACATATCTCCCCTTTCCCTTTTACAAGAGGACTCTTAATCCTAGGGGTTGCAGAAGGATGAAGGTCCGTCTTCCGTAACTTCTTCATGCTAACTAGGGGCGATGATACTCCTATCTACCTATTAAGGTCTCTTGTATTCAGGATAGAGAGGCGTTCAGTCAGAAAGCATTGGTCCGTTAAGCATCTATAGGTAAAACCTTGGCACTCCAGCAGTTTCTCAGCATGGCTTGTACTGGGGGAACCTGGTCCATGGTTGGGATCCATGGGTCCCTCCGGTCTCCCATTCCATGGTCGTACACATCTTGAGGGCACCTACATGGTTTGTTCATCTCCTGCAAAAACACAAGCATACCCTCACCCTCACGTTAGTAAATCTACTGAAACAGAAGCTACTGAAAAAGAAGACTTGTGGCTGTAGCCGGGAGGCATGCCATTGCTGAAGCATTTGTAACTCAGCTTCGGCCTCTTTGGTTAATTACCACAGGGTAAAACTTACCGTTGATAATGAGAAGCAGGCCCCTTCTAACAGAAGGCACAGAGAAAGCAAATCGAGGCTTAAATGTAATCCTTAAGCCTTCAATTTGCACTGTACAGGAGGGTCCACTAGATGCTGTGGCTCATGATAGATCTTCAGATGTTTGGTGGACACCCACACAGGCACCTGATTGTCACCTGGAGAGACACAAGTAAATCCTCTTCCCCATAAAATTATCTTTCCCTTTTCCTAGCTCTTTGTATGTGCATCCCTCCACCATATATCTTGTCCAGCCTTTTTATTTTCTTTTTGTCCTCTCAGGTGCTGTTCAGCTGCAGTCATGGGTTGATCTTTTTGTAAATTAAAAAACTTTAATGTTAATAAAGCTAAATGCAATTGCATATTTGGTGTCTTATATTCCTGGTCTCCTCCATTTTGCTTTTGTATTTGAGTTTTTAAAGTACAATTAGCTCTTTCCACTATTGCCTGTCCTTTTGAGTTATATGGAATACCCACAGTATGGGTAATATTCCATTGTTGAAAAAATATAGGCATGGCTTTACCACAGTATCCTGGGCCATTACCAGTTTTTATTTTTTCTCGGGTTCCCATAACTGAAAAGCAACATGAAAGATGTCTTTTAACATGAGCTGTAGCTTCCCCTGTTTGACATGTGTCCTGGATAAAATGTGAATAGGTATCTACTGAAACACGAATGAAGGACAATTTTCCAAAAGTAAGACTATGTCTTACATCCATCTGCCAGATGGAATTTGGAGATAAACCTCTAGGGTTAACTCCTCTTCCTTGATGTAGCAGATACAGGACTTGACAGGCAGAACAGTGTTGCACAATTTCTTTAGAACAGTAAAAGCAAATTTTTCATAATCTTGGGCAGCTAAAGGAATGGTAAAAAAGCAATCCTTTAGATTTATCACTATGAGAGACCAGTATTTTGGGATCATTGTTGGGGAGGGCAGCCTGGTTGTAGCATGCCCATGGGTTGAATCACAGCATTGATAGCCCTTAAATCTGTTAACATTCTCCATTTCTCTGATTTTTTCTTAATGAGAAATACAGGAGAATTTCAAGAGGAGAAAGTAGGCTCTATATGTTCCTTTTACAATTGTTCCTGCACCAGTTCTTCTAAAGTCTCCAGTTTTTCCTGTTTCAGCAGCCATTGCTCCACCCAAACCAGTTTGGCAGTTAGCCAAACAAGAGGAATGGGAGCCGGAGGCTCAACAATGGCTGCTCCTAAAAATGACACCCCAATCCGGTCCGATCTGTTTGCCCTTTTAATTCTAAAGGTTCTAATTGCCCAACTTTATCTTTTTCCAGTCCTTTTCCCGGGTGATATCCCATATTTTTCATCATTTGTCTACCATTATTACTATATTGGTCTATAGGAATAGATATTTCAGCATCCCATTGTTGCAATAAGTCTCTACCCCATAGATTAACAGGAATAGGTATTATGATAGGCTGAATTGTCTCTTCCTGACCATCTGGTCCTTGACATGGTAAAATCAAGGAACTTTGAAAAACTTCTGAGGCAGCTCCTACTCCAACAATACCAATGGATGCCTTTTGCTTAGGCCAGAGCCAGGCCATTGATTTATAGCAATAATAGAGACATCAGCTCCAGTGTCTACTAGTCCTTCAAAATCTTTTCCCTGTATAGTTACTGTGCAAATAGGTCTTTTGCCAGACACTTGATTAACCCAATATACAGCCTTTCCTGCTGGATTAGTGTTACCAAAGCCTCCTGTTCTTTTCACTGTGCTGCTTCCTAGTTTTATATAAGGTAAAAGCAACAAGTGAGCAATTCTTTCTCCTGGGGAGGCAGACCACGGAGTCGAGGAACTAATAACTAATTGAATCTCCCCAGTATAATCAGAGTCAATTATTCTCGTATGTACAGTAACACCTTTTAAATTTAGACTAGACCTTCCAAGTAATAGACCAACTGTTCCTGAGGGTAAGGGTCCCCTAACTCCCGTGGGGACCTTCTTTGGTGGCTCCCCAGGAAGTGTGAACTAAAAGATGAGTTACATAGGTGTTTACAAAACACAACTGGATATTTTCCATTATTTTGGGATAAACCAAAATAAATTTTAAAGTTTCATTTGGAGATTTCAAAGCTGAAAATGCTTTCAGCAAATTCTTAGATCTTAAGAAAGTATATATTGTCCATTGTTTATATAATCATTTGCCTTTTTGATCTAAAAATTTTAATACTTGAATTTAATAGGTTTTTCTTCTGGAAAAATTCTTTGGCATTCAAGTAAAAACGATACTTTCAGAGTAGTCACCTGCATCACACTAGAGTGACTGCTTTAATTTCTAAATCATCAGTTAGTGTAACCTAGAGATACTGATAGCCTTGATACATAATTTAGTCTCGTTATTATAGCATGTGGAAATCAGGGCTTTGGGGGGCATCATCTGACCCCATTTCTTTTTACCACAATGGTTCCTGCTACAGTGTCATAGGCTGTTCAATTATGCTGAAAAAAACAGCAGTGTGATATAAGCAGGGAAAAAAAGAAGCAATCAAAAAATTCTTGATCAAAGCTCGTTGTTGCTAACATTTGAGGAAGGCATCACTAAAACCTGACTTGGTGCAATAAGCACTAATGTATCACATGTCTCAACTCAAAGGCCCAGCAGGAACTTCCCTGGGGTAGCTCCACCTGCTCCCCAAATGCAAATTATCTCATAGAAACAAATTAATAATCTGTATAAAAGAGCCACAACCATCATTTTCTGCAAGTCTTCCAGTGATGTGTCTTCATTCATTTCTTCTATTGTATAATGCATAGCAAACTTAGAAATATCCTTTATCCCACTGAGGTGCATAATGCTTAAGATAATGGTTGCTTTTACAAAGAAGAGAATAAAGAAATCCACCATCTCTACCATAAATCTGTGGGCCAAGGATAGAATAACATATTATCTGCCTGCCTGTCGCCTGGTCTCGCTCGGGCTTCCCGAAGGGGCTATGGATCCTACCTTTGTCACTGGAGTGACCCAGACTGATGCCTGCACATGAGGAGCCTGGGGTCCCAGGCCCACGACTTGAGCCGGGGTGCTGATGCCAGCAGCTGTTCCCAGGTTAGGCCTGTGGCCTGGGGGACAGCAGCGCTGCCCAAAGGGAAGCTCCGTGGGGATGGTTGGGGGCTGCAGTAGGTGGGGAAGGCAGCCGGGATGCTGCGCCAGGTGAGGTAGCCGCAGTAGGACTGCCACAGCCACTCGTGAACTTGGGAGCACTTGTGGGCGCTCAGCCGTGCCAGTCTCTCCGCGGTGCCGCAGCCTTGGGTGCTTCACAGCCCGCCTGCCCCTGCAGCCC
Organism: Homo sapiens; assembly: GCF_000001405.40. Lineage (NCBI taxonomy): Eukaryota > Metazoa > Chordata > Mammalia > Primates > Hominidae > Homo > Homo sapiens. The sequence goes on along the minus strand of NT_167246.2, from coordinate 3,948,483 downwards.
TGCCCTCGAGCCAGAGGCCACCTCCCCATGCCTCCCAAGTTTGCAGGGTGGCTCTGACCCATCAGTGGCAGCAGCTGTGAGGCCTGCGGCCATGGGCCAGCCCAGGGGCCACCATAGGGGCATGGGATGGTGGTGGCTGGAGGGCCTCTCAAAGAAGGGATGGGCTCGTGGTCCCCTCCTCCCTCACCGCACCCGGGAGGGTGACCTCAGGGCCCCCTGCCATCGTCGCCCCAGCAGCACCCACCATGGCACCTGCCACTACTCCATCCCTATATGCCCTTCCAAAATCTCCTCCAATTCTCCCCCATCCATCCAACTCCACAGTCCCCCGCTGCGGGAACCATGGACAAAACTGCTTCACTCTACTAAAAAGTGATAACAAACTCTGAGTACTAACTTTCACTCCCCCACTTCATAACAAATGCTTTAAAAAAATTTAAATAAGCAGAATGTCTGCTTTCACTTTGTTCTATTGTTACCTTAGTTTTCCGGGCACTCAGCTTTCCTGCTGAGCTTCTTTTAAGTGTCCTTGAGTGTCCTTTGACAATGCGTCCTCTGCTGTCACATGCTCTAGCATTCCTTCACCAGAGCCTTTGTCACCCCACATTGGACAGCCAGGTATGTTGGGGTGATCAGACCCAACACCAGATCATGGGGGCAACGAAGTCCAACAGAGTCAAAGGAATGAGAAAAAGACAGTCTAAGAGAGAAAGTGGGACCAGGGGGCCATTGTGAGTGTGGAGGCTGCAAAGGCCCTGAGCTCTGGGAGCCCATGCTACTTATTGGTGCTCAAACAAACAAACAATTGGTGAGGATGTGGGGGTTGAAAGGAAACAGTGTATCAAGTGAATGAGAAACATGGCTGCTTGAGATAACAGGAGTGCTAGAAGCAAGTCTAGCAGACATGCAAGCCCTGCCTCAGCTTCTCTCCCAACACACAGCTTTTCACAAAAACACAATTTTTCACAACATCTCTCAAATCTAATGGGTCCTCCTTATAAAGATTCAATTCCAGGCTGATGACACTGTGAGGCCACATGGCCAGCTGTGTTGGAGGCCTGGTCAAGGCCAGAGCCTGGGTTTACAGAGAAGCAGACAAACAGCAAAACATGGAGACTTACTCTTCTTCCTGACTCATTCCCTCTACTTGTTCTTCTCCTAGTCCAACCTAAGGTGACTGTGTATCCTTCAAAAGACCAGCCCCTGCAGCACCACAACCTCCTGGTCTGCTCTGTGAGTGGTTTCTATCCAGGCAGCATTGAAGTCAGGTGGTTCCAGAATGGCCAGGAAGAGAAGGCTGGGGTGGTGTCCACAGGCCTGATCCAGAATGGAGACTGGACCTTCCAGACCCTGGTGATGCTGGAAACAGTTCCTCAGAATGCAGAGGTTTACACCTGTCAACTGGAGCACCCAAGCATGATGAGCCTTCTCATGCAGTGGAATGGAGTGAGCAGCTTTCTGACTTCATACATTTCTCACCAACCATGAAGGGGTCTTTGGTAATCCCTGAGTGTCAGGTTTCTTCTCTCCCACATCATGTTTTCATTTGCTCCATGTTCTCATCTCCATTAGCACAGGTCACTGGGGGGTAGCCCTGTAATACTTTCTAGAAACACCTGTACCCCCTGGGGAAGCAGTCATGCCTGCCAAGCAGGAGAGGCTGTCCCTGTTTTGAACCTCCCCATGATGTCACAGATCAGGCTCACCTGCTCTCCCTGGGCTCCAGGCCCTGCCTCTGGGTGTGAGACTGTGTTTCTGGTGCTGTTGCTCTGAGTTGTTTTTTTGACCTGAGAAGAGAAGTAATGTAGGGGCCCTCCTGACATGAGGGGAATCCAGTCTCAGCTTTGCCTTTTATTAGCTCTGTCACTCTAGCCAAACTACTTAACCTCATTGAGTCTCAGACTTTCTGTTGATCAGATGTTGAAGTTGTGCCTTACATCAAGGCTGTAATATTTGAATGAGTTTGATGCCTGAACCTTGTAACTGTGCAGTGTGATTTGAAAATCATTTTTTTCTCCAGAAATGATCAGTTATTTTCATTCTTGCAGGGAAGCCTTCTCTCTTATTTTCAAAGCTCTGAATCTCAGGGTCTCAATTAAAGAGGTTCCATTTAGGATAAAAATCACTAATCCTTGCTTCCTCTCTCAGGAGCATGGTCTGAATCTGCACAGAGCAAGATGCTGAGTGGAGTCGGGGGCTTCGTGCTGGGCCTGCTCTTCCTTGGGGCCGGGCTGTTCATCTACTTCAGGAATCAGAAAGCTGAGGAGTCTTTTGTATCGGCTCTCTCCATAGACTTATCTGGAGGAGGAAATATGGCTTTGCTGAGGTTAGTTCTCAGTATATGAGTGGCCCTAGATAAAGCCTTTCTTTCCGCAAATGACCTCCAATGTCCTGATAATCCAGAAATCATCAGTGCATGGTTACTATGTCAAAGCATAATAGCTTGTGGCCTGCAGTGATAAGAGAAAGGTTAATAAGAAAGAGTCCTTAGGCCAGGCATGGTGGCTCACGCCTGTAATCCTAACACTTTGGGAGGCCAAGGCGGGTGGATCATCAGGTCAGGAGATCGAGACCATCCTGGCTAACACAATGAAACCCCGTCTCTACTAAAAATACAAAAATTAGCTGGGCATGGTGGTGGGCGCCTGCAGTCCCAGCTACTCGGGAGGCTGAGGCAGGAGAATGGCATGAACCCGGGAGGCGGAGCTTGCAGTGAGCCGAGATCACGCCACTGCACTCCAGCCTGGGCGACAGAGTGACATTCCATCTCAAAAAAAAAGAGTCCTTTCGTTTGACATCCTGGAGCAAATTAAGGAAGAGCCACTAAGACTAATGCAATTACACTGGATCGTGTGACAGACATATCACGCTTCATGGGTCACATGGTCTGTTTCTGCTCCTCTCTGCCCTGGTTGCTGTGGGTTGTGGTGTTAGACAAATCTCAGGTGGGAGATCTGGGGCTGGGACATTGTGTTGGAGGACAGATTTGCTTCCATATCTTTTAAGTGTATATCTTTTCCTCTTTCTCCTAGGACACTCTGGACTTCAACCAACAGGTAATACCTTTTAATTCTCTTTTAGAAACAGATTCAATTTCCCTAGAATGATAGTGGAGGTGATAAGGCATGAGACAGAAATAATAAAAAGACTTTGGATTCAAATTTCTGATCAGGCAATTTACACCAAAACTCCTTCTCTCCACATAGAAAAGGCCTGTGCTCTGCAGGAGTACTGGCTCATGGAGACTTAAGAACTTGTTTTTCTTCTTCCTGCAGTGCTCTCATCTGAGTCCTTGAAAGAGGGGAAAGGAAGCTGTTAGTAGAGCCAGATCTGAAAACAACACTCTCCTCTGTCTTTTGCAGGACTCCTGAGCTGAAGTGAAGATGACCACATTCAAGGAGGAACCTTCTTCCCCAGCTTTGCAGGATGAAAAGCTTTCCCACCTGGCTGTTATTCTTCCATAAGAGAGGGCTTTCTCAGGATCTGGTTGCTACTGGTTCAGCAACTCTGCAGAAAATGTCCTCCCTTGTGGCTTCCTCAGCCCCTGCCTTTGGCCTGAAGTCCTGGCATTGATGGCAGCACCTCATCTTCAACTTTTGTGCTCCCCTTTACCTAACCCTTCCTGCCTCCCGTGCATCTGTACTCCCCCCTTGTGCCACAAACACATTACATTATTAAATGTTTCTCACACACGGAGATAAAAATCATCTAGTCCAGCCAGGCACTGTGGCTCATGCCTGTAATCCCAGCATTTTGGGAGGCCGAGGCGGGCAGATCACGAGGTCAATAGATCAATACCATCCTGGCCAATATGGTGAAACCCCGTCTCTACTAAAAATATAAAAATTAGTTGGCCGTGGTGGCATGCACCTGTAGTCCAAGCTACTTGGAGGCTGAGGCAGGAGAATCACTTGAACCTGGGAGGTGGAGGTTACAGTGAGCCGAGATCGTGCCACTGCACTCCACTCTGGTGAGAGTGAGAGTCTGTCTCAAAAAAAAGCCAAAAAAACAAAACAAACAAACAAACAAAAAATCATCTGGACCATTTGGCTCCAAGGACAAAAAAAAAGAAAGAAAGAAAATTATTTCCCAAAAGAATGATGGTTTTCATGTAGCTGTCATGAGTATGTGAGGTAGTGTATATGTTAAATAGCTTGATTTAGACATTCCACATAGGCATGTATCAAAACTTCATGCTGCACAACATAAATATACAATTTTTACTTGTCAATTAAAAAAGTAAACCTAATGTTTAAAAAGCCAATGCATAAAACCTGAGAACAGACTATAACAACTAAAACAAACTTGGCCAACATGAGATGAGAAACCAGCTAGCAAGTTCATCAGACTCTTTCTTAACCCCATCTACAGTATTGTGTATCCATAACTGTAAATTAGTACATAATTTTTCATTCCAGAGATGTAAGTAATATAGTATTATCAAAGGACTTTTACACATTTCAGAGAAAGACAAATTTAGAAGATGGAGGGTTCTCCATTGTGTTCTATCTGAGTCAGTATCAAACATGTGAAATCTAAAAGTACATAATCAATTCAAAAGTTTATTTCAAAGTAATAATCATTTGAGCATAATTTCTCTACTGTCAGAAACAACTGTTATTTTGTTTTCAAATTCAATGCTTGTTTTATGCATTTTATTTTTAATTATATGTTACTTGTACATACATAGCAGTACAAGTACATATAAATCCTATAAGAATGTAAATCCTATAGGAATATATTAACCTGATAATTATGTCTGCTCTGTTTGATTCCAGCGTTGCAACATATAGGCTTTGTTCCCTAAGCTGAGGAAATGATTTGTCTTCAGACTTGTTGTGTGGAATTATAAGGTAGAACTAAAATGTGTGGGATGAATATTTCAATGAAGATGACTTCTGCTGCGAATAGCAGGAAATCCGACCTTTATTTTTCTTTAACCCATTATCCGCATAGCCTAACAGATCCAAGGCTGGGCATCTCCAGGTTTGCTCAACTCAGCAGGCCGGTGGCATCACCAGTGATCCTGGAACTTCATAGCTCATCTCTCCATCACAAGCAGCACATCAGCTGAGATGGTGGGAGGACCCTCGCAGCAGCTTTAGGTTTCTTATTCTTTCACAACAAGTCCCAAAGGCAGGAAAAGGATACTACTCTTTCCTGTGTGCCTTTATGAGGAGCAACTACACTTTCCAGGGTATTCCCAGTACCCACTTTCTCACACATTGGAATGACCGTGGGATCACACGGGCTCAGACAAGCCAGGATTCAACCTTTGTAAAGTGGGCCTAATGCACATGGGAAGAAAAAGAGCAAAATCATATATTTTTAAAAATAAAGAAATGGGCGGCGCCACACGGGGCAGCACGGGGTCGCCATGGAGGAGCTGCAGCCGCTGCTGGTGCAGGAGGCAGTGGACTCCATCCTGAACAATCTGGAGAGAGAGAACATCCGGAATATGCAGGGTCTCATGTTCCGTTGAAGTGCCAGCTGTCGTGAGGACAGGCAGGCTTCCATGCAGCAGGTGCACCAGTGTGTCAAACTCTGCCATGTTCCTCTGGCTTAATCCCAGGCTTTGGTCACCAGTGAGTTCCAGGACTGCCTGGCCCGGTGCACCATGCATTGCAACCACAAAGCCAAAGATTCAATAGATGCTGGGAGTAAGGAGCTTCAGGTGAAGCAGCAGCTGGTTGGCTGTGTGACCAAGTGTGTGGATGACCACATGCATCTCATCCCAACTATGACCAAGAAGACAAAGGAGCCTCTCTCATCCATTGGGAAATAAAAGTCTTTGCCAGTGGCCATCAGGACTGAGGGCAAGAATATATTTTTTATACAGAATTGGGAATTTTAGACTTTTAAGCAAAGTTTATGAATGAAGAAATTAAGGATGGCCACACGTGTAAGGCATATGTCACTTGCCTCTGGACACTGGTTCTTTTAAAATGTTTCAGTTCTAAAAAATAAAATGAAAAGAAGTCGTGCTAAATTGGATCAGAAATATTACAGGAGAGTTTTAGAACTTATATTTCCTGTGGCCAGTGTTTATCCTGGCAGTAAGGATCTCTCCTGTAACAAGCCAGAGCTCTCCAAGGTACCAGACTCTTCTTACTACACAGGTAACAACGGGCTGGCAGGTTAGAGTTGGTGGAGTTTGAGGAGAGATATTTTCTCTTTGTTGCCAACATCCTATTTACCAGAAGTGTCACCTTACCATTTTCCATAAGCTGTGAAACAAAATTCATGAGGGCACTAACTTGGGGAAAAAAGTTTTCTGGGTCTTTGTTTTCCTCGTTTTGTGTAATTTGTTCAAGGGCATACAAGTTGATTTTAAGATGTGGAATTGGGAGGGAGACTAGTTTGGATAAGAACTTCGAAAGATTCCTTGTGGATCCCCATTTCTAGTCATCAAGATGTGGATGTACATTTCTTAAAATTATTACATGCTGCATCTTTGAGCCTGGAGACCATGCAAAAACATGAGAGGATGACACATTAATTATGGGAAGCAGAATTACTGGCTGATGGGCCCCGAGGCTGTGTGTAGCAAAATGACAGGACAATCTTGCAGTAACACTTTCCTCTTGGAGAGAAGGGTTTGTTTTTTTTTATGTTTGTAAATTTTACTTAGGCCATCGTTTTTTATTTTCACCTTTGAATTTCAAAGTAAATTAGAGATATGTAAATAACAGAATTATCAACATTAAAATCTTATTCACAACAATGGCTAACAAGAACAGGACGACAGTCAAGTCAGTAGCTTTTTAATAAAATGAGCAGAATCCCATCGTAACAGTTCTTTGTTACATGAATTCAAATACACAGCAGACCAATCATGTTCCCTGAAATTTAACAATCATACTTAATAAAGGCCTGTTAGTGCTGTCCCTCAAGACTCTAATTCTAAAGGGCTTCCTTTGAATTCCCTTTATAAAGCTTTGTGCAAAGAAGAGCTTAAGCACCAGTAAGAAAGACTGTTGCTAGCATTTTTATTTCATCATCAACAACAAACATGCAGTTTCTTTCTCTGATGTGCATGGCACTGTAAAATGGGTGCTACACTCTCTCTTGTGGTACAAAGTTTATAAATACAATATACTGATACAAAGTTGAAGCCATTAAAAAGAGCTTAACAACAACTATGAGGAGATAATTAAATCTGGAGTGTTGATGGAATCTATGAAGAGATTTAGAAACAAGACATAAACACTACGGTAAAAGTTTTACTTGGGAAGGGGCCAGAGGGGAACTTTTTATGTGCTACTGAAAGATTTTTTAAGTTGCTCCAAATTTACTTTCTTTCTGCTATTATCTTTAAATACTGCAAAGCATTGTGAGCTGCATCACTTTGTGCATTGCCACAGGAGATACCGGAGCCATGACAGACTGTGATGGGGCTGGTGGACAGTTCAGCAAGACATTGATATTGTCCATTGGCGCTCAGTTCATCTATATCCAAATATGTTATATTAAAACCTTGTTCCTTGGCAATTTCACTAAGCAGCTGGATGTAATCTGTATTTGGAATACTAAGGAGGCTTCTTTTCAATAAGTTGATCTTTTCACCAGGAGAATTCCTCAAGGAATGCCAAGTACATCCTAAAGAATGTCCTACTACATTTGTTAAAGAAATGTGGTTCTCTGGAGAAATATTACTAAATTTGGCAAGAAATTTCTCAGCAGCGTTCCTTTTGGCTTGCTTTTTTGATGCCCCCTTTCCAGTTTCCATAAATGACTCTAGCCTGCAAATTGTAGTATATTCTCTCTTATGAGCAGGTCCTCCCTCCTGGGAAAGGGTATATTCAGGAAGTCTCCAGCCATGATGAATAGCCAATTCCTGTAATGAACCAATAAGATTAAGCTGGTTCTTTGGTTGCTTGGAAGGGTCAGGCATTAAGGGGTCAGGAACTGCAAAGCAAGTACTTGCATTGGCTTTCAAAATGTTTATGGCAGCCTCTGCAGCTCTATGTTTCGCCAGCTTCTTACTTGTACCTTCACCTGTGCAGGTTATGTCACCAACGGTTACTCTGAAGGTGAAAGTGGGCACGTGTATTTGCACACCAGATCTTTCACATTCATAAACTGGGATGTTCTTGGTCTTCATGCCGTATTCGTGTAATACCTGAATCGGTGTTTTCCCTGGCTTAGCTGTTATCATCTTCCCCAAACTGAAGGTCCCACTGTCCTCGCGCTCCAGCGGCAGGGCCTCGGCGGTGCCTGCTCTGGGACATGGCGAGAAGGGACGGCTCAGCGGTTGGAGGAAGAGCGGTGCGGAGCGACGTGCTCGCTCCCCGGGTCGCTGGTCCCCGGGAGGAGCTCCAGCGCCGCCACCTCCTCCGACTCCCCCGCCTCCTGCTTGCGTTCCTCCAGCGAGGGCGCAGGCCGAGAAGGGGGTTTTAATTGTGATATATACTAGTATCTAGGAATGAACAGTAAAAGAGGAGCAGTTGGCTACTTGATTATAACAGAGTTATGAAGTACTAGCTTTGGAAAAATCTGGTTTTTATAGAACAGATGGAATAAAAGCCTAAATCTAGCATTGCCTACTTAGCCTTCTGAATTAACAGAGCTCAATTGAGACAAACCCCTGGCAAAAGGAAATTCAAGGGAGAAAAAGTAAGTAATTTGGGCTAGTATGAGCTGACTCCCTTAGAGCAAAGGAGAGGCAGCCCTGATTACCAAATACCATTTTGCCTGGGGCTTTCACAACTTGCACTGTTCCTGCCCTGGCATGGCAACTTATTGTTTTGATAGCAACCTCATTGTATTTTCACCAACTTATTACTTGAAATGATAACATAGCCTTTCAATTTACTGGTCCAGGCTGTGATATATTTTCCTAGTGGTTTGGTTTTAAAAATAAATGAGGTTTAATTTTCTCCCCCTGAAAAAAAAAAAATTAAAGAAATGGTGGATGGAGTAGGAGAAATTGATTTCAGGGTAGGGAAATGATAGATTGTGGTACTCTTAGGTTGTTAGTATTTGTAGTTAAATTCCACATGAAGGCCTAAAGATTCCTGATAGGCATCCTCAATTCAGGGTTTGGGGTCTACATATATATATATATATATATATATATATATATACATATATATATATATGTATATACATATATATATATATGTATATATATATACACATATATATATGTATATATATATATACACATATATATATATATATACACACACACATATATAGAGAGAGAGAGAGAGAATTAAATGTCAGCCATTTACTCAATTACCATAAAACAAAAAAAAGCAAGCAAAAAAGGATTGTTTTTAGAACTCAAGTATGCTGACGTGTTATTTTATGAGGTAAATACATTTTCCAGGGAAATTTTTGAAAAAAAGTAGAATAAGGAATGACTAACTCTATAAGGTACTAAAACATACTATGTATTTATTTTTAAAAATGCATTGTCGCCGGGTGCGGTGGCTCATGAGTGTGGTCCCAGCACTTTGGGAGGCCAAGGTGGGCGGATCACGAGGTCAGGAGATTGAGACCATCCTGGCTAACACGGTGAAACCCCATCTGTACTAAAAATACAGAAGAGAATTAGCCGGGCGTGGTGGCGGGTGCCTGTAGTCCCAGCTACTCAGGAGGCTGAGGCAGGAGAATGGCGTGAACCCAGGAGGCAGAGCTTGCAGTGAGCTGAGACAGTGCCACTGCACTCCAGCCTGGGCGACAGAGTGAGATTCCATCTCAAAAGAAAAAAAAATGCATTTTTACTGATTCTCTTTTTTATTATATGCTAGTAAAACAGAGTCTAGAATTAGAAACAGAAGGAGTTGAGATTCAGTTTCAGTTTTGGGTAAGTTGTATTCCAAACTCATTTCGTTCACTAAATGGATCCCAGATGAATAAAAATGGAAACATAAAGAGAAAATATAAAATTAATAAGACAGTTGTAATTTCTAATGCTATCATCATCATTATAATTATGTTTGAAGACGAATAGACTTTCTAAACCCTTATGTGTTGCTGGTGGGAGTGTATGATTTTACAAATACCTGGAAATTTGTCAATTTCTTTAAAAGTTTAACATATGTTTGCCATATGACCCCCCAATTTCAGTCCTTGGAATCTACATAAGAGACATAAAAACGTATGTCCTCACAAAGATATGTGCTCAAGTGTTCAGAAAAGCCTTAGCTGTAGTTGGCCCAAACTGAAAACAATCCAAATATCCTTCAACTAGTAAATGGACAAACAAAATGGATCAACTACACCCATGCAAGGCAATATCATTCAACAATAAAAGGGAACAAAACTAGACTTGTCTGGCAGAGGAGATACCATGAACATGAGGGTAGTTTTCCCAAGGCAAGTTTCAACCCTTGCACTCTAGATGATGAGAGATTACTTAATGGGTACAATGCATGTGATTTGGGTGATGGATACTGTAGAAACACTGATGTCACCATTATGCAATCTATGCAGTCTATGCAGGTAACAAAACTACACTTGTACCTTATAAATTTACACAAATGAAAAAAGAGAAAATAAAAAGAAATGAAGAGAAAAGAAACAAAATGATGATATATACTACAAAACTGATGAACTTCAATAGTGTTAACTAAGTGAAGGAAACTGGACACAAAAGTTCACATGTGGGATGATTTCATTTACTTGAAATATCTAGAAGAGGTAAATTTATAGACACAAAAAGCAGATCATTGGGTGCCTAGGGCTTGAGGTATCAATGGGAATTAACTATAAATAGAAAAATTTTGGACATGACAGAAATAAAACTGGATTGTTGTGATAATTGTAAAAATCTATTAATTTACTAAAATCACTAAATTTTACAAATACGAGTGAATTTTGTAGTATGTAAATTCTGCTTTAGTAAACCTGGTAAAATAATTCTTTTTTTTTTTTTTTTTTTTTTTTTTTTTTGTGAGACAGAGTCTTGCTCTGTCGTCCAGGGTAAAGTACAGTGGTCAATTTCAGCTAACTGCAACCTCTATCTCTTGAGTCCAAGCTATTCTCCTGCCTCAGTCTCCCAAGTAGCTGGGACTACAGGCATGCACCACCACGCCTGGCTAATTTTTTGTATTTTTAGTAGAGACAGGGTTTCACCATGTTGGCCAGGCTGGTCTCAACTCTTGACCTCAGGTGATCTGCCCACCTCAGCCTCCCAAAGTGCTGGGATTACAGGCGTGAGCCACCATTCCCGGCCAAAATAATTCTTTTTTAAAAAATAAGAGTTGGTAAGCAAGACAAAATCCAGAAGACACAAATGAAAACAATATTGCAAGAAAATTACTGATTTCTGGCCGGCTGCGGTGGCTCACGCCTGTAATCCCTGCACTTTGGGAGACCGAGGTGGGCGGATCACGACGTCAGGAGATCGAGACCATCCTGACTAACAAGGTGAAACCCCATCCCTACTAAAAACACAAAAAGTTAGCCAGGCGTGGTGGCAGGCGCCTGTAGTCCCAGCTATTCGGGAGGCTGAGGCAGGAGAATGGCGTGAATCCGGGAGGCGGAGTTTGCAGTGAGCTGAGATCCTACCACTGCACTCCAGCCTGGGCGACAGAGAGAGACTCCGCCTCAAAAAAAAAGAAAGAAAGAAAGACAGAAAAGAAAATTACTGATTTCTTTGCATGAAGAAAATCACAAAATTAAAAGAAGTATATGAAGCTCAGGAAAAATTTTGATCATATAAGGCAGACAATGGGATAACTTTCTTATAAAAAAAATTGTTGGCCAGGCGCGGAGGCTCACGCCTGTAATCCCAGCACTTTAGGAGGCCGAGGTGGGCTGATCACGAAGTCAGGAGATCGAGACCATCCTGGCTAACACGGTGAAATCCCCGTCTCTACTAAAAATACAAAAAAAATTAGCCGGGCATGGTGGCGGGCGCCTATAGTCCCAGCTATTCGAGAGGCTGAAGCAGGAGAATGGCGTGAACCCGGGAGGCGGAGTTTGCAGTGAGCCCAGATCGCGCCACTGAACCTCCAGCCTGGGCGACAGAGCGAGACTCCGTCAAAAAAAAAAAAAAATTGTTAACTAATCAATCAATAAATTAATGGAAATGCCACAGAAAATTGGGCAAAGGATAAAGACCGACTATAGAAGAGAATCTTCCAGTAGTCAATAAATATAAATATTTGCTGAAACTCACCAATGAACGGAAAAATTCAAATTCAAACAGCAATGTAATAAACTATTTCTCCCCCAGCAAAATTGGCAAGTAAAATAGTTTGTTTTAAAATCAAGGATTTAGAAGATTCTATGGGAATAGATTCTCTCATATTATTAGGATTGCGAGTGGATGGCAGTGCGGGAATATCTATTAAAACTCAAAATGCAATTGTTACATGCTAGATGAAAACAACAAAAAAACCATTCTAAACATCTGTCTTAAACAATCTTACATGAGCCCAAGGAGACATAAAATTTGTCGTTTTTTGAGCCACAGTACGGAATAACAAAAACATTTCCAAATTCTAAAAGAAAAACTGAAAATTTGTCTTGATTAGAAAACTTTTGTACATCATAAAAACTATGCAGTATGTGAAGTGACAGCACATTGCAGGATGACATTCGGTGCTGTGTGGAGCACTGTGAGCATATATAGGTGTAACCCCGTGAGTAGTTTGGATAATACAGTATTTCCACTCCAGACTTTTACAGTCTCGATACATTTTACTTTGTATGTCCATGATTACATATAAAAAATGTAACAGGAGGGAAAAGAAACATTCTTAATATTTAGATAGAAGAAAGGTAAATTGTGGTATAGCCATAAAAAAGAATAATATACAGGGCTTTAAGTAAGTTATGTGGGATTATCAACATGGATTGGGAAAAAACCATTAACCATAATGCCAGTTAGGAGGTAGAAAATTACAAGAATTGTCACTAGTAATATAAGAACAAAAAATATAGACTAAACTAAATGGATAAACTGGAAAATAATCTTATTTTTAATATTTTAATGAACCATAGATCCAAAAGTATAAAAATTCCAAATTCCAGAGATGAACAAATTCCACTTAGGTGAGCAAGGACAAATGTCCACTTTTATTCCTTGGTCCACCTACTGAATCTTAACATGGGTGGAAGATAAAGCCTGGCTGAGAAAGGGAGATTGTGAGGGAGTAAGGACAAACCAGCTGAGTTGTAAATAGCCCTGTGGGCCTGTGTGATGCATTACAATCTATGGAGACCCCCTGAGTAATATCTATCTATTTTACCCTGCCAGCTGATTCTCCTTCTAGAACTTTTTCTGACTTCATCCTGGTGGTGTGGGAACTAGGGAGGTAGATAGAAGACAGCAAACATCTCTGTAGATTCATGTAAACAAAGATCAGGAAGTAAATCAATATAGGAACAGTACTTTCAACCATCTTGACTTAGTTGGCATTTACAATTGACATATATATTGACAATATCTGATAACTACAGAATATTTATTTTTTACATTGCACAAATATTATTCATAAAATAGAGCAAATACTATGACTATAAAACTAGTCTCAATTACTTTTACAAGAATAAAATCATACAGAGTGTATTCTATGAACACAGTCTTATCAAATTACAAATTAGTAAGATGCAGAACATTGCCCAAATTTTTGGAAGTAAAATAATATATTTCTAAATAAACTATGACTTGTCAAAGAGAAAATCAGAAGGAAAATTAGAAAGTAATTTTAAAGAAAATAATACTAAAATGAATTTTAAAAATTTTTCAGATGCAACCAAGGCAGTCCTTAGAGAAAAATATTTAGTTTTCAATGTTGTATCATAAAAGGATAAATATGTAAAAATCAAAGACCTAACTTAAGAATCAACAAAAGCAAATTTAACTTTAAAAAAGTAGAAAAAAAAAGGTGAGAAAATTGATAAAATTACTCTTGATTTTGTTTTCTATTTGTTTATGGTAGAACATAATTGTGTTCATTCTGACATTGCTAAAAAGAAATACCTGAGGCTGGGTAATTCATAAAGAAAGAGGTTTAACTGGCTCAGGGTTCTGCAGGCTGTACAGGAGGTGTGGTGCTGGCAATTGCTTCTGGTGAGGGCCTCAGGAAGCTAACAATCATGGGGGAAGGAAAGGGGAGCCCGGGTATCACATGGTGAGAGCAGGAGTACAGAAAAAGTGGGGAAGAGTCACACTCCTTTAAACAACTAGATCTCATGTGAACTGAATCAAAACTTACTCATTTCAGCTAGGATGGCACTAAGCCAATGATGAAGGATCCGCCCCCCGACCAAACTACCTCTCAACAGGCCTCACCTCCAATATTGGAGGTTACATTTCAACATGGGATTTGGAGGGGACAAACATCCGAACTATATCAATAATTGCTTTAATGTATACTGACTTTGTATCCAGCAACATTATATAAACTTACTTCTTAAATCTATGAGTTTGTCTATTATTTTTATTTTCTAAGTACCTGATTATGTCAAGAGTAAATAATGACCATTTTACCTGGATGCAATTATTATCTCTTTTATATATTTTTCTTGCTATTTTCATTGCCTAACTCCTTTACTTCTCCACTAATTGATTCTCAAATGCTCAAACCACCTGCATTTCTGGAATAAACTCCACTTGGTCATGATGTAGCAGCCATCTTTTATATCACTGAATTCAGTTGGCTAACATTTTCTTAAGAACTTGGCTCATAAGAGTTACTGGTCTATAAATTCCTATTTGTTGTACAGTTCTTTTCATGTCTTGAAGTAAAGTTTATGCAGATCTCATCAAATGTAACTGCAAGTGTTTTTCCTCTTTGCAAATATGTTTGAAGTTTGCATAAAGTTAGTGTTGTTTATTCCTTAAATATTTTAAAATAGTTACTGAAGCTAAATGAACCTGAGGTTTTGTCTTAGGAAAGCTTTATGGAATGGGCTTACTTTCTCTATGTGATGTGGAACTCTTCTTATTTTATGTTGTCAGCTTGAGTACATTGTACATTTTGAGTAACTTATTCATTACATGCAAATTTCTTTTTGTAAAGTTGTTCATAATATTTAGTATTATTTCATGCTGATAAATCTGTAACATTATAACAAAAAATATGAAATTTGTGTCACTGGAGTCTTAAAGAAAGATGACAGATGGGTGATGCCCAAAGACTGTTTGAAGGAAGATTGACTATTTTCCAAATTCGGACAAAGACTTAAATGTAAAAATTCAAGAATCTGTTCAAACCCAAACGAAGATAAATCCAAAGAAATTTTTTTTTTTTTGAGACGAGTCTCGCACTGTCGCCCAGGCTGGAGTGCAGTGGCGTGATCTCCACTCACTGCAAGCTCCACCTCCTGGGTTCATGCCATTCTCCTGCCTCAGCCTCCCAGGTAGCTGGGACTACAGGCGCCCACCACCATGCCTGTATTTTTTAGTACAGACGGGGTTTCACCATGTTGGCCAGGATGGTCTCGATCTTCTGGCCTCCTGATCTGCCCGCCTTGGCCTCCCAAAGTGCTGAGATTACAGGCGTGAGCCAGTGCACCTGGCCAAATCCAAACAAATTTACGCCAAAAAATCTAGAAAGCAGCAAGAGAGAAATGACATCTCATGCATAGGAAAAAATAAATTAAATGACAGTAGATTGCTCATTAGAAATCATGCAGACCAGACAGAAGTGGCAGAAGATAATTTAATGGCTGAAAGTAATGTTAACCTAGAATGTATATCCATTTAAAATATTGTTATAAAATCAAGGTTCTATCATGACACTCTTTTTTTTCTTTTTCTTTTTCTTTTTTAGATGGAGTGTTGTGTCATTCAGGCTGGAGGGCAGTGGTGCAACCACAGCTCACTGCAGCCTCTGCCTCCCAGGCTCCTGGGATCCTCACACCTCAGCCTCTTCAGTAGCTGGGATTACAGACACACACCACCACGCCTGGCTAATTTTTTTGTATTTTTGGCAGAGACAGAGTTTTGCCGTGTTGCCCAGGCTGGTCTCGAACTCCTGAGCTCAGGGGATCACCTGTCTTGGCCTCCCAAGGTGCTGGGATTACAAACGTGAGCCGCCTTGCCCGGCCATGACATTCTTAGAGGCAGGAAAATCAAGAAATTTGATGCTAGCTGACTTATCCTAAATCATAGGCTAAAGGAAGTGCTTGAACTGGAATAGAAATGATAATGGAGGAAAACTTGGACAATCAGGAAAAAACAATAGAATGAGTAAAAATATGGGTAGATACAACAGACTTCTCTTCTTCAGTTTTTTTTATACTCAGATTTATGTTTATTATAGAGAAATTGTGCATTAAAAGCACTCAAGGAAAAAAAAACCTATAGGGAAGAGTCTGGGAGGGTTCTAAATAGGAATTTTCCACATCCTCAGAAATGTTACCCTTCTGGCATTACATATGACAATGCACTAGAGGTATTGCCTACCTGCAACTCTCACCAAACCTTTAGTGTCTATAGTTTTATTGAGGCTTCCCTATACAAACATGATTGATTGATTCATTGTCAGTGTGATTGAATGAAATCTTCAGGTCCCTCTCTCCAGAGGTGAGGCAATATCATGTGACCCAAAGCTTCAACTTCCTAATCACATGGTTGGTCTTTCTACTGTGGCCATATCCCACCCCAAGACTACTGGATGTGCCTGCCTGGTCCCACCAGACCATCAGGTTAGCACAAACTATCAGGTGTGGTCCCAGGGGTCTACTATAAACAACAAAGATACTCCTGTCACTCAGGAAATTCAGTTTTCTAAATTAATTTGATGGTTGAGGCAAAAATTACAACATTGTCAGATGTGGTTTTTGATGTAAGTAGAGAAAATAAAAAATACATATTATAGATGCAGAAGTGGAAAGGGATATAAAGGACATAAAGTTTCTACACTTTAGTCAAATTGGTAAAATGTCAGCACCAGTAGACTATGATAAGTTATGTTAATATAAACCACAAAAACTATACAGTGAGATACACCAAAAAACGGTTGATTAAAAAAAGGAATTCTAAAAATTGCTTAAGGAACACATTGAAAAACAGGAAAAGAAAACAGAGAAGCAAAAAACAAAGAAAACAAAAAGCAGATGGCAGTCGTAAGAGCTCACATATTAATAATTGCATTACATGTAAATTGTCTAAACAGACAAATGTCAGAGTGAAAAATAATGACCCATCGATATGCTACCTGTAAGAAACTTACTGCAAATACTACAAGAGTGGAAGGCTGAAATAGAAAAATGGAAAAAAATAAACCATACAAACACTTGTCAAAGAAAGCAGAAATGGCTATAATATCAGATAACATAAAATGCACAGAGCAGAGAATATTCTGAGAGACAAATGGAAAGACTACATAATGATAAAAGTGTTATTTCAGAAAGAAGACATTTCAGCTCCGAATGTGTGTGCACCAAAAAACTGGTTACAAGTAAGTAGAGCAAAAATGGTCAGAACTGGAAGGAGAAATAGACAAATACACAGTTAAACTTTAAGACTTCATAAATCATCTCTGAAAAATTAATAAAATAACTGTACAAAAACTCAGCAAGATAATGAAACCCAACAAAACTATCCAACAGTAAGATCTAATGGACATTTGCAGACCACCACACCAAACAGCAGAATACACATTTTTTAACTCTCCATGGAATATTTACCAACATAGATCATACCCTAGACTCTAGACCATAATAGCCATAATAGGAACCTCAACAAATGTGAAAGAATTGAAATCATACAGACTGTGTTCTCTGGAAACAATGGAGTTGAACCAGAAATCAATAACATGAAGAAAATTGGTACAACTCCAAACACATGGAAATGTAATAACATACTTTTAAATTACCCGTACATCAAAAAAGAGGTCTTCAGGAAAATAAAAAAATGCATTCATCTAAGTAAAAATGAAAATACAGTGTATCAAAATGTTTGGCACATAGCTAAGCAGTGCTTTGAAAAACTATTTATAGTACAAAATGTATACACTGAAAAAAAGAAAAGGTCAGAAACCAATAATCTCAGTTCCCAACTTAAGAATTTACAAAAGTAGTCCAAAATAACCTAAAGCAAGAAGCAGTTAAAAAAAAAAAGAGAGAGAGAGAGAGAGAATATACGGGCAGAACTCAGTGGCTCACACCTGTAATCCCAACACTTTGAGAGGCTGAGGTGGACAGATCACCTGAGGTCGGGAGTTTGAGACCAGCCAGACCAACATGGAGAAACCCCGTCTCTACTCAAAATACAAAATTAGCCAGGCCTGGTGGCACATTCCTGTAATCTTAGCTACTCAGGAGGCTGAGGCAGGAAAATTGCTTGAATCTAGGAGGTGGAGGTTGCAGTGAGCCAAGATCGTGCCATTGCACTTCAGCCTCGGCAACAAGAGCAAAACTCCATCTCAAAACAAAAATAAAAACAAAAACAACACAAAACAAAAAAAAAAAAAAAAACAGGAAACCAGTGAAAGAAAAAGTTTGTTCTTTGAAAAGATAAATAGAACTGACAAATTTCTGGGACAAACTAAAAGGAAAAAAGGAGAAAAAAACACCAATATTGGGATTGAAACATGTTATACCACTACAGATCCTTCGACATCAATAGTACACTAAAGGAATACACCAAAAACAATCAGGTGAAATGGGAAAAAATCCTTGAAAACTACACACTATTACAACTAATTCAATAAGAAATAGATAAATTGAAAAGCTCTACAATTATAAAAGGAATTGAACTTATAATATAAAGACTGCTGAAGGAGAAATCTCTAGGCCAGAATAGTTTCACAGGAAAAATCTACCAAACATTTCAGTAGAATTACCACAAGTCTGCAAAATTTCCTCCAGAAAACAGAAGAGAAGGGAACACATCCCAACTTAACGTTATGAGACCAGCATTTCCTAAAATCAAAAGCACACAAAAATAGTACAACAAAAGAGAAGTAAAAAGCAATATACCTGCATGACTATAGATGCCAAATTCCTTAACTGAATGTTAGCAAATAAAAATCAGCCAAACTGAAAAAATATGTAAACTATGCCAAGTAGCGTTTATTCTAGGGATGCAAGTGTGGTTTAATGTTTGAAATCAATCCATGTCATCCTTATATTAACAAGTTGAAGAAGAAACATCGCATGATTCTATCAACTGATGTAGAAAAGGCCTTTGACATAATTCAACATTCATTTATGATAAAAAAAAAAACAACCCTCAAAGTAGTAGGAATAGAGGAGGACCTCCTCAACTTGATAAATAACTTCTACAAAAATGTTGCCACTAGCCAGGTGCGGTGGCTCACGCCTGTAATACCAGCACTTTGGGAGGCCGAGGCGGGCGGATCACAAGGTCAGGAGATCAAGACGATCCTGGCTAACACAGTGAAACCCCGTCTCTACTAAAAATACAAAAAATTAGCCAGGCGTGGTGGTGTGCACCTGTAGTCCCAGCTAATCGGGAGGCTGAGGGAGAAGAATGGTGTGAACCCGGGAGGCGGAGCTTGCAGTGAGCAGAGATCGCACCACTGCACTCCAGCCTGGGTGACAGAGCAAGACTCTGCCTCAAAAAAAAAAAATGTTGCAGCTAAATTATACTTAATAATAGAAGACTGAACGCTTTTCCTCTTTTGCTTCAGCTAATGAGGAAATTCACAAAGGTCACTGAATTCAAAATCAACCAAAAAATCAATTTTATTTGAATATATAGTATTGAAGAAATCAAAACAAATGTTAAAAATACAACATGAATTATCTTCACTCAAAAAACCTCATAAGTATATCAACAGAACATGTACACAATACATATACTGAAATACTGATAAAGAAATACAAAATCTAAAGAAATGGAGAGATTTACTGTGTTCATAACTAGAAAACTAAATATAGTAAAGATGTCATTCCTCCCCAATTTGATATCCAGCTTTAACACAATTTCTCTCTAATTCCAGCAAGATTTGTAATAGTTGTAGACAAAGTTATTCTAAAACGTATAGGAGAAGCAGGGGAACTAGTATAGGTAAAACAAATTTCATAGGAAAAAAGAGATGGAGAAATAACTGTAACCAAATTTCAGAAGTTTTATAGCTATAGTAATCAATACTGATTGACATTAGCACAGGGATAGACATAGATTAGTGGAGCAGTATAAAGAATCCAGAAATACACCTATGCCAACTCATTTTGACAGAGATACAAAATAATTCAATGGAGGTAATATAGTCTACAGTCTTTTCAAACAATGATCCAGGAGAAAGTGGAAATCCATAGACAAAAACAAAACCAAGCAAAAACAAATAGAAGCAGGCCAGGCGCGGTGGCTCACGCCTGTAATCCCAGCACTTTGGAAGGCTGAGGCGGGTGGATCACGACGAGGTCAGGAGTTCGAGATCAGTCTGACCAACATGGTGAAACCCCCATCTCTACTAAAAATACAAAAAAATTAGCCAGGCGTGGTGGCACGCCTATAATCCCAGCTACTCAGGAGGCTGAGGCAGGAGAATCGCTTGACCCCAGGAGGTGGAGGTTGCAGTGAGCCACGATCATGCCACTGCATTCCAGTCTGGGCGACAGAGCAAGACTGTCTCAAAAAAAAAAAAAAAAAAAGGAAGCAAAGGGAAAAAGAAGCAAAAAAGAAACAACAAATTCTCACACCTTATGAAAACATTTACCCCAATTAAATCATGTCTACATGTAAAACATTTAGAAGAAAACATATGAGAAAATCCTCAGGAGCTAGGGCCCAGTGTCTGAGTTTTGAGTTCTTAGACATGACACCAAAAGCACTATGTGTAAAAAACAAAAAACAAACAAAATCAATAAATAGGGCTTTATCAAAATTTAAAACTTTTGTTCTGTAAGGTATCCTGCTAAGAAATGAAAAGTAAACTAGAGATATGGAGAAAATATTTAAAACCACATATATTACCAAGAATAAATTATCTAGAATCTATAATCAACTATAAAAGCTCTACTATAAAATCTATAGTAGACTGCAGACTATAAAATTTAATTACATAATGGGCAAAATATATGAAAAGACATTTTATCAAAGAGGATATATATACATGGCAAATAAGCACAATGAATGACATGCAAATCACTAGCCATCAGGGAAATGCAAAAGAACATGATGTAATAGCACTACACACCTCTTACTACAGCTAAAATTAAAAAAAAAATTGACAATGGTAAATGCTGGTGAGAATGCAGAAAAACTGGATTTCTCATACACTGATGGTGAGAATGTAAAATGGCACACTGCCTCTAAAAACTGGTGTCTTGAAGAACTAGACAAATATTTGCCACATGAGCCAAGAGTTACACTCTGCAATATTTATATCAGAGAAATAAAAACACATGTTCACACAAAAATCTCACACAAATGCACACAACAGCTTTATTTGTAATAGCCCTAAAATACAAACAGCCAAAATGTCCCTCAACAGGCAAATAAACTGCAGTACCTCCATCTAATGGAGTATTTCCTTAGCAATAAAACAGAGCAAATTGGGCCAGGCACAGTGGTGCACGCCTGTAATCCCAGCACTTTGGGAGGCTGAGGCGGGTGGATCATGAGATCAGGAGATCCAGACCATCCTGGCTAACACGGTGAAACCCTGTCTCTACTAAAAATACAAAAAATTAGCCAAGTGTGGTGGCAGGCGCCTGTAGTCCCAGCTACTCGGGAGGCTGAGGCAGGAGAATGGCGTGAACCCGGCAGGTGGAGCTTGCAGGGAGCCGAGATCGCACCACTGCGCTCCAGCCTGGGCGACACAGCAAGACTCCATCTCAAAAATAAATAAATAAATAAATAAAATAAAAAAATTAAAAGGAACAAATTGTTAATACATGCAACAACTTGGATGGATCTCAAGGACATTATACTGAGGGGATAATGCCAGTCACAAAAGTCACATACTGTGTGATTCTGTTTATGTAACATTTTCAAAATGACACTATTATAGAGATTGGTGGAGAAGAGATTAGTGGTTGTTAGTTGTCAGGGTGATGGTGTGTAGGGAGTAGGGTGTGACTCTGAAGGGCAGCATGAGGGGAGATCTCTGTGGGATGGAATAGTCCTAGATTGCGTGGTGGTTACGTAAATCTGCAAATATGATAAGACACAGGCATAGAACTATGGACACACATTCTACCAAAGTCAGTTTCCTGGTTTTGCTACTGTGCTAGAGCTACTTAAGATATAAACATTTGGAATAACTGGGTGAAAGGGTATGCATATTTTCTCTGTTGTGTCTTTGCAATTTCCTGTGAATCTGTAATAATTTCCAAGTAAAAAGTTTTAAAAAACATTTTTTTTTCTGGCTGAAATCCAAAACTCTTACAAAACCAAATGCTGGCAAAGATGTAGAACAACGAGAACTCAGATTCATTGATGGTGGGAATGCAAAACAGTACAGCCACTTTGGAAGACACTCTGGCTGTTTCTTACAAAGCTAAACATACTGTTACCATATAATCCAGCAATGGCACCTCTGACTATTTACCCAAATGACTGGAAAACTTATGTCCACACAAATTCTTGTGTATGGATGTTTACAACAGTTTTATTCATAATTGCCAAAAATTGGAAGCCCACAAGGTGTCCTCAATAGTTGAATGTATACAGAAATTGTGATATATCCATACTGTGGCATACTATTCAACAGTAAAGAGAAATAAGCTATCAAGTTATGAAAACACATGGAGGAAACCTATAGGGATATTGCTAAGTGGAAGGAGCCAGCCTGAAAAAGCTCTATACTGTATAATTACAACTATATGACACTGTGGAAAAGGCAAAAATACAGAGAGTAAAGAGACCATGGGTTCAGGAGGAGGAGGGATGGGTGAGTAGGTTGAGCCTCAGGCATAGTTAGGGAAACTACTTTGTATGATGTTTTCGTTACTGAAACACCATGGATTTGTCTAGCTCCTGCCAGGGCCACACACAGAGCCAATGACTGAGATGACAAGTATTGCCGAGGAAAAAGGCTTTAATCTGTAATCAGGCACTGCAGCTGAGTACATAGGAGACCAGTCTCAAATCCATCTCCCTGACTGACTAAAATTAGGGGTTTATGTAGCAAAGAAGGAATGTTACTGTGTATGGGAAAACAATAACTCTGGACAATAAGAAAACAATCATAATGAATGATGGAGAATGGCATCTCATGGTCTGGATGTGATGAGATGTGATGATCTGGTGAGTTCCAGTTATTTGATAATTTTTGAGAGACCTGAGCATCCTTTCTTGAGCAAGGACGTCAGATAAAAGTAATGTAAATTTTGGCCGGGTGCGGTGGCTCATGCCTGTAATCCCAGCACTTTGGGAGGCCGAGGTGGGTGGATCACAGGGCAGGAGTTCGAGGCTAGCCTGGCCAAGATGGTGAAACCCCGTCTCTACTAAAAATAATTTTTAAAAAATTAGCTGGGAGTGGTGGCAGGTGCCTGTAATACCAGCTACTTGGGAGGCTGAGGCAGGAGAATCACTTGAACCCAGAAGGTGGAGGTTGCAGTGAGCTGAGATCCCACCACTGAATTCCAGCCTGGGTGACAGAGTGAGACTCCGTCTCAAAAAAAAAAAACTAATGTAAATTTCAAGTTTTAAGAGAAGAAGGGTCAATTTCTACGTTTATCCAAATAACTATCCATGGGACTATTGGGTTGGTTTCACTTTAATCAGAACCCACACAACTGTGTAAAAGTGAACCCTAATATAACTATGAAACTCAGTTAACAATAAGTATCAGCATTGGTTCATTAATTGTAACAAGGGTGCCACACTAATGCAGGATGTTAATAATAGGAGAAAGTGAACAGAGGGCTGTTTCAGGGAAGGATGTATGTGGGAACTTACTAAACTTTCATTAAAATATTTTTGTACACTTAAAACTACTTTAAAAATGGTCTTGCTACATGAGAGGATATGGATTTACTTTTGCTTTTCATTCCATACTTGTCTGAGTTTGAGTGTATTCTCTATTGTTCGTCTATTTATTTTATATTAAAATGGTAGATATGTTAAACGCTTACTCTATTTGCAACACTCTCAAGAGTTGGCTTTCTTTAAACCATAGAAAAAGAAACTAGTTATTTATTAGTTATGCCCCCTTGGTTTGTGCTTATTTTATTTTGCTTTTCTTAGATTTTTATCACTAGCCTGTAGAAATTTTGAGGAAAACAATTCCACAACCAATCAGAGGCCAAAATAAAATTACGAAGTTACACTCCTATGCAAGTATCTGATTGGTTGCAAAAGACAACCAATCAGAGGTACTTTCAATTTCCGATCTGCAGCTCAGAAAAGGTGGGGATTGGCAAAGGGAGTAGTCTCTGGTCTTTTTGTTACTCAGGCATTGAAAGTTATGGATTTCCTTTCAACTTAGTTATCTTCGGAAGTCAGTGGGAAACAGCCTTAGGTTCCCTGCCTCCAGACACTATTCGCCTGCCTCATCTGGAAGACACTCTGGCTGTTTCTTACAAAGCTAAACATACTCTACCATAAGATTCAGCAATTGCAATCCTAAGTATTTACCCAAATAAGTGGAAAACTTCTGTCCACACAAACAAGTGTACACGAATGTTTTAGCAGCTTTATTTATAATTACCAAAAATTCAAAGCAACCAAGATATCCTCCAGTAAGTGAGTGGATAAACAAATTCTGGTATATCCATACCATGGGTTATTATTCAACATTAAAGAGAAACAAGCCATCAAGCTATGAACAGACATAGAGAAAACCTATATGCATACTGTTTCTTCTTCTTCTTCTTTTTTTTTTTTTTTTTTTTGAGACGGAGTCTAGCTCTCTGGCCCAGGCTGGAGTGCAGTGGCGTGATCTCGGCTCACTGCAACTTCAGCCTCACAGGTTCCAGCAATTCTCCTGCCTCAGCCTCCCAAGTAGCTGGGATTATAGGCACGCACCACCACACCCGGCTAATTTTTGCATTTTTTAGTAGAGATGGGGTTTCACCATATTGGCCAGGCTGGTCTCGGACTCCTGACTGCATGATCCGCCCACCTCAAGCTCCCAAAGTGCTGGGATTACAGGTGTGAGCCACCGCGCCCGGCCCCTATATGCATACTGTTAAGTGAAAGAAACCTGTCTAAAAAAAACTATATCCCTTATGATTACGACTATATCATTCTGGAAAAGGCAAAAATACAGAGACAGTAACTAGTGGTTTCCAGGGGTTCAGGAGGAAGAGGAATGGATGAGTAGGTGGAGCCTGGGAGAAATTTACTTCAATGATACTACTGCATAACATACTTTTGTTACTGAAACACCAGGTTCAGTCTAGGTGTTGCACACAAGGGCTTCAGTCTGGGTCTTGCTGCTTGCCACAGAGAAAGCCAATCACTGAGATGACAATGAGTATTGCCAAAGAAGAAGGCTTTAATCTTTCATCAGGTACTGCAGCTGAGGAAATGGGAGACCAGAGTCAAATCCATCTCTGTGAGTGACTAGGGCTTTATCTAGCAGGGAAGAAATGTAACTATGTATGGGAAAACAGGAACTAGGGAGGCCGTAAGGGAACAATCATGATGAATGAGGAACTGGGAGTCATTGTCTGGATGAGATGATCTGGTGAGTTCCAGTTCTTTGATACTTTTTGAGAGGCCTGGGGGATCTGTTTTTGGAAAGGAACTCCTATAAAACAAATATGAGTTCCAAGCTTAAAGACCCGAAGTATCCATTTCTATGTTTATTTAAACAAAAACTAAGTGACTCTTGTGTTCACTTTATCCACCATTTCACTTTAACGGTGGTTATATGGCATTATGTATTTATCAGAACCCATAGAGCTGTATAATAAGAATGAACCCAAATTCAACTATGGACCTCACTTAACAATAAGTATTAGTGTTGGTTCATCCGTTGTAACAAGTGTACCTCAATGATGCAGGATGTTAATAATAGGAGAAAATGAGCAGAGGGCTGTTTTAGGGAAGAAGGGATGTGGCAACTCCCTGAACTTTCTCTGCAATTTTTCTGTACACTTAAAACTACTTTAAAAAATGGTCTCCTTACATAGAATGATACGGATTTATTTTTGCTTTTTCATTCCATATTTGTCTGCATTTGATGGCATTCTCTATTGCTCACCTACTTATTTTATATTAAAATTGTAGATATGTTACAAAACACTTACGCCTATTCTAGCTGTAATATTCTAGAAATTCTGTTTGGATTCTCTAAACCATAGGTAGAGAAACTTGTTTTTTTTAACTTATTTTATTATTATTACACTTTAAGTTTTAGGGTACATGTGCACAATGTGCAGGTTAGTTACATATGTATACATGTGCCATGCTGGTGTGCTGCACCCATTAACTCATCATTTAGCATTAGGTATGTCTACTAATGCTATCCCTCCCCCCTTCCCCCACCCCACAACAGTCCCCAGAGTGTGAGGTTCCCCTTCCTGTGTCCATGTGTTCTCATAGTTCAATTCCCACCTCTGAGTGAGAATATGCGGTGTTTCGTTTTTTGTCCTTGCGATAGTTTACTGAGAATGATGGTTTCCATTTTCATCAGTGTCCCTACAAAGGACATGAACTCATCATTTTTTATGGCTGCATAGTATTCCATGGTGTATATGTGCCACATTTTCTTAATCCAGTTTATCATTGTTGGACATTTGAGTTGGTTCCAAGTCTTTGCTATTGTGAATAGTGCCGCAATAAACATACGTGTGCATGTGTCTTTATAGCAGCATGATTTATAGTCCTTTGGGTATATACCCAGTAATGGGATGGCTGGGTCAAATGGTATTTCTAGTTCTAGATCCCTGAGGAATCGCCACACTGACTTCCACAATGGTTGAACTAGTTTATAGTCCCACCAACAGTGTAAAAGTGTTCCTATTTCTCCACATCCTCTCCAGCACTTGTTGTTTCCTGACTTTTTAATGAATGCCATTCTAACTGGTGTGAGATGGTATCTCATTGTGGTTTTGATTTGCATTTCTCTGATGGCCAGTGATGGTGAGCATTTTTTCATGTGTTTTTTGGCTGCATAAATGTCTTCTTTTGAGAAGTGTCTGTTCATGTCCTTTGCCCAGTTTTTGATGGGGTTGTTTGTTTTTTTCTTGTAAATTTGTTTCAGTCCATTGTAGATTCTGGATATTAGCCCTTTGTCAGATGAGTAAGTCGCGAAAATTTTCTCCCATTTTGTAGGTTGCCTGTTCATTCTGATGGTAGTTTCTTTTGCTGTGCAGAAGCTCTTTAGTTTAATTAGATCCCATTTGTCAATTTTGGCTTTTGTTGCCATTGCTTTTGGTGTTTTAGACATGAAGTCCTTGTCCATGCCTATGTCCTGAATGGTAATGCCTATGTTTTCTTCTAGGGTTTTTAAGGTTTTAGGTCTAACGTTTAAGACTTTAATCCATCTTGAATTACTTTTTGTTTAAGGTGTAAGGAAGGGATCCAGTTTCAGCTTTCTACATATGGCTAGCCAGTTTCCCCAGCACCATTTATTAAACAGGGAATCCTTTCCCCATTGCTTGTTTTTCTCAGGTTTGTCAAAGATCAGATAGTTTTAGACATGCGGTGTTATTTCTGTGGGCTCTGTTCTGTTCCATTGATCTATA
This sequence comes from Homo sapiens, assembly GCF_000001405.40. Taxonomy (NCBI): domain Eukaryota; kingdom Metazoa; phylum Chordata; class Mammalia; order Primates; family Hominidae; genus Homo; species Homo sapiens. The sequence continues at coordinate 3,920,961 of NT_167246.2, read as the reverse complement.
TCTCTGTTTTGGTACCAGTACCATGCTGTTTTGGTTACTGTAGCCTTGTAGTATAGTTTGAAGTCACGTAGCATGATGCCTCCAGCTTTGTTCTTTTGGCTTAGGATTGACTTGGCGATGTGGGCTCTTTTTTGGTTCCATATGAACTTTAAAGTAGTTTTTTCCAATTCTGTGAAGAAAGTCATTGGTACCTGGATGGGGATGGCATTGAATCTATAAATTACCTTGGGCAGTATGGCC